>NC_000001.11:42887168-43190198 GCF_000001405.40 Homo sapiens | reverse complement strand
CATGATACTAGAGGTTCTAGCCATGGCAACTAGGCAAGGAAAATAAGTAACAGGCATTCACAGATTGGAAAGGAAGACTAAAACTACCTCTATTGCAGATGTCATGATCTTATATATAGAAAATCCTAAGGAATTCACTAAAAACGCTGATAAAATTTGGATATTTGTCTCCTCCAAATCTCATGTTGAAATGTAACCCCAGTGTTGAAGGTGGGACCTGGTGGGAGGTGCTTGGATCATTGGGGGCATATCCCTCATGAATGGTTTATGAATGGTTTAGTGACATCCCCTTGGTGATGAGTGAGTTCATGAGAGATCTGGTTGTTTAACAGTGTGTGGCATCTCTCACCTCCCTCTCTTGCTCCTGCTCTCACCATGTGATGTGCATACTACCCCTTCATCTTCCACTATGATTGTAAGCTTCCTGAACCCTTACCAGAAGCAGATGCCAGCACCATGCTTCCTGTACACCCTGCAGAACCATGAGCCAATTAAACTTCCTTTCTTTATAAATTACTCAGTCTCAGGTACTCGTTTATAGCAATGCCAGAATAACCTAACACAAAAACTACTGGAACTAATAAATGAGTTTGGCAAGGTTGCAGGAGACAAGATCAGTATGCAAAAATTAATTGTATTTCTATACACTTAGAATGAACAATCCAAAAATGAAATTAGGAAAATAATTCAATTTACAATAGCATCATGAAGAAAATTTTTCAGAATATATTTAACAAAAGAAGTGCAAAAGTTATACTCTGAAAATTACAAAATGTTCTTGAAACAAATTAAAGACAATCTAAATAAATGGAAAATATCTCATGCTCAAGAATTGGAAGGCTTAGTATTGTTAAGATGGCAACACTCCCCACATTGATCTATAAATTCAATGCAATCCCGGTGAGGATCCCAGATGGCTTCTTGTAGAAATTGAAAAGCTGACTGTAAAATCCATATGGAATTGCAAGGGACACAGACTACCCAAAACAATCTTGATAAAGTAGACTACATTTGCAAGATTCACAATTCCCAATTTTAAAGTTTGCTACAAAGCAGCAGTAATCAAGACAGTGTGGTACTGGCATAAAGATAGACAGATCAATGGAACAGAATTGGAAGTCCTGAAACAAACCCATGTGTCAACTGATTTCCAACAAGATGCCAAGACTACTCAATGGAGAAAGACTAGCCTTTTCAACAAATGATGCTGTGACGACTGGATATCTACATGCCAAAGAATGAAGTTGGACCCCTATACCATCCCATATACTCAAATGAATTCAAAACGGATTAAAGACCTAGATGTAAGAGCTAGCACTATGAAACTCTTAGAAGAAATACAGAGGTAAATCTTCATGGCCTCAGGCATTGGCTTCTTAAATATAACATGGAAAGCACAACCAACAAAAGAAAAATAGATAAATTCAATTTCATCAAAATTGAAAACTTCATCAAAAGACAACATCAAAAAAGTGAAAAGACAACCCACAGAATGGGACATAGTATTTGCAAATCACATATCTGATAAAGGACTTATATCTAGAATTATAAATAACTGTTACAACTCAATAATAAAAAGACATATGACTCAATTTTTTAAATGGGCAAAAAATCTGAATAGACATTTCTTCAAAGAAGAATTAGAAATTCTTGAAAAGACGTTCATCATTAATCACCAGGTAAATGCAAATCAAAACCACAATGAGATACCACTTCTTACCCACTAAGATGGCTATAATAAAAAAGATAATAACAAGTTTTGGCAAGAATATAGAGAAATCAGAATGCTCATATACTGCTTATGGGAATATAAAACGGTCCAGCAACTTTGGAAAACAGTATGGCAGTTCCTCAAATAATTGAACATGAAGTTACCATATGACTCAGCAATTCCACTTCTAGGAAGAGAAATGAAAACCCATCCACATAAAAACTAGTTGCATTATTCATAAAAGCCAAAAGGTAGAAAAAACCCAAATATACAAATTTGATGAATAAAATATAGTATATCCATATAATTAAATATTATTTGGCCATAAAAAAGGAATGAAGTACTGATACCTGCTACAACATGGATGAACATTGAAAACATGCTGGCCAGGTGTGGCGGCTCACACTTGTAATCCCAACACTTTGGGAGGATGAGGCGGGTGGACTGCTTGAGCTCAGGAACTCAAGACCAGCCTGGGAAACATGGCAAAACCCTGTCTCTACTAAAAATACAAAAGCTAGCTGGGTGTGGTGGCGTGCACCTGTAGTCCTAACTACTTGGGAAGCTGAGGTGGGAAGATTGCTGGAGCCCAGGAGGTCAAGGCTGCAGTGAGCCATGATCACACCACTGCACTCCCACCTGGGTGACAGAGCAAGACCCTGTCTCAAAACAACAACAAAACCCATTATGCTAAGTCAAAGAAGCCAGTCATAAAAGTCCACACGTTTTATGATTCCATTTGAATGAAATGTCCAGAATAGGCAAATCTATATATAGAGACATGAAGTAGGTAAGTAGTGGCCTAGGGCTGGGGTGGGGAGGGGTGATAATTGGGAGGATGGAGGAATAATAATAGCTAAAGGGTATGCGCTTTTTTTTTTTTTGAGGTGATAAAAATGTCCTAAGGCTGTCTATGATAAATGGTTGCATAACTTTTTGAATATACTAAAGACCACTGAATTGTATACTTTGAATAGGCAATTTGTATGTGAATCATAACTCAATTAAGTTGTTATTAAAAAAAGGACCATTACTGAGAAAGATATGTTAAATCTTCTACTATGATTGTAGATGGTCTATTTTCCTTGTTCTGCCCAGATTTGCTTTATATATTTTGAATCTATGGTATTAGGTACATGCAAACTTAAAATTGTAATATCTTATTGGTACTGAGCCATTTTAAGTACAATATGATCTCTATCTTTAATAGTGCTTTTTTGTTGTAATGTCTGCAGTGTATTTATACTAGCTTTCTTTGTTATTCCAAAACAGTAAAAAGGAAAAAGAAACATTTTTATATATACATATTTGTGTACATGAGCAAATATAGCAATAGATTAAATGCCTTAAAATGCAATTTCTGGGTAAAAGGATATGTGAGATTTAAATTTGATGGACAATGCCAATACGTCTGTCCTCCAAAGTTACTGTAGCAATCACAGCCCCACTGAGTCTATCAGCATGCTTCTATGTGAATATCTTAAAATTAGAATTTTGTTTTGCTCTGTATTAAGGGGATGCATGAGTTTATGCTAACTTATTTGGATTAAAATTTGCCCACATGGTGACTAGTCCCCCAGCAGGCAGATAGGTCCTGGTCTGGAAGGACCATTGCTGGAAAGACTCACCTTGCTGATCTCTGTCAGGGACATGGTGATGCTGTAGAGTTGGTTCTTACTGGTGCTGGCAACCAGAGTTTCCTCTGAGGGGCTGAAGCACAGGCAGAGAACGTCCTGTTTGTCAGACTGACTTGGATCATTGCTCTGCGGGTCCACAGGAATCTGCCCAAAATGCAAAACAGCTATCAGTAATGTCCCCACGTTGTCATTGTGGCCTTAGGCTTTCAGAGTTTTCTTTTTTTTTTTTTTTTTTTTTTTGAGACGGAGTCTCGCTCTTTTGCCCAGGCCAGAGTGCAGTGGCACTATCTCAGCTCACTGCAAGCTCCGCCTCCCGGGTTCACGCCATTCTCCTGCCTCAGCCTCCCGAGTAGCTGGGACAACAGCCGCCCACCACCGCGCTTGGCTAATTTTTTGTATTTTTAGTAGAGACAGGGTTTCACCGCGTTAGCCAGGATGGTCTCGATCTCCTGACCTCATGATCCGCCCGCCTCGGCCTTCCAAAGTGCTGGGATTACAGGCGTGAGCAACTGCGCCCGGCCTAGGCTTTCAGAGTTTTCTTGGATAACTTTAGCTTACAGACTCCCAGACCAGGCTGCTTCCTGGGATCCTCCTATTCTTTGTTTTTTTGAGAGAGGGTCTGGCTCTGTCACCCAGACTGGAATACAGTGGCATGATCTTGGCTCAATGCAACTTCCACCTGCCAGGCTCAAGCCATCCTCTCACCTCAGCCTCTCAAGTAACTGGGACTACAGGTGCACACCACCACATCTGGCTAATTTTTTTTTTTTTTGAGACAGAGTCTTGCTCTGTCACCCAGGCTGGAGTGCAGTGGTGTGATCTTGGCTTTCTACAACCTCTGCTGCCCGGGTTCAAGCAATTCTAGCTGGGATTACAGACACGTGCCACCATACCTGGCTACTTTTTGTATTTTGTATTTTTTTTTCTTTTTTTGAGACAGAGTCTCAATCTGTCGACCAGGCTGGAGTGCAGTGGAGCGATCTTGGCTCACTGCAACCTCTGCTTCCTGGGTTCAAGCTATTCTCCTGCCTCAGCCTCTCAAGTAGCTGGGACTACAGGCACACACTGCCACGCTTGGCTAATTTTTGTATTTTTAGTACAGACGGGGTTTCACCATGTTGGCCAGGCTGGTCTCAAACTCCTGACCTCATAATTTTTTTTTTTTTTTTTTTGTAGAGATGGGGTTTCACCATGTTGCCCAGGCTGGTCTAGAACTCCTGAGTTCAAGAGACCCACCCACCTTGGCCTCCCAAAGTGCTGGGATTACAGGCATAAGCCAATATGCTGGTCGATTTTCCTATTTTTAAACTCTAATTCTGTTCACCTCATCCTAAAATCTCTCTCAGGACAGACATCTCGAGTCACCATTTCACCATTTCTGCTCAGCAATCCTGCCCTATCCCTCCCCATCAGATGCCTTCTCAGAGAACTGCTGCTGGGGAACAAATGCCAATAGGACCCCCATTTTACTTCTTTTTTTTCTTCCCGCCTTACCCTGATTTCTCTGCTCTCACGGTAAAAATCCTTTTCTTCCATCTTCTCAAACAGCAGAACTCTCCCTGGCCCAGCAGAACAGGCAAATCCCTTTGAATAGGCTGCAATGGCAAACACCTGGGGCATGGACATCTGGCTATGGCTACTGGCCGCCACCATCTGTTCATAGGAAGGGAGTGGAGAACTGACTGGTGGAAATTCAATCAGGCTGGAAACAAAAAAACAGCATACATAATTTATAGAGACAATCTTGAGGAGATGAATTCTGCTGGGGAGGAGAAAGAAGACTGTCACTGGGTGTGACAGAAACCACCCAATGATCCCCTTTTCCACAGTCAAATACTACCCTTTGGCTTGGGAACCGTACACAAACTGCACATGGCCAAGCCTAGAAGCAAGAGAGTGCTTGGGGCGTGTGGAGTAGACAGAGGCGAGAGTTGTAGAGGAAAACAGTCGCAGGTATGCTTGGGCCAAACCAAGAAGTCTGGGCTTTGTTCTGGGAGGCCTGGACCCCAGAGCTGAAGGACTGTGAACACAGCTCCTGGAGAAGGTTATAGAGACTTTTCAGGAAGCTCCTACATACTCACAAAAAAAAAAAAAAAAAAAAAAAAAAAAAGGATATGCCATTGGCATGGGGGGATGGTAGTGAAAATGGGTGGATTGAAGGTTACTGAGGAAGAAGAATCTACAGGATGTCATTGGGGTTGAGGGCCCAGGCTCTGGCATCAGAGAGATCTGGGTTTGAATCCTGAGCCTGCCACTTATCAGCGGAATGATCTTGGGTAGTTCACTTACCTCTTTGATCCTCAGTTTCCTTGTCTACAAAATGGGCACGATAATAGTATGAACTATACAGGGTAAGAATCAAATTGGGAATATTTATAAAATGTTTAAAGCAGTGTCTGGTGCATGTAACGGTACATTCCAATACACAGGAGATATGATTTTTACTGGTTGTCATAGAGATAACGTGGCATCTCTATTATAATGGTCAATAACCACTCCTTCCTGAGATTGCACTTTACCCCTATCCTCTGTCAGATTTACCTAAAACATTTCCTTGCACTTGTTGGTCTGTCGCCTCCTGCTGAATTATAAGTTCCTTGAGGACTTGTGTCCCCAGCATCTAGCAAGAGATGCCTTTTGCATACTACAAGGGCTTGGTGGACATGAATCAATTCATTAAATTAGCCACTGGAAAATATATTTTCTAAAAACTATAGTTTTGAAGACCAGTAATACTATAATGTTTATAAAATGAGGTTAGGTATAAAAAATAAAAAGAATTGTATTTAGTCTATGGTTATAACTGTTAAATCTGTGCTTAAATATAGACGAAAACTAGAGAGGAAGAGGGAAAATGGGCATAGTTGACTTTTACGGTAGAGGGGTTATGAGTGGTTTCTAAAGAGTGCTGTCTTCTGCATAATGCTGTCAGTACAATGAATGTGGGAGCACCAGCCCAGGAAGCACCATTACCTCTCTGATTCCTGAATGACATCCAGGCTCTTTGAGCCATTGGTAGGTTCCTTGACCATTATGCTGGTCTCCCAACGCTGATCTCCAGATTCAAAGAGGAAGAGTTTGCCTGTGTCAGTGCCAACGACAATCTTGTCATCAGCCACCCAGGTGTGAGCTAGATAGTTTTGGGGTTCTCCCCTCTGAAAGCTGGTTTGCTTCAGGGTTCCCTCAGCAAAACGGAGAAGCTTAAACATCCCATTTCCAGTGACACACACCTGAGTGTTATCCTGTGGACTGAAGCTCACCTGTAAAATGTGAGAGAATTGAAGAAAAAAATTTATGAAACTATTCTTGATGGAATTATTTCCCATTTTACAAATTAATATTTATTTCAGGCTGCTCAGAATATCTCCAAAACATCACAAAATCATGTAACTTTATGCTGCATTTGATAAGGGCACACATCTATAATCCATTATATTTATAGGGATATGAGTCCAACTAGGAGTCAAACTAGGAAATCTACAAAGGCCAAAGAGCAGAATGAACAGCTTTTGACAAGAGCCACACCCAGTGCCAACAAAATGGAATAAAGCTCAGCTGGAAACACAGAAAAAGAGGGTCTGATAGGTTTACATAGCCCTGTCCAAGAGGAAAGAAACCACATGTCAGGGGATGCTATGTGGTCTCCTACCAACTGAACATCCTTCAATCACAGCTCTTATCCCAATGTACACCTGCTCCTCTACTTACAATGGGATCATGTCCTGATAAACCCATCATAAGGTGAAAACACCATAAGTTGAAAATGGGCAAAGCCATGTGGCCACACAGCACCACACTGTAGAGTATCTTGGTTGTTACCCTAGTGATTGAGCGGCTGACCGGGGGCTGTGGCTGCAGCTGCTGCCCTGCATCATGAAAGCGTATTACTTGGTCTCTTTCTCCTGAGTGCATATCACTCTTGTACCATTGTAAAGACGAATATTTTAAGTTGAACCATAGTAAGTTGGGGACTACCTGTACAGTAATAGGCAGTCAACCTGCTGTCCTGACTATATAGTGAGCAACTTGAGGGGCTGTGACTTTTTCATCTGTTTTCCCAGTGCTGGATTCATCATGGGCATCCAATAAATGGTTGCTGAATCTACTAGTCAGAGCAGGAGGTCCTTCATCAGGCCTCACTGTGGCCTGGTTGAAATACCCTTCTGGTTCTACCTGCCTTTGGTCTGATTCTGGAATAATCACCCAGCAGCCTTCTGATTACTATTATAATTTCACCTCTCAACTTCTCTATTACTAGGAAGGGAATACACTGGATAAATGATGTGAGCATTCTGGTTGTGATATGCTGGTTTACACATCAGTATCTTGTGAGTTGAATAATTGAGTCTATGCCAGAGACACTGATTAGCTAGAATCTCTGAACATGAACACAACTGAGTCGTTGAACTTGTGGAATTGAGTGCTAGATCCTAGACTAGGGTGAGTGAACCAAGATCAAACCTCCTTGGGACCCCCTGCCTAAGCCATCAATCAGGTTCCTGAGGGGTCTTCTTCCTTTTGCCCTCGAGACACAATAGAAGGTTCTGTTCCTTACATAACTGCAACTTCAGCAACAGCTTCCTAAAGACCTACCATGTTACATCACATTTCGGAAATCTTCCTACTGCCCGGCAATGCTGCTGGAAAAAGAGGCTAGGACCAGGGAGAGAAAGCAAGTTTTATTAATCCACTTCTGGGCCAAACCTGTGACCAGAAAGCAGTTCTGGGCCAGAGTAGAGAAGACAGGAGCTGGAGTTGGGGAACTCCTAGCTCTGCTATTCACTACCTCTGTGATCTTGAGTGAGTTACTTAACCTCTTGGATCCTCAGTTCTCTCATCTGTAAAATGGGGATAATGATTGTGCATACCTTATACGGTTGTTGTAAGAATAAATTTTAAAATGCATGGAGGAAATTAGAACTGTGGTACACAGAAAACATTCAATAAAAAGTAGTTCTATTTTTTATAATTTTCACGATACTTGTCACACTACTAGGTACCTGGTAGACAGGGTTGTTCTGAGTGTCGATTCTAACAATGGCCATTACTTTCTGTTTTTCCCACAGCCAGTAGACAAGATTTGACTCTGGAGGTGACGTCTGAGCCAATAGGTATTTGGAGTCTGGAGAAAAAGCCATGCTAATAAATTTCTGAACTTGGAAGTCAAAATTATTAAGAACTTTGCGCTTCCGGCAAGGGATGGATGACAATTCATAAATGGTGATGGCAGGTTTTTCTTGCACAGTCTCAGAGATAGCGAGGTACCGCCGATTGGGACTGATGGACAAGGCCAACATGCCCTGACTCTTCTCTGAGCCTGCAAACAGAGGAAAAAGGAAATAATCAGGGTAGATCACACTTTCACCAGGGTTCAACAGGAACCAGGCACTGTGGTGGGCACTGGAGTGGACAGTGGTGGACACAAAGAAGAAAGGCGGCCTTGGCATAGCTGTGTTTGGGTATTATGAAAATGACTAGGGGCCAGGTGTGGTGGCTCACGCCTGTAATCCCGGCACTTCAGGGGGCCGAGGTGGGCAGATGACTTGAAATGGGGAGTTCAAGACCAGCCTGGCCAACATGGTGAAACCCCATCTCTACTAAAAATAAAAAAATTAGCCGGGTGTGGTGGCAGGCACCTGTAATCCCAGCTACTCGGGAGGCTGAGGCAGGAGAATCACTTGAACCTGGGAGGTGGAGATTGCAGTGAGCTGAGATCATGCCACTGTACTCCAGCCCGGGAGACAGAGCGAGACTGTCCCCAAAAGAAAATGACTAGGGCAGGCACCTTGGAGGATGAGGTGGGAGGAGAAGTCAGGGAAACCTTCCTGAAGGAGGGCAGGGGGTGAGGTGAGATGGGGACTGGGTGGTAGATAGCAGGAAGAGCTTGAGCCACGGGGTGGATGTGACAAAGGGTACAGCATAGTGCGGGAACTGCAAGCAGTGGGTGTTGCTGGAGCATTGCATGTGAGATGGGGTGACCAAAGATGGGCCTAAAGGGGTGGAATAGGGTCAGACCATAGAGGTCTTTATTCCCTGAGTGGCTAGCTCATCACTCCTCCTCTACTCCAGAGGTTGGGATGCCAACTACTGGATTCCTCAGCCTCCCTTGCACTCACCCTTCCTAAAATTTTTCAGCAGCCTCCCAGGTGAAGTCCAAACTTTTGTGCAAGGCTCTCAGTGACCTAGAACCTGGGATCTTCTCTGAGCCACAGCTACTCTCTGCATCCCTTCCAGAGAATTCCCATGGGCTGGGCATGCACGCCTGCTGAGCAACTTGCTGCATCTCTCCTTGGCGTGTTGTGAAGCAGCAGCATGAGGGCCCAACACATGGGGACCCGTCACATCACTCTCTAGCTCATCCTCCCTTGCCTCACTCACGCTCCCTGCCCTGGGCCTGTATCCACCATCCACTTATCCACTAGACACAGTGCCCAGGACCCACAATACTTTTGAGGACCTAGGAAAATGTTTTAGTATTTATTTGAAAATCAGAAAAAACATGAATATATAATGGTGAATCCAGCCTAGATTATATTCCTCTTTATACCAATACAGTCATAAAGTATATTACTGCATATATTTTTAAATAATATATGTGTGTATATATATTTTATATATATATATATAAAATATATATATTTTTTGAGATAGAGTTTCACTCTTGTCGCCCAGGCTGGAGTGCAATGGCTCAATCTCGGCTCACCACAACCACCACCTCCCAGGTTCAGGTGATTCTCCTGCCTCAGCCTCCCGAGTAGCAGGGATTACAGGCATGTGCCACCATGCCTGGCTAATTTTGTATTTTTAGTAGAGACAGGGTTTCTCCATGTTGGTCAGGCTGGTCTCGAACTCCCAACTTCAGGTGATCCGCCCACCTCGGCCTCCCAGAGTGTTGGGATTACAGGCATGAGCCACCACGCCTGGCCTATAAATATATTTTTAAACATTTTTTAATGAAGGAGGGGGCCATGAAATCAAAAGTACCTAGAGCCCTCGAAAACAATAATGTGACCCTGATTGCATTTCCCAAAGAGAGGGAGAAGAAAGGAAAAGATAAACTCAATCTCAGATATATTGTGTGTGAGGTACACTCTGTGGAACAGTTGGGTACGGAGGTCCAGCAGGTGGACATGGTTCTAAAGCTGGCGGGAGGGGTTGAGGCTGAAAATACAGATTTGAGGTAAAAAGCATAAGGGAAAGTTAAAACTAGGAGTATGTAATAGCCTAGATGAGGCAAAGGAACACTGCTCACTCCCTCCTATTGTGCTTTTGTGCCAGGTTCCTACCTGGTATAGCATCTGTCCAGCTCATTTGCACAGTCCTACTCATTTGAATTACACAACCTGCCTCCACTACAATACTGAGAGCTCCTGGAGGGCAGAGGCCATTCTTGCTCATTCATTCATTCATTCAATCACCAGTGTCTGGAACTTAGTATGTTCTTGATATATGTTGACTGGTTTTAGAGTTTGTAAAATGCTTTTGCATTGTTTCGACCCAGCTGATGCCTCGCCTCTCCTCCTTAAAACATTTTCGCCTCTCACATAGATATCCTTTTATTATTATTATTATACTTTAAGTTCTAGGGTACATGTGCACAATGTACAGGTTTGTTACATATGTATACATGTGCCATGTTGGTGTGCTGCACCCATTAACTAGTCATTTACATTAGGTATATCTCCTAATGCTATCCCTCCCCCTCCCCGCACCCCACAACAGGCCCCGGTGTGTGATGTTCCCTTTCCTGTGTCCAAGTGTTCTCATTGTTCAATTCTCACCTATGAGTGAGAACATGCGGTGTTTGGTTTTTTGTCCTTGCGACAGTTTGCTCAGAATGATGGTTTCCAGCTTCATCTGTATCCCTATAAAGGGCATGAACTCATCCTTTTTTATGGCTGCATAGTATTCCATGGTGTATATGTGCCACATTTTCTTAATCCAGTCTATCGTTGATGGACATTTGGGTTGGTTCCAAGTCTTTGCTATTGTGAACAGTGCCACAATAAACATACGTGTGCATGTGTCTTTATAGCAGCATGATTTATAATCCTTTGGGTATATACCATGTAATGGCATGGCTGGGTCAAATGGTATTTCTAGTTCTAGATCCCTGAGGAATCACCACACTGTCTTCCACAATGCTTGAACTAGTTTACAGTCCCACCAACAATGTAAAAGTGTTCTTATTTCTCTACATTCTCTCCAGTACCTGTTGTTTCCTGACTTTTTAATGATCGCCATTCTAACTGGTGTGAGATGGTATCTCATTGTGGTTTTGATTTGCATTTCTCTGATGGCCAGTAATGATGAGCATTTTTTCATGTGTCGGTTGGCTGCATAAATGTCTTCTTTTGAGAAGTGTCTGTTCATATCCTTTGCCCACTTTTTGATGGGGTTGTTTTTTTCTTGTAAATTTGTTTAAGTTCTTTGTAGATTCTGGATATTAGCCCTTTGTCAGATGAGTAGATTGCAAAAATTTTCTCCCATTCTGTAGGTTGCCTGTTCACTCTAATGGTAGTTTCTTTTGCTGTGCAGAAGCTCTTTAGTTTAATTAGATCCCATTTGTCAATTTTGGCTTTTGTCGCCATTGCTTTTGGTGTTTCAGACATGAAGTCCTTGCCCATGCCTATATCCTGAATGGTATTGCCTAGGTTTTCTTCTAGGGTTTTTATGGTTTCAGGTCTAACACTTAAGTCTTTAATCCATCTTGAATTAATTTTTGTATAAGGTGTAAGGAAGGGATCCGGTTTCAGCTTTCTACATATGGCTAGCCAGTTTTCCCAGCACCATTTATTAAATAGGGAATCCTTCACCTCTCACATAGATATCCTGTGATCTTTTTGGCCACTCCTCCAAAGCCTCTTTTGCTGATTCTTCCCCATTTCCCCAGCACTAAATGCAGGAGTGCTCAGAGCTCACTCTTTCAGCTGCTTCTCTTTTGTAAATATATTCATGCCCTAGGGCAGGGGTCCCCAACCCACGGTGCTGGGCTACACAGCAGGAGGTGAGCAAGCATTACCGCCTGAGCTCAGATCAGTGGCGGCATTAGATTCTCATAGCAGCACAAACCCTGTTGTGAACTGTGCATGCGAGGGATCTAGATTGTGTGCTCTCTGTGAGAATCTTAACTAATGCCTGATGATCTGGGGCAGAACAGTTTCATCCTGAAACCATCCCCCATACCCTCTCCATCCTGTCCATGGAAAAACTGTTTTTCATGAAACCTACCCCGATGCCAGAAAGGTTGGGGACCACTGCCCTAGGGAAGTCTCATCTACTCTAAGGGCTTTACATTTCACCTCTAGGCTGATGACCCTCAAATTCCTTTCCTAGCCTGGACTTCCCTCCCTTAAATCCAGACCTGAAATCAACCTGCTTACTGAGCATCTCCATGAAAATATCTAGCAGGCACATCAATCTTAACAGGTCCAAAACCAACCTGCTCCTTCTTTAGCCCTTTCTATCACAATCAACAGCAACTCCATGCTTTCCATGCTCAGGCCCAAAACCTTGCTTCTTCCTGCTTCCACCCCACATGGTGTCTATGAAGAAATCTGTCAAAGCATATCCATTATTGATCTCTTCACACCACCCTGTCGCCTGCCTCTACCTGCTCCAAGTGCCATTATCTCTCACCTGAATTACAGCAATCATCCCTCAGCTGTTCTCCCTGCTTCCTTTCTTTCTCCTCCTTAAATCTGTCCTCTGTACAGCAGCCAGAATGAACCTGAGGAAACACAGATCATGTTGCCACTCAGAACGCACCCCTTTATGGCTTCTCATTTGACTCTGAGTAAGAGCTCATGAACTGCAAGCCCCTCTGTGGTGTTGCTCCCCATTCTTTCTTTGCCTCCCCTCTTGCTCCTCACCCCCCGGTTCTTACCACTCCAGCCACACTGGCCTCCCAGCTATTCCTCCAACACAATAAGCACCCTCCTAACTCTGAGCCTTTGCTAGTCTCTCGGCTACTCCCCCTGCCCTCCCACATCAGCACAGCCAGCTCCTTCCTTTCCTTCAGTCTTCACTCAAAAATCACTGCTCAGTGAGCCCTCCCCAGCCTCCCTATCTACAACTTCTTACTCCCCCAACGGCTTCACTTTCCATGCTTTGTTTGTTCTTATTAGCATCTATCACTATCTAGCATGTAGACTGTACTTCTTTTTATTTTGTTTGTCACTCTCCCCTCTTAGAATGGAAGCACTGTGAGGACAGCATTTTATGTGCATATGTGCGTGTCTATTTTGTGCCTGGAACACAGGGGGTACTTAATACATTTTTGTTGAGTGAACAAATGAATATGTTGAGCCTCATCATGACTCTGAGCTGAACAAGCTGAGCATCATCTGCATCTTACAGATGAGGAGACTGAGGCTCTGTGAGCCTATAAAATGGGGAGCCAGATCAAAGCCAGGTCTCCCAATGTCATGACCTTTATATTTTTCCCTTCACCGGTAATACCCTTAGACTTGGTCAGTGGAGATCCTCCCTTGGGCCTCAAATTTTAGAGCATCCCGGAGTCTTTCTCTGGCTGTACCCCTTACCATTAAGTGGGATACAGTGGCTGCCTGGAGTTTGTCCTGCCTCTTCTAGATCACGTTGCAGGTACCCAGGACTCTGGAGTTCCCTGCTCAGATAGTCTTGAGCCTGCTGACAAGACCAACATTGGGGGTTTCTTCCCAGGCTGTCTCTACTCAACCTGGGCCTGAAGGATGGGCACAGGGTGGTTGCTTATAGAATATATGGGTAGAATTTGAACATATGGGCTGCAAGGATCCACCCACATGTGTACAAGGCCCCTGGTGATATAAGATGGAGTTAGGAGCAGAAGAGAAGTGATACAGTAAGAAGTGTAAGAATATGAGCACAATAACTGAAAGTAAAATCTCAATGGATACATTAAACATTAAGTTAGATGCAGCAGAAAAGAGAAGCAATGAACTACGAGATACATCTAAAGTAATTATCTAGAATGCAACACAGAGAGAGTAAGGTATAAAAAATCCAAATAAGAGTTCAAAAAAAAAAAAACCCAAAAACATGAACGTCAGGTGTGGTGGCTTGCACCTGTAATCCCAGCTACTTGGGAGGCTGAGGTGGGAGGATGAGTTGAGTTCAGGAGTTCAAGACCAGCCTCAGCAACATAGCCAGACCCCATCTCCATAAAAACAATTAGCTGGTCAAGGTGGTGCATGCCTGTATTCCCAGCTATTCAGGAGGTTAAGGTGGGGAGGATGGCTTGAGCCCAGGAGTTTGAGACTGCTGTGAGCTATGATTGTGCCAGTGCACTCCAGCCTGGGCAACAGAGTGAGACCTGGTTTCTTAAAAAATAAATAAATAAAATAAAATAAAATAAAAAACTGGAAGGATGGAGTTGAGATGGTTTGGAGTTCCAGAAGGAGATAACAGAACAAAAAAGATACCTGTCCTTAGATCCAGGAATCTCAAATAATCCCTAGGAGGATAAAAAATGAAAATAAAAACTATACTGATGTGTGTGTCTGTATCTATATGTATGTATATATACTATGTATATATACATGTACATATAGTATATGGTGTGTGTATATATGGTGTGTATTTTATACGTATATATGTATATGGTGTATGTGTATAGATACATACACACACACACCATAGACAGAGAAGATATTAAACATCCAGAAAAAAAGATCATCTACAGAAAGACGATGCTGATAGCTAATTTCTTAACCACAGCAACAAAAGAGAAGCCAAAAAAACACAATGGAATATGATCTATAATATGCTGATAAAAATTTCACACCTGTTGAAACTATCTTTCAGAAATGAGGATAAAATAAAGTCATTTTCAGACAAAAACTGGGAGAATTTATTAATACATTATCAGTAAATGCAGAAGGAAAATGATCCCAGCTGGAATATCTGATTTGTAAAGAGTAATGGTGGGAAAAAGTTTGGTAAGTATGAGAGCAAATATAAATTAATGTTGTCTGTAGAAAACCATAATTTAATTTATATTGGAAAGTCATATGATCTTTTTTATTTTTGTTTTTGAGACAGGGTCTGGCTTGGTTTCCCAGGCTGGAGTGCAGTGGTGCGATCTTGGCTCACCACAACCTCTGCCTCCCGGGTTCAAGCAATTCTCCTGCTTCAGCCTCCCGAGTAGCTGGGACTACAGGCACGTGCCACCACGCCCAGCTGATTTTTGTATTTTTAGTAGAGACGGGGTTTCACTATGTTGGCGAGGATGGTCTTGATCTCTTGACCTCGTGATCTGCCCACCTTGGCCTCCCAAAGTGCTGGAATTACAGGCATGAGCCACCACACCTGGCCAGATGTCCATTTTTATTGCCCCTAATCAACACTGTCTGGAGGTGCTTACCAGCACAGGTAACACAAGAAAAAGGAAGAAAGTCATCGTTATTTGTAGATAACATGATAGTCTATGTAGAAGTCTCTGCATAATCTATAGACAAATCATTAGAATTAATAATAATTTAGCAAATATGCTGGAAATAAACATCAATAAATTAAAGTCAACTGTATTTAATACAGCTTATTCCAACAGAATATTATGTGGTTGATAAATTTGACTTTATTAAAACTAATAATTTTTGTCCATCAAAAGATACTTGTAAGATGGGAGAAAAATGCCCCAAACTGAAAGAAATTATTTGCAAGACATATATATATATCTGACAAATTATTGATATACAGAATATATAAATTGTGCATGTAAATCAATAAAATTGCCCAAAAATATCCTGCACAACAAACTGTAAAAAACAAGTAAAAGACTTGAACAAGGCATTTAACATACGACTAAATAGGAATAGCCCATAAACAGATACTCATCATCATTAATGATAGCAAAATGCAAACGAAAACCACAATTCCTTTTCTCAACCATTGGGTTAGCAAAAAATTACGAAGTTGGACAATACCAAGGGTTGGCAGGGTTGCTGAGGAATAAGAACTCTTATGCACTTCTAGTGGGAGTGTAAATTGGTACTATCATATTGCTCAGTAATTTTAGTCCTGGCTGTGTGCCCTAGAGAATCTGCACAAATAGATGAATGTATATGCATGCAAGAATGTTTATAGTAGTATAGTTTGTAATAGCAAATGATTGTTATTTCCCAAATGTCCCTCAATATTAGAGTGAATACATATATTTGAGACATTATATTCATATGATGGAACACTACATAGCAATAAAATGAACTTGGCTATATGTATCGAGATGTGTGAATCTCAAAAGCATGACATTGAACTGATGCAGCAAGACACAGAATACAGGGAGAAGCACTAGAACTGGTAATATTCTGTTTCCTATGCTGGGTGGCTGGGTTCACAGATCTACATTCTATTGTAATTCTTTAAATATGACATATATGTAGGGTACATTCTTTTGTATGTATATGTCACAATAAAAGGTGTCAATGCAACAAAGAATGGGAAAATGGATTCGGTTGTTGAAATAATGAATATCATTAACAGGACCACTGTGAACAAAAATAAGGGCTGTAATGCTATACAAATGGTTATTTGCGACTTGGGATAAAGTTTACAGTGTCTTCATCATACTTGGATTCAAACGGTGATATAATGAAGGTGGTGTGCTCAGGAAAACTGTTAGACAACTCAAAAAGTGGCTCTGGTGATGACAAAGGCAGTGATATTGAAGACACCAAAAGAGGGGTTCTTAACATATTTTCATGAAATTACAGTGAAAAAAGTACTTTTAAATTAACATTTTATATGTGATTTTAACTACATATGCGTGACTGATTAATCTAGTTTCATAATACAAGTCGCCATTTATTTCCTCTACATTTATAATACTGCATATATATTCAAATTGGCCAAAATCTTTCTTTCCAATCATCATGCTGGGATTATGGGGTTATATGTGGCACATACCATTCCTGTATATGTCAGGATGGAAAAAGTTTTACCTGGAATGAATTTTTGCCATTTCTGATCCACATTGTACTTCACACAGTGATTTCCTGAAGGAAATATAATGATCTGTTCATCGAAGTAGAAGATATTGTTGGCCACGTGGGATCGAAGACCAAAAACATGCAGCGTCTGAGCTACCACGGCTGACATGATCTCCCGCCAAACAGTTCTGCTGAAGACCAAGGCAGCGCTTCAGAGTGGAGAGCACCGCCCCGCTCCGACCCCGCCCCCGGCCCGGACTCGCCCTCCCCGCCCTTTGCTCCTCCCCTTGTCTCTCCCCTTTCTCCTCCCCTTGTCCCTCCCCTTTCCCCTCCCCTTGTCCCTCCCCTTTCCCCTCCCCCGGGGTCCTCCTCCGCGCCACCCCACCCCCGCGGCTCCTTTTTCTGCCTTTTCCTTTGTACCCTCACTGCTACCAGCTCCTTCTGGCGACCCCCAGGTACCCCCTCCCACCTTTCGTTTCTCTCTGGGTCAGCAGACCACGCATGTATCCAGAGGCGCTACCTGTAGGGATCCTAAGCAACCCGGACACTTTCAAACGCCGTAGCGGTTCCTATAGCAACGACAAACCGGAAGTATGGTTTGCCGCCGGAAGCGGAAGTCCCAATCAAAAGTTGAGCAGTAGCTGTGAGTTGCTGGCGCTGGAGCGATTCGGTGGCACGTGGAGCCACGGCGTGGGAGTAGGGGGCTGAAGGCAGGCAGCAGCGGCCAGGGCCGCCCTCTGCTAGCCGCTTGGGTCTCGGGATACCCCGTTTCTTCCTGTAGGTGTGGGACGTGCGTGCGGCGAGATGGACACTCCCCCGCTCTCGGATTCGGAGTCGGAATCCGATGAATCCCTTGTCACAGACAGAGAGGTAGGTGTCAGCCGAGCTCGTGGGGCTGGGCGTGGGAGAGGGGGCCTTACACCCCTGGGAGTGACCGTGATTGTGTCCTGCAGTTGCAGGATGCGTTTTCCCGAGGGCTTCTGAAGCCAGGCCTCAATGTCGTGCTAGAGGGGCCGAAGAAGGCCGTGAACGACGTGGTGAGCGTGGGCACAGGGTCGGGGGTACTCGGACATGGGATGCGCTTCAGGCGCTGTTGGGCTTGGGAGACCGATTCTTGTCCCAGGAAAGATGCACCCTGCGCCTCGCCAAGAGGGTCAATTACCTGTCTGGGTATTGGGGATTAGCACTTTGTCCCTTCGCCTAACAGCCTGTGCTTGGGAAAGACAAACTCAGAGTTCCCTTCTTGTGAGCTCAGTGTCTGGATTTCCTAGAATGGCCTGAAGCAATGTTTGGCAGAATTCAAGCGGGATCTGGAATGGGTTGAAAGGCTCGATGTGACACTGGGTCCGGTACCGGAGATCGGTGGATCTGAGGCGCCAGCACCTCAGAACAAGGACCAGAAAGCTGTTGATCCAGAAGACGACTTCCAGCGAGAGATGAGTTTGTATGTTTGTTTTCAAATGTTGGAGAAGTTGAGGATCCTTGTGCAGGAGAGTGGGAAAGAGGGGAAATTAGTAAGTCTGCACTCAGAATAAGCCTAGGAGTAGAGAGAGCGGCTTCTTTTGACTAAGAATAGCTAGGAGATTCTTCCTGTTTGAGAGAAGAGCTCTTTGGTCCACGGTCACGATCCAAAATCCACTTTATGGGCTAATTTGAAATATTCATGTTAAAACTTTTTGTGCATGCTTCAGTTATTAGGAAAACAAACAAACAAACATTGCTTATGGGATGTTCTTGTGTGGAATTGCTTTAGTAATTACATAAGAATCCATAATCGACATTCGTTTGTGTTAATGGGTACCTTTAGAGTAGTCATTCTCTTAAACTATTTTTAGCAACACCCCTCCCCTTTTTAAAAACTAGTATACGGCTACATTTCTTTTAGATACTAAATCAGTGAGACAGTTTTTGTTTGTTTGTTCTTGCTAATGGAGGTCAGATTTTGAGAGTCCTTCTGAGCTTGGATAACTCATGATTGGCGGTGAAAAGGAACGTAAGGCCTCCTCCTTCACCTCATTACACATTTTGTCCTACGATTCTCAGCTATCGCCAAGCCCAGGCCGCAGTGCTTGCAGTCTTACCCCGCCTCCATCAGCTCAAAGTCCCTACGAAGCGACCCACTGATTATTTTGCGGAAATGGCCAAATCTGATCTGCAGATGCAGAAGGTAAGAAATAGAAGTTTTCCTCTGGAAAGTCAAAACTTTGTACTTAAGCATATTCAGCTGGCTTAGAAAGATAGCTATGAGCCCAATAACGGGGAGCCAGTTGTCAGAGGACAATTATTACCTCTTCCATAGATTGGCTACTTCAGAGTCATGCCAGTTACCACCAATTAGATGCATATAAAAATGACATTTTTTCTAAAATCAGCAATTAAGGAGAGGAACAGTGCTGTGTGAAGTGTGGTCCCCGAGGTGAAGATGGCCCAGTGCATTTCCTAGCTGGCATGGTCATGACATGGTGTGCAGAGAGGACAGCATTCTTGTGCCCTTGCCACTGTCAGTGCTAGAACTTGTAGACAATTACTTTTCTCTGGGCCTCAGTTTTCTCCTCTGTAAAATGAGGGATTCTTAGATGGTTCAGATATAGTACAATTTAGAGTTGGGTAGAACTTGGACCTCATTTAACTTTGGAAGAAGGGATTGCCAGCATGTAATCCAACATACATTCAGCCCTCCATAGCCATGGGTTCAGCATCTGTGGATTCAACCAACCTTGGATCAAAAATATTGGGGAAAAAAATTTGAAAATATTGCAAAAGGAAAACTGAATTTTCCGTGTGCCGAGAACTACATTGAATCCATGAGAATGAGGTGATGCATAGCATTGTATTCGGTATTATAAGTAATCTAGAGACTATTTAAAGAAGCGGTCTGGCACTAGAGACTAGTTTCGTGGATGACAATTTTTTCATGAACTTGGGGAGGGGATAGTTTTGGGATGAAACCGTTCCATCTCAGATCATCAGGCATTAGATTCTCATAAGGAGCAGGCAACCTAGATCCTTTGCATGCATAGTTCCATGCATAGTTCACAGTAGAGTTCGCACTCCTATGAGAATTTAACGCCACCACCAATCTGACAGGAGGTGGAGCTCAGGTGGTAATGCTTGCTTGCCTGTCACTCACTTTCTGCTGTGCGGCCTGGTTCCTAACAGGCCACAGATTCATAGTGGGTTCGTAGCGGTCTGTGGCCTGGGAGTTGAGGTCCTCTGACTTTAAAGGATACTGGAGGCGAGTGTAGGTTATATGCAAATGCTGCACCATTTTTATATAAAGGACTTGAGCATCTGTGGATTTTGATATCTGTAGTGGGTCCTAGAACTAATCCTCTATGGATACTGAGGGATAAGTATATTTAAATAGTACCCTGGGGTCTCAAGCTGGATTTTAGGGAGCTTTTGTCGTGGTAGTAGTTCACCTTCTTACTGTGAACTCTGTACAAATTCTCACTGACAACTTCTCATCCTTTAACTAAAATGTGTATGTTTGACTGAAAAGGCTAGGCACCTGGTATCTGCCTGGGTTTTTATTGTGTATGTGGTATACTAGAAAAGGACACTGAGGCCGCATACTGGTTTCCAGCCTCAGTCTACTGACAGTAGAAATGGGGAGAAGTTTGTCTTCTTTCCTGGGCTACAAATAGGCAGTTTGTATAATGAAACAGACAGCACACTGGGAGCGGGAAGGTGACTTTCAATCTCTGGCTTCACTCTGGCACTTTTGGTAAAGTGCTCAGCCTGTGGGCCCCATTGTCCTCAGGGGTTGGAACTGATGATTTATAAGTTCCGCAGTTTAAAGAACAGGGAATATCTGTTCCCTGCTCTAGCGAATCCTAAGTAGTGGTCATTCCAGATTCAAATGACATGAACTGACAGCATTTTGTGTTGTAGATTCGACAGAAGCTGCAGACTAAACAGGCTGCCATGGAGAGGTCTGAAAAAGCTAAGCAACTGCGAGCACTTAGGAAATACGGGAAGAAGGTGAGAAGAAAAGTGTGCAGGGAACAGGAAGAGGCGGAGTGTGTGTTAGATGAGATTGCCGTGGTCTGACTTGGTCCCCTGAACTGAACGGAACTGTGTGTTGATCATGTATTTACCGTCTCTCAGTGTATGTGCTGGTATTCATGAGCACAATCTTGCCTGGACATGAGTGGTTCCCCAGGAGTAGTATGGTGACTGCAGGTGAGCCAATCACCTCTCTGGGCGTTAGTTTTCACATCTGTACACTGGGTCCAGATGAGTGGTTTCCAAACCTGACCTTATAGCAAAATCACCAGGGGAAATTTTTCAAAACAGAATTCTAGACTTCAGAATCCCCAGGAATCTGTGCCTGTTTTCCCCTCTTCCCCAAAAGCTTTCCAGGTGATTCTGAAATGCATCCTGGTTTGGGATTCACTGATCTATGTGATAATCACGTACCTGAAGAAATTATCATAATGATTGTCATCCAATCTGAAAGATTGCCTGCGTGTTTGAACTATGAATGTCTGAGTTCTAATGTAACACCAGATCAGGCATACCCTAAAACTTTTCTTGGTTTTCCTTTTTTATTTCATGGTCATCTAAGAAAGAAGATGACAGATTTTAAAGTTAGGATTGTGGGAAGAAATGAATGTGAGGAAGATTGGTGTGGGTGTTAAGACTTCGTCAACATTTGGACATAAGCACTTGTGATCTGGGCTGCAGAACTCTTGTCCACGTTTGGAGTCATTTCACTGATACATTCTCAGCAAAGTAGGAATAGGCTGGGATCCTGTCCTCTACAAAAGGCCTGCTGCGGATTTATTATTTCTTTGATCTGGAGGTGGATGGCTGAGATTCTCTCAAAGACACCAGTAATTAATTTAACATAGCCAAAGTTACCAAAAGCAAAGACAAACTCACTTGGGCCTATTAGTTCACTGTTCCTAATTTAAGGAAACACTGGGGAAGAGTTTGTTAACTGGGGGTGAATTTGCTCCCCAAGAGTTTTCTGTGACTGCCTGGAGATATTTTTAGTTGTCAAATTTGGGAGGGAGGGTACTACTGGCATCTAGTAGGTAGAGGGCAGGGGTGCCGCTAAATATCCTACAGTGTAGGACAGGCCCCTACCCCCCAGCAAAGAATTATTCTCTCCACACTGTAGCAGTATCAAGATTGAGAAACCCTCTGTTAGAGTATTATAAAGTGTCTCCTTTTATCCTTCAAACTTTTTTCTTTTCTTTACCTGGGGACATTGTTTTTTTCTCTTCCTTTTGGTACTTTCATGCCTAGTAACAGTGAGTTAGATAATTAATCTGTCCAAATGTGATGCGAAAAATCGATGTAGTCTTAAACATGATTTACTTCAGTTTTGTAGGCAGGATTGTATAATAGGGTGAGTGCTGGCTTTGGAGTCAAACAGCCTGGGTCATCTTGGCTGTGCATTTTTTCACTGTGCGACTTGGGCAAGTTAACTTCCCTGTGCTTCAGTTTAGGGGATAACACAAATTTCAACTTCACTGGATTGTTATGAGACAGATATATCTTCATCTATGAAGAATATACCTAGATCTGAGAATATACTTAGAGTCCCTAACACAGTTTTTGGCACGTAGTAAATGTCAGAGGGTAGTGGTATTAATCATGGTGTTGCTATTAAGACAATGTAGACACTGGAGTAATGGTATGGAATGGCTGTAACGGTCCTTGTGTTCATATCACAGGTGCAAACGGAGGTTCTTCAGAAGAGGCAGCAGGAGAAAGCCCATATGATGAATGCTATTAAGAAATATCAGAAAGGTTGGTACATCTCTAATAGGGGAACGAGGGTAGCAGGTACTTTAGAGTTGATTTGAACACTTAGTGCTTTGGAGCCTTCTTGGTTGATGTGGACCTGTCGGATCAAAGTTTTGGGAATGGTGTTGGAGAGCAGGATGTGACTCTTAAAATCAGTGTAGCAAATAACAGCCTCATATGGTGGTTTAAACTTTTATTCTTAAAATACAATGGTGCTGATCAAAACTACTTCTTCACTTACAGGCTTCTCTGATAAACTGGATTTCCTTGAGGGAGATCAGAAACCTCTGGCACAGCGCAAGAAGGCAGGAGCCAAAGGCCAGCAGATGAGGAAGGGGTGAGAAGGGTTTTGGCATGGTTTCTTTGGTTCTGTGAGGTGCGATGGGGCCACAGGTCACGAGTATGGCAGACATAGCACCTCCACCGGCGCAGCCATAGAGTCCAGAGAGTGCAGCTGCTGCCTGGGGCCAGGACCCCTATGACTGTGTGATGGGCCCTTTTAGCCATGTCAGTCTTTGAAGAGTAAAAGAAGGCACTTTTTAAACTTCTTTTTTTTTTGGACAGTCTCATTCTGTCACTCAGGCTACAGTGCACTGGTACAGTCTTGGCTCACTGCAACCTCTGCCACCTGGGCTCAAGTAATTCTGTGCCTCAGCCTCCTGAGTAGCTGGAACTACAGGTGCCTGCCATCACACCCAGCTAATTTTTGTATTTGTAGTAGAGACAGGGTTTCACCATGTTGGCCAGGCTGGTTGTGAACTCCTGGCCTCAAGTGATTCACTCACCTCAGCCTCCCAAAGTGCTGGGATTATAGGTGTGAACCACTGCACCCATCCTAAGAAGGTACTTTTAAGTATGTGGCACCCTTTAAGTGAATGCTGAGTAAAGTTGATTCCCCATCACACAGTGCGATGGTTGAGAGTTCAGACCTAGGGTTCAGATCCCGACTCTACCACTCAGTAGGAGGGCAGTTTTGAACGAGTTACCATGCCTTTCTAAATGCTAATTGCCTCATCTGCTAAGTTGAGGAAATAGTGTCTGCCTCATAGTATGAAGACTGAAAGAGAGAATGTGGGCTCTCATTGTTTTTTCTAGTCTGCTTTTTTGCATACCTGGATACCAGGCCTAGGGGAAATGATAATTTCCATGTAAGATAGTAAGTGCTATGATAGAGGCATTTGGGGATTAGTACTGAGTCAGCTTTTATAAATACCTGACAGGGTCTGGGGTGGATTTCTGGAGGAGCGTTCGACTTGAGCATTGCTTGAAGCATGAGTAGGAATTAACCACGAGAATAGAAGAGAAGCTGGGTTTGGGAAGAAGTAAGAGCTTGAACGAGCAAAGCCATCGAGATGTGAAACCTCAGGGTTTTGTGAGGAACAGTAAGCCCTTGGTGTCACTGGGAATACAGTGCAAAGCAAGGAGGGGTGCAATGTGTTTGGGGGGACCTGGGCTGTGGGTTTGCCTTGTTGAGGAGCTTGGGCTTTGTCAGAAGGCAGTGGAGAGACTAGGTTGTAGGTTGTACTAACAGTAATGAGCAGGTTATATTCATGTTTTTAAAAAGATCACAGTGGATTTTGTATAAGTGACAGACTTGAGGGAAGCTGGGAAATTGACAAGGGTACTATTGCAAAAGTCGAGATAAGGATTGAAGAAACATTTAAGAGGTGAAATGAGCAGGACTCAGTAATTGAATTGGGTATAAAGAGTGAGAGAAGAACCAAGGCTGACTCCCACATGTTTAGCCTGTGTGTCTGGGTTGGTGGGAGCAGCGCCAGCCTCAAGTGAGGGCATATGTACAGGAAGCAGAGCCAGTCCAGGAGATGATGTGAATTTGGAGATGCTGAATTCAAGATTCCTATTGGATGACCAGTTTTACATTTGAATGTTATTCCATTTGAATGTTATTTGAATGCCTATAATTACATTTGAATGTTTACATTTGAACGTATTCATTACATTACATTTGAATGTTACAAATGTAACATATTACATTTGGATGTTAACTGCATGTATTTACCCTTGAGAGGAATAGACACAACTGAGGGTGATTTAATAAGATTTGGTTAAAATAGAAAGCTTTCTAAAGACAGCAGGAAGCCATGTAATATATGTAGAGCCTTCCCTGCTTCTTGCTTTATTTTCCTGCCCTGGTGGTCAAAACTGTAAATAGGTGAGCTAGATGAGTTTGTCTAGAGAGGCTGTAGCATAGGATTGTGGGGCCAAGGATGAGATTCTGGGTTACAGACGTGCCTAAGGGGCTTTGCTTATAGAAAGGAAACTGAGAGCATTGCTGGGCCATCAGGTTCATCAGGCTTTACAGTGCTGTAGTGATGTCTAGGACCATTCTTTTCCAGGCCCAGTGCTAAACGACGGTATAAAAACCAGAAGTTTGGTTTTGGTGGAAAGAAGAAAGGCTCAAAGTGGAACACTCGGGAGAGCTATGATGATGTATCTAGCTTCCGGGCCAAGACAGCTCATGGCAGAGGCCTCAAGAGGCCTGGCAAGAAAGGGTCAAATGTAAGTGAGCCCAGGTGCCCGGGTGAGGAGCAGGCTCAGCCTCCCCTCCCACTCCCAACCCTGCCCTCTCCCTTCAGTTCTGTTCGTCCTCACCCTGGGGCAGAAGGCAAGCTGCTATGTGACCAGATGTGGTATGTCTTTTTCTGTAGAAGAGACCTGGAAAACGAACAAGAGAGAAGATGAAGAACAGAACACACTAAATAGCATCTTTGAATACAAAGAACCAAGAAAAAGGAATGAAGACTCGCAATTTCACGACACACTTTGATCCCTTCTGTTGGTGTCATGTTGTAAACATTTCTTTCAATAAACTAAAGAAAAATTATTAAAGGAACACATACCTTTGGTTAAATAGTCTAGACTAAAAGATTGAGAAGTTACTTTCCATTGCTATCTATTGATAATTTAGACATTGAGTTCAAATTGCCTTCATTTTATGATAAATAATGATTTAACTGACACCTTCTCATTTCCTTTGTCTCATCCTTCTAAATAGTTATATTACGATCAATCCCTGTAAAGCTCAATGCCCATATTTTACAGGTGTGAGCCACCGTGATTTTCTTTGTGGTACAGCTTTTGGTTTTTCCTCCAGTTAACCTTCACCTTACATTCTTCTGCTTGCCTAATTTTCCTTCTATATTCTTAGTTCTTTCCAGATGCTTTGTCATTTTACCCACTTTATAATTTTTCTCCTACAACCTAGTTATGCCACACAACTGTCACCTTTTTTCTAGACCGTTTAAGTTGGCACCATTATTTCCAGAATCCCATGTTTTCCCATCTTAGCATATGCCTTCTTTTGCTGTGTACCATTTTTTGGTATCTTACTAAGAAAGGGAAGATGAGAGGTAAACTTTTTATCTCCTTGCATTTCTGAAATTGCCTTTAATTTGGGCTGATAGGAATTTCCTCCTTAGAATTTTAGAATTTCGCAGGCACTGTTTTTAAGTTTTATTTCAGTTCTACTTTTGGGGGGAGATATATTTTTGTTTTTTAAAATCTTTTTTTTTTTTTTTTTTTTTTTTTGAGACACAGTCTCACTCCATCGCCCAGGCTGGAGTGCAGTGATACAATCTTGGCTCACTGCAACCTCCACTTCCCAGGTTCAAGTGATTCTGCCTAAGCCTCCTGAGTAGCTGGGATTACAGGCGTGCGCCACCACACCCAGCTAATTTTTGTATTTTTAGTAGAGACAGGGTTTCACCACGTTGGCCAGGCTGGTCTCAAACTCCTGACATCAAGTGATCCACCTGCCTCTTCCTCCCAAAGTGCTGGGATTACAGGCGTGAGCCACCATGCCCGGCCTAAAATCATTTTATTGAATATGAAGTTTAGCTTTCATTTCATTTATCCCCCAAGAGTTTCTTATTCTCTATTTGGTCATTTTTCATATCATTTTACTCTTATCCTCTAGATGCAGTATCTTATATCTCTCAGAATATGATTATAGTTTTAATTTTTTTGATAAAGTTTCCCTCTGTTCCCTTCATTCTGTTTCTGCAGCCCATGCATTTTGATCTCCTCTTTCCCGTGTTTGAGCAGTAGAGTATTGTAGAAGCTAAGAAGCGTGGATTCTGGGGCCTGGCTGTGTTGCTTACTTGCTGTTTGACCGTAGGGAATTTAATTTTTATTTGCCTTGTCATCTCTAGCATAATGTAGATGTATCTACCTCATTGGGTTCCTGTCAGTATTCGGTTAATCAATGTAAAACACTTAGAACATTATCCTAATATAATCCGATAATCTGATAATCCTCTCATATTCCTTTGATTAGGATTGTTTTGCTGGGGTTTCTTTCCTTAATATCTGGCAAGCCTTGGTTGTTCATACATAAGCGGAAGCTCTGCGTAGGTGGTACATTGAGTAGGCAGGCCACATTAATTGTTGGGCTTTACTCTGTGTTGATAGGGTGGTAAACCATTTTACCTGCCCCTTCTCTCTCCATTCCAGTTTAGAAATCATACTTTATTTTTAAAGAAGTTAGAAATGCCTGAGAGCTATATAGTATCTTTAGCAGAAAGAATAATTTATTTTCACATTTTCTTGTAGCATTATTGGCACATGAAAAGGATATTTCTGGATTCATATAATACTAAGATTGTAATGTAGAACAAAGAGAATTTAGTTTTTGTAAACTAATTTCAACTAACAAAACTGGTCACACAGGTCATATCAAGAAGACAAAAATATTTACTCTGTCCTCTTTCATAATTCATGCCATATTATTGAATGGGGATAATGTGTAACAGGCTCAGAAGCAGTTTGAGACTTTGAATTATGCAAGTAAATATTGAGAGTTTCACAAAAGAAAGCACAGGTTAACAACATTTCACATTGATAAAGCCAAAAGTAAGTTTTTAATAACAACATACCTCTAAAGGCTTTCTTGAAAACTATGTCCCCCCTCTTTTACTTCTTGTTTTTTTCTCTTTTTTATTACAGAGCAAAGATTTACATATGGACTCACTTTCCTTAGTTTTAGAAATATCCTCTGTAGAACTCATTTACATCACTTCTATCATTCCAACCCTCAAAATAAAGGGTGATCAAGGTGCAGGTAGCATTATGCCTTCTTTTTCTTTTTGTATAGACAGGGTCTCACTCTATTGCCCATGCTGGATTACAGTGATGTGATCATAGCTCACTGTATCCTCAAACTCCTTGGCTCAAGCAATCCTCCTGCCTCAGCCTCCCAAGTAGCTGGGACTACAAGTGCATGCCACTATGCCTGGCTAGGTGTTTTTATTTATTTATTTATTTATTTATTTATTTATTTATTTATTTATTGTAGGGACAGGGTCTTGCTCTATTGCCTAGGCTGGTCTCAAACTTCTGGGCTTAAGCAATCCTGCCTTGGCCTCACAAAGTGCTGGGACTACAGGTATGAGCCACTGCACTCAGCCTCCTTCATATTGCTTTAAAATAAATACAATCCCATCAATTGAAAAATAAGTAGGAACCTAGGAGTCCCCAATACAGATTCTAATATGCATGAATTCAGTTATCATGATGTAATTAAATAAGTTTCTCAACAATGTTCACATTTCAGTTACCAAAGTAATAACTGAGTAGATGCGTAAAGTAGAAACAGTCGCTGCTAGCTCTTTAGTCCACAAATCACTTCATAAATGACAGATGCACGAAGACTAGTGACCATCACTTCTTTCAAAGTCTGTCCCAAGATCAGTCACTGCATCAGTTATTCATTTCACACACACACACAGCAAAGTGTGTAGTTGTGTTGCCTCTTTGTCTTTAGCAATAAACTCCTCATGCATTTTATAGAAGTAGATACCTGAGAGGGAATTGACCACCAAGGATTAATGTACACCAAAGAAACAAAAAGTGATAGGGCACGGTGACTCACGCCTGTAATCCCAGCACTTTGGGAGGCCGAGGTGGGCGGATCACGAGGTCAGGAGATCGAGACCATCCCGGCTAACACGGTGAAACCCTGTCTCTACTAAAAATACAAAAAATTAGCCAGGTGTGGTGGCGGGCGCCTGTAGTCCCAGCTACTCGGGAGGCTGAGGCAGGAGAATGGCATGAACCCAGGAGGCGGAGCTTGCAGTGAGCCGAGATCGCGCCACTGCACTCCAGCCTGGGCGACAGAGCAAGACTCCATCTCAAAAAAAAATAGAGTAAAATTTTTTTTAGATTGGCCAGGTATTGGTGGTATGCACTTGTCCCAGCTACTGAGGAGGCTGAGGTGGGAGAATCTCTTGAGCCTGGGAGTTTGAGGCTGCAGTGAGCTATGTTTGTGCCACTGTACACCAGCCTGGGTGATAGAGTGAGAACCTGTCTCAAAAGAAAAAAAAAATATTTTTTAAATGGTGAGGCTGGAAGTAAAATTTGAGTGCAATGCAAATGGAATTGTAGATGAAATAGCTGATATTGGACTGTGAATGCTGTTGCCCTTCTAGAGACTAGATATACAGCCAGAGAAACCTTGTGAAGGCAAACTTACAAATGAGGAAAGAGATGGAAAGGATGAAGATGTCTCCAGAGAGTGACACTAGTAAAAAACTGTACATTAAAGGGACTCTTGGAGCTATCTAATGACATTGGAAGATCAAGTGATAAAATGTTGAAACTAAATCCAAACTTAGAAAGGAGTAAAGACAATTTGCCAAGGCACGGAAAAAATGCTTGTTCTTCATCGTAAGTTATAGAAGGGAAAAAAGAAGACAAGCATGGTTTTTCATACAGAAATAAAACACTTGATTCTCAATATTTCTACTGTTTTAAAGTGAGTCTACTAAATTTTAGTATTTTAATTTTGTTACGCATTGAACAGAGTTTTTAATACTTTCACACAAATTTTTTTTTCATTGTTTAGTTTTGTTTCGAAGACTTAAAGATTCATACTTTTTTTTTTTTTTTTTTTTTTTTTTGAGACAGAGTCTTGCTCCGTTGCCCAGACTGGAGTGCAGTGGTGCCATCTTGGTTCACTGCAAGCCCCGCCTCCTGGGTTTTCACCATTCTCCTGCCTCAGCCTCCCGAGTAGCTGGGACTACAGGCACCCGCCACCACGCCTGGCTAATTTTTTGTATTTTTAGTAGTGACGGGGTTTCACCATGTTAGCCAGGATGGTTTCGATCTCCCTACCTTGTGATCCGCCCGCCTTGGCCTCCCAAAGTGTTGGGATTACAGGCGTGAGCCACCGCGCCCGGCCAGATTGGTACTTTTTTTTTTTTTTTTTTTTTTTTTTTGAGGCGGAGTCTCGCTCTGCCGCCCAGGCTGGAGTGCAATGAGCGATCTCGGCTCACTGCAAGCTCCGCCTCCCGGGTTCGTGCTGTTCTCCTGCCTCAGCCTCCCGAGTAGCTGGGACCACAGGTGCCCGCCACTGCCCCCGGCTAATTTTTTGTATTTTTAGTAGAGACGGGGTTTCACCGTGTTAGCCAGGATGGTCTCGATCTCATGACCTCGTGATCTGCCCACCTCAAGGACTTTTGGACAATTTTTTTTAAAGGTCACAGAACAATTGTAATTTTCCCCCAATGATGATTAAGATCACTTTGCATAGTTTCAGCAAGCAGGACATCTTTGTAGTCCTGCACTATTGTGCAAAGTGAAGACTGACTTTATATGCTTTTTTAGATGAGTATACAAAGTAAGAGCTTTCTGTTTTTCGGGCAGAGTTGGGAAGGAGATGAAAGCAGAAAATGTGGTTGCTCTCTTTGCAGGAGCAGAGCTGCAGAAGCACACTGATTGCTTTCAGAGCACAACCTTGTGATGAAAACATTCAGGCATTTAATCTATTTTATAATTTACACTAGATTATAAAACTAGATTCACCTTTCTGCATATCAACAAATCCACTTTTTATGCTGTCCTGAAAATTCAAATATTCATGATGATGAATTCAAGTGTAATTATAATAGGTACCTTTCTCACATTGAAGACAAGATGTCCAATAATGTTGCAGAATCTTTTGGTATAAGATTTTTTTGTTGTTGTTTGTTTTTTATTTTTTGAGATGGAGTTTCGCTTTGTCACCCAGGCTGGAGTGCAATGGCGTGATCTTGGCTCACTGCAACCTCCGCCTCCTGGGTTCAAGTGATTCTCCTGCTTCAGCCTCCCAAGTAGCTGGGATTACAGGCGCCCACGACCAAGCCTGGCTAATTTTTGTAGTGTGGAGATGGGGGTTTCACCATGTGGGCCAGGCTGGTCTCGAACTCCTGACCTCAGGTGATCCGCCCGCCTTGGCCACCCAAAGTGCTGGGATTACAGGTGTGAGCCACCACGCCAGGCCTAAGATCTTTAATTGGAAGTCATTGGACCTCAACTGCATGCATGTAAACTCACTCTTCTGGCCAATCAGAAATGATATCTGATCATTATCCTGTATATTACCTACTACATTGCTGGTTGAATTACTTCCAGTACTAGATATGCAGTTTCGCTGTAGATGATGGTAGCTATGATGATACCAAAGAAAAGGCTCTTTTTAGCCCAACAAAAATTTTAAAAGAACATTGAAAACAAGCAGAGTGGATACATAAGAAATATGCAAACAGATATGTAGAGGAAAATTAACCTGTTCTATTCTGATATAAAAACGATGCATAGTATTTCATTTGTATTTTACAAAAGAGAACCGAGATTATATGCAGCATTTACAAGTATCTTACCTTGTACCACAATGCAGGATTCCACTGCTCCTCATCAATGTACTCTGAATTTCTGTATATGAGCTTCTGTGACATAAAATGGGGCGAATCTGCTGAGACTTGCCCTCAGGGTTTCCATCCTTAACCAAACCCTACTATATATTGGAGGGTCCATGGCCTTCTTCTCAAAACAAATAATTAAAATAAAAATCAAGATCCTAAGACAAAATATACCTAGCTCTTTTTAAATAATGAGCAATGATTTCTTGTCATTAGATGCATTCCCCCTCACTCAGGAATAAGAGATCTTTAACAGTTTCTTCTTTATCCGCTTAGGCCAAAGGAAAAGCCAAAATGATCACTACATATTAAAATTTAGATATTAATTTTATTTTCTCTAAGTTTTTATACTTCCTAGTTTTAAAAAAATGCCAAAATGCTCCTGTTCTGGTTTTCTATGGTTTAAATAGCAACATAGGATGGCAACGTTGGCTTCTGCGGTTTTACAAAGACAACTCCCTTGGTGTACAGAATGGTCAACAAAGGCTCTAGCCTGATGGCAGCTGGGAACAAGTCTAACTTTCTGGAACTCATCATTTGAGGCTTCAGCGGCAGCACGCTTCTTTTCTTTTTTTTTTTTTTGAGATGGAGTCTTGCTTTGTCGCCCAGGCTGGAGTGCAGTGGCCCCATCTCAGCTCACTGCAAGGTCCGCCTCCCAGGTTCACGCCATTCTCCTGTCTCAGCCTCCCGAGTAGCTGGGACTACAGGTGCCCATTGTCACACCCGGCTAATTTTTTGTATTTTTAATAGAGACGGGGTTTCACCATGTTAACCAGGATGGTCTCGATCTCCTGACCTCGTGATCCGCCTGCCTTGGCCTCCCAAAGTGCTGGGATTACAGGCGTGAGCCACCACCCGGCCTCAGCACACTTCTTTTCATTTGCCTGCTCCATTATCTCGTGAGTTGCCTCTTTGATTTCATTTCTCCTTTTTTGTTTTTTTTTGAGCCTCAGTGCCTGGCTCAATGACATCTTTATGATCAGTTCCTAGATTACTTTCCTTACCTGCTGGCCCTTTTGTAAAGATTCCTTTGACTTCCTTCCTTCCGCCCCCTCCCTTCCTTGGCATCCTCTTTAAGAAGCTAAGGCCCCATGAGGAAGAGATGGTATTGGATCCCTTGTGCCCTCCACCCTTTCCTCAGGGACGTGCAGCACCTAGGGGTGCAGGAGACCAGATTTCTGCTGATGCAGCCCCCACCCAGTCGTTTGCTCACTCTGCACAGATCTGTGGCCTATGTGGTCATGCAGAGGTGGCACAGTGGCTGCAGAGGCTGAGCAGAAGCTGAGATGGCTGCAACTCTGAAGCACGTGCTAGCTTAACAGGATGAGGTCCAGGAGCAATGGTTCGTAGCAGGAAGGGGAAATGTAAACTGACTTCCCTGGTTCTTTCCTTAAAGGTCTCTCAAACAGTACTATGTGGGGGTCTCTAGAGAAGTTTCATTATTTTTCCAGAGGGGAACACTCCATCTTCAAACCTAGGGTAAAAATGTAGTATATGTGTGGGTGGGCACCTGGGCTAGGGGTTCAGCCTTCTTTTTGTAGATTTTCACAGATGATTTTCAGCTCCATGCCTGGCTCATGCCTTGTGTTTTAGTATCCTTGAGCCCTGGGCTTCTCCTCTTCCCCCAAGAATAAACCCCCAGCCTCCAGCGTGGGGGAGAGGTTATAAACCTGGCTTCTGGTGTAGGGGTGGGATTACCCCTACCCACATCCAATTTCAGTTCTCTGCTTCACACCTCACTCTGTCTCAGAGTCCTGAACCTCTATCTAGAGTTCTGGAAACCCTGTGCCCAGAGGCATTCCATCAGCTTGCATTTTGTAGTTCCTGCCATCCTCCTCCATCAGCTTTCTATCTCCTGAACACACTTCCAGTTTTTTTCTATTGGTAACATTTTCCTTCCATTCTCTCAGTGGTGGGTTTTGTATCCCTTTGTGATCCTTTATTACTATTAGGAAGGCAGAGCAGATGATTGTATGCAATTAGCCCACCATCTTTATCTGATTTCTCACATTGCTTTACCACACAAGGATTTCAATCAGTGGACTTGACCAGAAATGAGAAAAGTGAAACTTCGTTTTAAAGTAGTATTTTATTTCTCTGGGCTGTGCACACTTAAGGCATTAGATCCACAGATGGGCTCATCCGCTGGGATGCTACTTGTGGTGATCATCTCCTAAGCCCCACGTTTTAGCCTTGTACAGAGTGATGTCACTGCAGACCCTGAAGTGATTCAGCCTGCGGTCATGGCGTTCTGGGTTGATCTAGAAAGGAGGATGCAGAATCAGAAAGAAGCCTGTGAGGATGCAGGAGGACCTGGGTTTGGAGTCAATGGGCCTGGCTTATATCAGGCTCCACCCTCCCAGCCTGTGGCTGCATTGCGGAATGGAGATGACCACATGTACATCAAAAAGGTTGTGAGGTCAGAGGAGAATAACCTACGCACAGTCGTGGTTCTCCCTGTCACACTGCCTGACTGGGAGGCCACAGTATCCTCAGCACCTAGAGCAAGACCCAGCGCATGCTAGGTATTCAATGCATATTTGCTGAAAGAATGAATTTGTTGAAAGAGTCACATAGAATCTAAGTAAAAGTCGGCACTCTGACACATCGATCTTATAGAAGTTACACCGTGCAAATAATTTAAAAAATGTATTTCCAGAAAATGTTACCAGGAGATGAGAGGCTGAATGATGGTCATTGAGTCTGGCTTTGCCAGTGTCCCAGTACTGAGACTGGAGGTATCTTGTCTATCCAAGGTGAGGCTCTGCCAGGGGGCAGGGAGCTTCAAGTTGCAGCTGATCAAGCCTCTTCTGGCCCAGCTACTTCATTCTGAAGCTCCAACTTAATTACCTCTTCTGGTTACACAACACCTGCATCTCATGGTTTTTGGGGTATACTTTCTTACTATGCTAGCAGTGCTCTTGTGATGGCATTGTCCCCAGGTTTATATGATGAACAGCATGGAATATTTGCAGACCCTCTGCAACTCCAGAGTGCTCACTGATCTGGAGACACATGCACTCTGTGATCTGCAGAGCCTACGAAGGTCTGAGCAGGGCAGGCCACACTTGTCCTTCCTGTCATCGTAAGCCTGCACGAGATGTCCTGGAAGGTCAAAGATGCAACATCTCCACATGCACACTTTGTACTTGTGTGAGCCAGGTCTTTACTCTTTAACAAAATGAAGAATGGTGAATTAATTTACTTGTGCATTGTACTATTCTTCTAAGTTGCTTCATGATCTATCTTGGCTGATTTCTATCTTCACACAAACACCCCATCCTTCACAACCTTTCTTCTCCCCGGCAAAGATTCTTTCCTTGAATGAACTCTACTCAGGAACCCTGAATTACTTTTCAACTAGGTCTGATTTTGGGATTTCCATTTCCTCTACATTGTCCAATTCTAGCAAAAATCCTGCTAAGCTGATTTAACCAGAACCCCCTACCTTTAATATCTGATCACCCTTGATATCTGATTGGGTTCCCCATCCTCCACCACTCTCCAAGTGATGTCTGATCCTGCTAGCCTGCCTTCAGCAAGCACCCTATTAGGTGGAAATTAGCCAGAATCTGCCCTTATCCCTGATGTTTCCTCCTAGTATTTTTCCGTCACTTACCCCCACCTCGTTCCTTGGCTACACAGTCGCACTTGCCCATGCTGTAATCAGAGTCGAGGCCAGGCTCTTTCCCTCCCTCACTGCAAAACCTCATAGTGGTGCCTATGCCCTTCACAGTAGTTTCCCCACTTGGAAAAGTCTTCTTTCTGGTTTTTAAATTTTAAATTTATTTTTTTCCACTAGCACTTCCAGTACCATTCCTTCTGGTTTTTAACAGTCATTGAATATTGACCCATTATTCATATTTATATTCAATAACTGTCATTGAATACATATTTTAACACTTTTCTCTTATTCACGATGTTACCTCCCCACCTCCTCTTTCTCTTTGAGTAGTTATCTTCTCCAGCTCTCTAACCATACCTGTCTCTTTGTACCAAGTCCGTCCTTGTAGGTGCGTATATATGTATACATATATGTGTGTGTATATGTGCGTATATATGTATACATATATGTGTGTGTATATGTACATATATATGTACATATTTTGTATGTATATATATAAAAAGAGGGGATATATATAAATAATTTTTATTTATATATAATTTTATTTTATATATTTTTATTTTATATAATTTTATATAAAATTTTATTTAATATTTTATATAATTTTTATATAAAAATTTATATAATAATTTATATATAATTTTATTTATATATATTTACATATATAAATAAAAAGAATATAAAAAGAGAGAATATATATATAAAAAGGGAGAATATATTTTTATATATATAAAAAGAGAGTATATATATATATATATATATATATATATATATATATACACACACATATATAAAGAGAGAAGAAGAAGTAAGAAAAAAAAGTTAGAGAAAAATATAGAATAGTTGCTTGGTAATGTAGGTGTTGAAGGTTTTCCTAAGCAAGGCACAAAACCCAGAAACCATAATGAGAATTGGTGGCATATTTGATGACTTAAAAATGAAAACCTTCTGCATGACCAAAGACATAAGCAGATTTAAAGACTCGTGTGGCAGAAATTTCTTTGACTTGTCTATTCCATATTGCACATTTCTTCCTTAAAAAAGGAAGCACTGTATTCCTTGGGGTGATTGTGTGCTAAAGTGGCTAATTGTGCCCTTCCAATCAAACAAGGAGAGGACCCTTACTCACACGTCCATTTTTTATGCTTTTTTGTTTTAATTTTTTAAATTTTTATTTTTTTAATTTTAAAAAATGTTATTTATTTATATATTTTTAAAATTAATATTTTTTTTAAGACAGAGTCTCACTCTGTCACCCAAGCTGGAGTGCAATGGCGTGATCTCGGCCCACTGCAACCTCCGCCTCCTGGGTTCAAGTGATTTTCCTGCCTCAGCCTCCCCAGTAGCTGGACTATAAGCGTGCGACACCATGCCCAGCTAATTTTTGTATTTTTAGTACAGATGGGATTTCACTATGTTGGCCAGGCTGGTCTCAAACTCTTGACCTCAGGTGATCCGCCTGCCTTGGCTTCCCAAAGTGCTGGGATGCCAGGTGTGAGCCACTACGCTCAGCCACATGTCCATTTTTTATGGATAAGGAAGCCGAACTCAGAGATATTGAGTGGTACACCCAAGACCACCTTGCTGATAGCTGATGGAGCTGACTCAGGTATCTGTTGTCAGTACCTTTATTTAAACACACAGTGTTTACCATGTGCCAGGCACTGTTCCAGGTACTGCACAAATATCACCTCGTTTCATCCTCATAACAAGCTTATGAGATAGGTACTGTATTAGCTCCATTTTACAACAATTAAACTGAGTCATAAGAGAGCTTAGTAACTTATCCAGCTGGTAAGAGGTAGCCAGGTTCAAGCCCAGGCATGTCTGGCCCCCTGCTCTATTCTACGGTCACCACTTACATTGCTGCTGTGTTTCCTCGTATTTCCTGAGGAAGGAGCCACGCTTACCAAGGGCTCTAAGTCCCATCCAACTTCCTGGTTTTCAGTCTGTGTCTCTGGGTACTTCTTCCTTGGTCCCTGGGCAGCATGGTGAATGAGATTCAGAAACCTGGCTGGGAGACGAGGTATGAGTTATGAAGGAGTCAGGCTTTGGGACCAGAGGTTGGTCCTGTGCCCTTTCCTGCGTCCACATTGTTCCTTTCAGGCAGAGCATCTGTGCCTTGGAGGTTTGCCTCAGCCTCAAGACCAGGGTGTCTGGTCTCTCCACTCATCTTTCAACAAATATGTGGTGAGCTCAAACTCTGTGCCAGACATGCTTCCGGGCGCTGGGCATAGAGTGCTGAGTGACAGCATGGTCCCTGCTCTCCTAGAGCTCATACTCTAGATGAGGCAGAGGACACAGTATTCAGGTTTACAAAATGACGTGATGGTGGCAGACAGGGATACACACTGTGAAGAAAGGAATAGGTGAAGGGTCATGTGCAGGCAAGGGCAGCTGCTGTAGATGGGGTGGCGAGAGAAGGCCTCTCTGGTTGCCAAGCAGGAGCCAGCCCTGGGAAGAGGCAGAGGAAGAGCACACCACAGGCAGCAAGAGCAAAGGTCCTGAGGCATGAGCGAGTTTGGCCAGTGTAGCACAACAGAGAGTGAGGAGCAAGGTTGTAAGAAGTGAGGTCAAATCTTTGTGTATTGAAATAAGTATGGCTGCCGACAACAGATGGATTTGCAGCTCCATAGTTCTGCCCTATCGAGTCTCCACCGGAGAGACGCAGGCGGACAATGGAATGAACCTGGGCTTTGGAGTCAGTGCTACTACCGGCTTGTTGGGTGGCATCACTTCTCTGGGCCACTTTACTCATCTGTGAAATGGGAGGAAAATGTCTATCTCAGCAAGATGGCTGGGAATGAAATGAAGGAAGGTGATTCAAGGGACTGACACTGGGCTGGCACATCCTTCATATAAGAGAGCGAGCAGCTAACTCCTGCCTGGCTTTCAGGACCCTCATTTCCTGTTCTATTCCTTATTGCTACAGGTTCCCAGCTTGCATCCTTTACCCTAGTCAGGAGAGTGCACTACAGATAACACCTTATTGCCTGTGATGATGCCCTCTCTATTAGTCTACTGACTTATCTGCCTCCTTCGTAATGCTCTGAGAGCCTCTGCTCCCCCACTTCCCATCCCAGCCGCGGTCATCTGTCCTTCACCAAATTTTGCTCATGGAAGGTAGAGGGGAAGAAGGAAAGCTTTCCAAGAGGGATCAGGTTTTCCACCAAATATCTCTCCTCTCTCACTCCCAAATAGGGCCCTTTCTCCACCTGTATGTTGTGGCCATGCCAAACTACTTGTAGTCATGTTTCTCATTTCTGTAACTTTCTATAGAACTCGGAATGTCCTTCCACAATCTTCTCCACCTCACCCTGTGGTCGCCTCCTCCAAGAGGTCTTCCCAGAACTCCACTGCCTGATGGGGGCACCTGTTTCCTATGCTGTTCTCACATCAGTCATGGTCCCTCTTTACTTGTCTACTTATTTCCAAGTCTACTTCTCTTCTTCTTCATTATGCTATGAGATCCCTCCACCCAGCCCCACCATAGAGATTACCTAATAATGAAAATAATCATGGGACTAATATTTCCTGAGGACCATGTACCAGCTACTGTTCTATGCACTGGTATTGCTTTGTTTAATCCTCACATCAATCCTGAGAAATAGGCTAAAAGAGGTAAAAAACCTGCCCAATGTTACAGTTAATGAGTAGCAGAACCAGGATTTGAACTGAGTTAGTACAGCTTCAGAACTTGTGCTTATAACATCTACATGTTTGATGAATGAACGAAGGCAATGTTAAGTCAATAGGAACGTTAGTTGGCTTGACAGTTATAATTGAGTATGTCCATCTTTTAAAAATTTTATTTAAAAAAATTTTTATTTTTTTTATTCTATCTACCACAGACTGTCTGAGTATCCGTCTTTTTTGAGCTTGGTTAGTATGAGTCCCATTTCCAGGATCAAAGCAGAGGACTCTGATGCTTGCTCCAAGATATCACGACCCTGAGAGGTCTCTCCAGCCAGCCTGCCTCTCTGGGCTCTATCTCAATGGCATTTCAAAGCCCAGGACTTACCATCTGCAGGTTCCTCCAGGTTATCATGCCAAGACATGGGCTTCCTGGTGACTGTATGAACTAGAAAAAAAGAAAACAGCTTCACAAGTTCAGATTAAAACATGAGTTCCCTGCCCTCTCTAAGGTCCACCTTAAACAGGGCACCCATTTGGCACTCACTGAGTATCTGGTACATGCCAGGTATTATCCTGGGTGCTAGGATAATGCACGATTGGATAAGGCCCTCAAGAACCTCACAATCTAGAGTGGCACTGCCCAGAATGGTGGTCATCAGCCACATGTGGCTCCTTGAATTTGAATAACTAAAATTAATTACAATGAACACTTCAGTTCCTTAGCCACGTTAGTCACACTTCAAGTGCTCAATAGCTGCAGGCGGTTAATGGCTACAGTTTTGACTACAGCCAAGACAGAGAACATTTTCATCACTGATGAATTCTCTTGGACAGTGCTGGCCTATGGGGAAGGCCAAAGAGGTTTGCCAGGCAGTGATCTATGCCCAGGAGGGCACATGGTAACAGAGGAGCAGCACCCACATTCATCCACTCAGCTCATAATTACTGTGCACTGAAGAACAGGCTGTAAACAAGACAGAGCTGGCTCTTGTGTCCCCTGAGCTTTTACTCTATTTGTGGTGACAGGCAATAAACATACATATATCACCCGGCAAATGTAAGTGTGATAGAGAACAGTAAAGCAGGTTACGTGGATGGAGAGTTGGCGTTGGGGCTGGGGTGTGGGTGATGTATCTCTAGGGAGATACATATGAGCAGAGTTTTGAATGAAGTGAGGGAATGTGCTGTGTGTGTGGGAAGCATATGAGCGTGAGCCTGGGGAGTTTGAGAAACGTCAAGAGAGCCAGAGTGGCTCCAGTGGAGTGAGCTGGATGGAGAGTAGTGGGAAATGAGCAGACACCAGTAGAAACCAGTGGTCTCCAAGCTGCTTGTCTCAAACTCCTATCAGTAAAAGAACTTTAGAGCATGCGCCCTTAAAATATGTATAATTATATAGTTTTTATGGACTATTATCAGTATATTAGCAAATAAAATTTCTATCTTTATAAATAAAAGTAATCAATACAAGTTGTAATATTTTCTCACTTTATTCCAATGGCTCACATGCTCAAGGGACATGAGCTGGGAGGCAGCATTTTCCCTAGAGAGCATGAAGGTTGCCTGAAGAGATTATTTCCATTATTTGGAATGGACCGAGTTTGAACGGCTTTGGACACTAATTTGCTTTCCTGAAACTAGTGGTTGGGGACTCCAGAAGAAAACCAAGTTAGTTAGAAGGAAAGTGAAGACAGTACATTTTCTCTATAGAGCCAGGCAACAAAGTGGACTTTACATATTAGGCACAGAGTTGGGAGAGGCATTCAGGAAGAAGCAACAATGTTTATGCAGGTAAAGTGGGAAATGACATGATGCATTTAGGAAATCCATGTATTTAGAAATGGCAGGGGGGAAAGGAGTGTGTGTGGGATTCGTCAGCAATGGCTGGTGCAGAGTAGGCACCAAAGTATTTCTTAAAGGAGCAGGGTAAAGTGGGGGAGAGGAGTATGGCATGAAGCTGGCAGGAACCAGAGCCAGATCCAATGCGCCTTATGTCGTGATTGATTTAAACTTTACCTCAGAGGCTATGAGAAGGATTTTAGGTGGGATTGATGTGATCTAATTGTCCTCCTAGCATAGTGCTAAGCTAGCAAAGGTGTAGGGGTTTGGTCGGAGGGGCCAGCTTGGAGGGAAAGAGAATAAGGAGTTGGGAGCCCATCAGACCAATCCAGGCGGCAAGGACTAGGGCCCTGCAGAGGCTTCAGGAGTGAGGATGCAGGCAGAGGCTGTTTGAGGTGCTACTTAGAGCATGAAAGTACCTGAGCAGAGGCAGAGAGGAATCCATATGCATGATGGTGTCTTTCACTGAAGCAGGAACAAGTGGGTCAGGGGAGAGGAATGTTAATAAACAGGACTTGTGCCTTTTTTTAAGTGTGTGGAGGGAGAGAGACCTTGAGGAGGACTCCGAGGCTTCTAATGATCATGAGATCATTAGATGATGAGAGTGAATGATTCTGATCATGAGAGTGAATCATCCGGGGCCTTTTGCAGAGACAGGGTATTCTGGAGCAGCAGAGAGTGGGGAAGGTGGGAATGAGCCTGGCTTTCCTCCTGCTGGGTCTGAGGTGCCTGTGGGTTGTCCAGGGAGGGGAGCTGTGAGGTGGTTGGGCGTGTGGATCTGAAGCTCCATTTCAGGCCCAGTGGCATTCAGGGGAAGCTGGTGTGACAGGACAGAACAAACTGCCCAAGGAGAGTGCTCAGTGACAAGAGTGGAGGGTAGGGATGTTTTATCAGGGGGCACCCCAGAACTTTCCGAAGGGCAATATCAGAAGCCTGAAGAAAAACCTTTCACTTGTTAAAAACAACCCAAAATACAAACAAAAACAAAACACAAACAGCCTGCAAAATATAATTATTTCAAAAGTAAAATAATAAAAAGCCCTACAACTTTTTTTTTTCTACAACGAAAAGATTTAATCGTGTTGCGCATGAACTTTAATACAGCGAATACATCTGATATGATGTGGCCTCTCCAAAGTCATGGTTCCTGAAATCTAGGAAAGGGGGCGGGTGCTGGGGAAAGAGTTTTTGCTGGGACCGCGTTCCCACCCCGCAACCCGGAGGGCTCCTCCTTCCCCGGCGCCCTCCCGCTCTCGCCCTTCCCCCACCCCGCCGTGCCTCTCACTCTTGCGGAGGGGATTCACGTGATACTGCGTGTAGAGTTTCTGGGTTCGTAGCTCCTTGAGGTACAGTTCCCGCAAGATCTGGTTCTGATGGACCTCATCTGGAATCACCTTCTCTTTTGGGTGTCCCGCCATGGCCTTGGGCTGCCACGCGCCCTCTTGCCTGGGCCTTCCACAGTCTCCAGGCAACGCGTCCCCGCTGTCTCCAGGCAACGGCGTCCCGTGGTCTCCAGGCAACAGCGCTCGGGTAGTGCTGCCCGGTCGGGGCGGGTCTCACTCTGCCAGCCCCTTACCCTGCCTGCATCGCCCCGCCCCGCGCCCGCCGGTCGGGATCTTATTTCGCGCCCCGCCCTATTCTGGCACTGTACTCACTTGCCCCAGCTCCTCAGGCCCGGCTGGTTACTAGAAGGTCCCCTGGATACCGCCAGGAAAGGGCTTCCCGGCAAGGGGCAGACCCAGGAGGTAAGGGACAGATGATTGGACCTCACCTTGGCCAATCATTTCCTAAAAAAGCTTTTGGAAGGAGTCAGAAACCTCTCCCACCTTAAAGCAGATGCCCAGAATCAAAACCTCACAAAAAAACCGGAGGTTTCCTCTCTGAGAAAACGTTCTGGCCAGTGTGACCAAGATTACCAATGTGATAATATTGACAGAATAAACCTTTCCTAATTAAGGAACTTGTTGACTTTATAGTTTATTTTTAATGTTTGTGTTTAAAATGCACGTAATATAATTTTACCATCTTAGCCATTTTTAAGTATTACAGTACAGTAGTATTAAGTATATTCAAACTATGTGAAACCAATCTCCAGAACTTTTTCACACCCATTAAACAACAAGTTTCCCTTTTCCCTTCTCTCCAGCCCCTGGCATTTCACTTTTTGTTTCTATGAATTTGAGTCTGCTAGATACCTTAAATAATGTAGTTTATTTTAAAAGAATCGCCGAGCACGGTGGCTCACGCCTGTAATCCCAGCACTTTGGGAGGCTGAGGCAGGTGGATCACCTGAGGTCAGGAGTTCGAGACCAGCTTGACCAACATGGTGAAACCCCATCTCTACCAAAAATACAAAATTAGCCAGGCGTGATGGCATATGCCTGTAATCCCAGCTACTCGGGAGGCTGAGGCAGGAGAATCGCTTGAACCCGGGAGGCGGAGGTTGCAGTGAGCCAAGATTGCGCCACTGCACTCCAGCCTGGGGGACAGAGCGAGACTCCTTCTAAAAAATAAAAAATAAATAAAAAGTAGGTCTAGCATAAAGAAAGAAGCCACCCCTATTTTTAGTAAGCACCTAAATACTGTCTGAAGACTGTGCTCTTCCCCACTCAGTACTTCATTCATTCATCCATCCATTCATTCGCTCAGGACACAATGTGAATTGCAGAATGGGTTTAGTCTGGGACACAGTGTTGAACAAAATTTTTAATTGGATTGTTTATCAATTTGTTGGAGTTCTTAATATATTATTTTGAGGGCTGTACATGCTGCAAATGTATTTTCCCTCTGTGTGGCTTGCCATTTTAGTCTCTTAATGGTGTCTTCTGGACACCAAAAGTTAAACGTAGTCAAATATATTAGTCTTTTCCTTTATGATTATTGCTTCTTAATTTTCATTTAAGACATCTTTTTCTAATTTGATGACCTGAGGTTACTTTTATGTTACTTTTTAGAGCAGTGCTGTTCAATAAAAGTATGAGCTGAGCCACTCATGTAGTTTAAAACATTCTAGTATCTGCATTAAGAGAGCAAGAATTAGATAAAACTAATTTTAATAATGTGATATTTAACTCAGTATATCCAATTTGTCAATGATTCAACGTTTGAATATAAAAATTATTGAGATATTTTACATTGTTTTGTCCTACTAATGTTTAAAATCCAGTGCAGATTTTACACTTCATAACACATCTCAAGAGCTCCATGGCCATCTGTGGGCAGAACTATTAATATTTAAGAGGATTTGTTGTTTTACCCTTTCTCAGTGAGATCTGTATTCCACCTGAAATTGGTTTTCGAGTGCAGTGTGAGGTAGGAATCCAGCTTAATTTTTTCTTTCCAAAGGAGTATCCAGTTGACCCACCAGCAAATTATTGAAGAGATAGTCCTTCCTCACTGGTCTGCTATGCTACTGTGTCCATAAAAAAAGTGTCCCCATTTGTGCAAGTCCATTTCTGGACTCTATTCTGTGCCATTGGTCTATTTGTCTAAGCTTGCAACAGCACTACACTATCTTAATTACCATAATTTATGTAACACATTCTAATATCTGGTAGGGAAGAATGTCTTCTCAAGACAGTCTTGCCGCTTCTTGGCCCTTTGTATGTCCATATAAATTATAATGAGCTTGTCAAGTTCCCTAAAAATATCTTTTGGGATTTTTATTGAGATTATATTGAATCTAGACCTCAGTTTGAGGAGAGCACTTCTTAATGTCATGTGTTCATGTGATGCTATCATCTGGTCAGGATCTGGACACATTCTTGCCTTCTAGACTGCTACCTTTCCCATTCTGAAGTAGAAGTGCTGCCTGAGCAAGAGGCTCACCCTCAGAGCTTTGATGAGAGCACAATGGAGGGACCCTCCCCTTTTTGCAGGAGACATTTCTCAAGGGCAGAACGTCCTTGGGATGGTCCTGGAATCCTAGGATGAAGAAAATGGAGTCTGGGAGGAACCAGACCAAAGGAAACAAACCTAAGTCCCCATCTATCTACAGCAGGGACCTTGTGCCCTATGTGTGATTCTCAGGGGTTGCACTCACTTGAATGCAGGGCAGATCGACAAGACTTACCCTCCAGAGAACACATTAGATGTGTTCCACTCTTCACTCTCCTCTTCATTCTCTGTCAATGGCCCTGCAGTTTGCTCTGTGGCTACAGACCAAGTTCCGTGGAGAAGCCAGTCTCAAACGTAGAGAACCTCATGCAGGCTGGCTGACCAGGCATGAGAGGAAAGGAGCAAACTGTCAAAAAAAAGGAAATCTCTGGCATCTGAAGAGGATTGCCCAGACGGGAATGGAGACAAAATAGAAATAGTATCAAGGTAACCAGGATCTGGTCATGGAAAAGGGGTCCTGTCACTTACCAAGGCTGAAGGTGGGTTTGCTGTTGTCTTGCATTCCGTGTGTCCACCAGGCCAAGCTGCTGGGAATCCACAGTCCTGGCAATTCTGAACTGCCCCAGAACTGTCCCAGCATGAGGGAAACCATCTCTCCAGGATGAGAGCTGTGAATTGTCATGGTTGGTTGGGGGTGGCTCGATTGGGAGTGGGAGCTAGAGTACAGGGGATTAGAAACAAGGGCTAGGAGGAGGAGCGGGGGAAAGGCAGGGGTGTAATGGAAATTGGGACCCTGATGAACGTGGTGGCAGCAGATGCACGGTTTAAAACCCACAGAGGAAGAGCTGGGCAGATCCTTACAGTAGGGTAGTGGGCGGGGCTGACATTATTCGGAGAGGGGTAACAGATAGGGCAGAACCCCAAAAAAGTGGGATGGCACAGAAGACTAGGGTGCAGGCTTGAAAACTGAGGAAAAACAGCAGAAAGGAGGGCTGGATGATGAGAGCATTAAGGAACAGAAAAGGTGAAGTCATGGGTTGAGAAAGAGAAATTTGAGGTAGCTTGCTTGTCATTCTTTCAAATGGGAGCTCTAGTTACTTGTCCAAAGGAGTCCAAATGAGTCATTGGGATGTGGCCAGACCAACTCCAGGATTTATCTCACACACAGCCCTCACATCATCCCCTAACTGAATGCCCATTATGAAATGTACATACACATCCCTTTTGGTCTAGTGAGCAGGTCCCACCAATCAGGGAAATGGCACCAGTTTCTAGGTTTAAGAGTTGTCATGGGAAATGGCAAAGAGAAGAAATGGGGCTGTAGTATTAATCCTTGTTTTTGGGATACTATGTAATTTTGCCCTCAGTAGGCAAAGATCGACCAAAGGGCTAGGATAGATTTAGAGGGCTGGAGCCTAGGTGAGCGGTGCTGAAGCAGGAATTGGGAAAATGGGAAGAAATTAGTGCCTCAGTCTCCTTCCCTGACAACACTGTTCAAAGCCCTTTTCACTGCATTTACATCACTGGATAGATATGTGTGATTAAAGATGTCACGTCCATTTTACCATGAGGACGGTGAAGACCAGAGAATGAAGTCCCTTAGGTGGGCAGGGGGTGACAAAGCAGATGGGACTAGAACTTGGGCCAAAAGAGGGCAGGTAGGAGGGAGCACAGAATGGCGCAAAGCGCAGACCAGCAGCTTTGCCTCCTCCTGCGTCTCTGAACAGGATCCTGTAGGGGGCGCTTCAGAGCAGAACTGAACTTTTTGGAGCGTACCATCTTGGTTCCTGTGTTCTCTTGGTTTGATGACTTACTCTTAACTGGAACCATAAACGTAGGGCTGAGACTGGCAGGATGACTGCCCACTCCTGGGTGCCTAACGACTAGATTTGGACTTCCTTGCTCACTACCAGAGATGCCTGTCTCCATGTCAGATAACTAAGGAGAGTGCACCCTCCCCCTTTCTTTAGTCTGATGAAGCAACCCCCTCTGCTGACCATTCCTGGTTTCTTTGATCACCATCCAAATCATAAGTCCCTTTGCTCACCTATTCTCTCTGGTATTTTTATCACCATAATATTCTGATTGTTCTTTCTTGACCCAACACCCTTTTCCTCCCTTACTTTCAGTTGTACTCTATGGAAGTTCAGCTGCATGATTAGTAAACTTCCCTATTTCCTTAGACTGCTTCTTTACGGACAGTTCCTTGCTTCTCCTGGCTTTAAATGTAATTTGGATTTCCCTTGAGGACATTGCTTCCTGTGTATTTCAGGTAGAGACTCTACTTATTCTCTGAAACTCTAAGTACTTCAGTGTGGGAATGTGGTGTATAGGTTCTCTTTGCTCCTTTTGATTCCTTTCAAACCATTATTCCTCTCTTCTTACTAAAAATCTCTTGCTCCTACATGTGTACTTGACGGTCGTGAGAGGAGAGAGAGGATTGAAAAACTACCTATGGTGTACTATACTTATTAGCTGGGTGGCAAATAATCAGTACACTAAACCCCTGTGACATGCAGTTTACCTATATAACAAACCTGCACATGCACTCCAGAGCCTAAAAGTTAAAAAAAAATTACACACATTATGTGTATATGTACATATGTATTTGTAATATAGACTTTATTTATTAAATATATAATATTTTAGAGTCAGTTGTATTGATATTTGTATAAATGATGCAACTATATATGATGAATAAATATAATATGCATATTTACATATAAATAGACTTGAATTGCTGGTATAAGGTATGTTGTTAAACTTTGATAAATTCAGCACGAACACTGAAAACCAGCAATGGTGCCCCAGCCCATGACCACTTCCCCACTGCAGTGCCCAAGGGTTATAAAGCTCAGGACCCTTCCTCATGTCTCTGCTGAGCCAAGCAGTGACCCGCCCAATGCTGAGGATGCTGAGTGACCTGAGGGGCCTGTGGGGGAACACAGAGCAGCAGGTGCTAGGGAGATAGATGGGCAGTGGGTCTGAACTCCCAGTGGAGGGATGTTTAAAGAAAAAAAAAGAAAACCTCTTGCTCCTTAAAGCTTGTGCTATACATCACCATTTCCCTGCACTGTCCCCTAACATCTCCTGGACACTCTCTTTCTCTCTTTTCCTATTAACATGGTTACAATTGTCTCAAAGTCCTATTCTTGAGTTCATCACACTGAGTGACTTCAGTGTTCATTTAGATGGCCTGATTCAATTCTCTGGCCTCTCTGTGTGTGTGTGTGTGTGTGTGTGTGTGTGTGTGTGTGTGTGTGTGTGTTTTACTTATAACACATTCTGTATTTTGTAAAAGTTTGATTTTTGACACATAAGAATTGCACATATTTATGGGGTACAGTGTGATATTTTAATACTTGTGTACATTGTGTAATGATCAAATCAGTATATGTAACAAATACATCACTTCACTTATTTCTTCTTGGTGCAAATATCGAAAAGACTCTTTTAGGTGTCTTGAAATATACAATAGTCCCTCTAACGTGAAATAGAACACCACAACTTATTTCTCCTATCTGTAATTTTGTACTCTTTCACCAATCTCTCCCCATTTCTCCTCTAGCAACCACTATTCTGTTCTGTACTTTTATGAGATTGACTTTTTTTAGAGCCCACAAATGAGTGAGATCATGTGGTATTTGTCTTTCTGTTCCTGGCTTTTTCACTTAATGTGATGTCCTCTAAGTTCACTTAACGTAATGCCCTATAGGTTCATCTACATTGCTACAAATAACAAGGTGTCATGCTTTTTTTATGACTAAATTTTATTCTATTGTGCATATGTACTACCTTTTCTTTATTCATTCATGCATTGATGGACTTTTAGGATAATTTCATAGCTTGGCTATTGTGAATAAGGCTCCAGGAAACATGGGAGTGCAGATTTCCCTTTGACATATTGATTTTCTTTGGATCAGTACCCAGTAGTGGGATTTCTGAATCATATGATACTTCTACTTTTAATTCATTTGTGGAAACTCTATACTGTCTTCCATAATGGTTGTACTAGTTTACACTCCCACCAAAACAGTGCGTAAGGGTTCCGTTTTCTCCATATCCACACAAGCATTTGTCATTTTCGCCTTTTTGATAATACTCATTCTATTTGGGGTGAGGTGATATCACACTGTAGTTTTGATTCGCATTTCCGTGATGATTAGTGATGTTGAACATTTTTTTCATATACCTGTTGGCCATATATATGTGTTCTTTTGAGAAATGTCTATTTTGGTCTTTTGCCCACTTTTAAATTATTTGGTGTTTGTTTTGTTTTGTTGCTATTGAGTTGTTTGATTTCCTTGTATATTTTGGATATAACCCCTTGTCAGATGCATGGTTTGCAAATTTTCACCAAAATTCACCACTTGCCTTCTACTTCAGCCACTTACGGGCATATCTGGTCCTTCTCATTACTGAAGAATTGTCCCACTTCTGAAACCACATATTCAGATATACTGTTCTCTGACCATGACTTCCTGTCCTTACAGTGTAGTCACTCTATTCCTCCCAATTCACTTGGCCTCCAGCCCACCATCCTTTCTTTCTCTATATCTAGTAACTCTAATTCCCATGCTGTCTTTACTTCCCTCCTTACATAGTTCAGAGTCAACAGTGGCCCTGAATAGCTGGGTGCGCTATTCTGGTAGCAGCCTGGAATATCTAGGCGCGCTGATATTTATTGCATGCAAGACAAGGGGTAGGGTAAGGAGGGTGAGTAGCCCAGGTGATTGATAAGGTCAAGCAAGTCACGTGATTGACCTTATCAATTTTATAATTTCAATGACTTTTTGAAAACCAATATTATCAATTATCTTGTGGTATTATATTTTTTAATCTCACTTTCCTGGAAAGAAAAACTCAACCTGGCTGATCCCAGCCATTTGCCTTTCATATGGTGCTGAATGCTGTTGAAAAAAACCTAAGAGATTGATACTAAATACTCTATCCTAAACAATACCCACAATCCTCAATTCATAGAAGTTGTTGGAATAAAAACATTGAAAGCAATCTAAATAATTATAAATAAAAATAGGTAAATTATGATAGAGCCACACCATACAATGTAAAAAGAAAATCCACAAATATAAAAAGGGATCTTATCAGTAATATATAAAAGAACTCCTATAAATAAATAAAAAAATACACACTCCAGTAGAAAAATAGTAAGAGACTTGAAAAGGTACTTCATGAAAGAGGAGAGCAAAATGACCAATCATATATAAAAAGGTGCTCAACCTCATAGATGTTCAGGAAAATACACATTAAAACCACAATGAGTTAATACTACAGACCCATCAGAATGGCTAAAATTAAAAAGATGGTCTATACCAAATACTGGCAAGATTATGGAGCAACTGGAGCTCTTATACCCTGATGCTGGGTATGTAGATTGGTAGAACCACTTTGGAAAATGTTTGACATTATGTACTAAAGAAGAGTATGCATGTATTGTATAATCCAGTAACTTCCTGCCTATCTATATGTATTAAATAAATGGTTACACAAGTATAATTAAAGATATGAAAGAGGTTCATGGCAGCATTATTTGTAATAAACCCAAACTGGAAACAACCCAATATTCAATGACAGTGTAATGGATAAATAAATTATGGCATATTCATACACTGGAATATTATACAGCAATACAAATGTATGAACAATACAGCTACATACAATAATATGGGTAAATCTGGCATACATAGTGTTGAATGAATGCAGGCACAATAATGCATCCTGTGTAATTCCATTTATAAAGCGTTTAAAGCTAAGCAAAACTAATCTATGGTGTAGGGTCCAGCCCTACGGGGCTTTGAGGGTGTTCTCCCCGTGTGCGGAGACGAGAGATTGTAAGAAATAAAGACACAAGACAAAGAGATAAAGAGAAAACAGCTGGGCCCGGGGGACCACTACCACCAAGACGTGGAGACCGGTAGTGGCCCCAAATAGCTGGGTGTGCTGATATTTATTGCATACAAGACAAGGAGGCAGGGTAAGGCAGGTGAGTCGTCCAGGTGATTGATAAGGTCAAGCAAGTCACGTGATCATGGGACAGGGGGCCCTTTGCTCTTAGGTAGCCGAAGCAGAGAGGGAAGGCAGTATATGTCAGCATTTTCTTCTATGCATTTATAAGAAAGATCAAAGATTTTAAGACTTTCACTATTTCTTCTACCACTATCTACTAAGAACTTCAAAGAGGAACCAGGAGTGCGGGAGGAACATGAAAGTGGACAAGGAGCATGACTACTGAAGCACAGCACCACAGGCAGGGGTTTAGGCCTCCGGATGACTGCGGGCAGGCCTGGATAATATCCAGCCTCCCACAAGAAGGTGGTGGAGCAGAGTGTTCCCTGACTCCTCCAAGGAAAGGGAGACTCCCTTTCACGGTCTGCTAAGTAACGGGTGCCTTCCCAGGCACTGGCATTACTGCTTGACCAAGGAACCCTCAAGTGGCCCTTATGCAGGTGTGACAGAGGGCTCACCTCTTGCTTTCTAGGTCACTTCTCACAATGTCCCGTTGGCACCTGACCCTATACCCGCTGGTTATTCCTTGGTTATATTAGTAATACAACAAAGAGTAATATTAAAAGCTAATGAGTAATAATATTTATACTAATGATTGATAATGTCTATGGTTATCTCTATATCTAATTTGTATTATAACTATTCTTATTCTAACTATTTTCCTTATTATACTGCAACAGTTTGTGCCTTCAGTCTCTTGCCTCAGCACCTGGGTAATCCTTCGCCCACACTATGGCATGTTAAGTCAGGGTAAGGCTTTTCTTTGGAAAAGATGGAGGAGGTAGTGACTGGAAGGAGGTTTTGGACAGGAGGTTTTGCTACACTAGCAGTGTTAGAGATGCCCACATGATTTTTGAAACATTTAATTATTTCTGATTAAACTCTTCAGTAACCTAAGAATATAATTACATTTTCTTAACATAATAATTACTATCTAACTGCCAATAATATCTCTGTTAAAGGATTAGCAAAAATCCAAGGGTGTTCCAGAATGTCTATACTAGCAGAATCCAGCTCAAATTAATTCTAACTGTACTTATCTGGTATAGACTGGTTCAAGTAGATTAAACCATTGCCAATTTCTCCACGTAACTTCAAACTGATCCAAATAATTTAAAATTAACCCAGACTATCTCTTAGCACAACTAATATCTGACTGTTAAAGTTGAGGTTATCATTGCCTTTTTTACAGAGAAAGACAGACTCAGCGAGACAATATAGAATAGAAAAAAGAGAGGAGCGTAGCGAAAGTTTTGGCATCAGACTGCCTAACTCTCTCACTTACTATGAACTCAAGTATATGACTTAACATCTCTAAACCTCTTATCTAAAAAGGGTAAAATAATAGTACCTATCAGACAGAATAATTATTAAGACTAACTAAGGTATTATATGTAAAGTATTTAGCCCAATGACTAGGCATTCAAATCAGGAAGCACTCAATGAATATTTGCTACTATTCTTATGATCCATTTCATCAGTCAGCAGAGGACAAGCTCTACCATGGTAGCAGATAACCCCTGCATATCAGTGGCTTAACACAACCAAGCTTTGTTTTTTGCTTCTATTTGGGGCTCAGAGGAGTCAGCGAGCTTTTCTTGGCAGCTGTCCTATAGTGATCACTTGGGGATGTCAGCTGGTTCTTTCTTGCCAGTCTGTCCTCTCAGAGGTTTCTAGCTTCCAACCACACAATGTAAGAATACATGGAGAATTTACACCATCTCTTTACTGCATCACATTGCCATCAGCAAATCTCTGTCACATGGTTTTTGCCAACCAATGCTAACCCTACGGGGCCGGGAAATGCCTGGGAAGAACCTATGGGATGAACACATAACATTGTCTCTGTCTTCATACCGAGGTTCATGCTGAGGGAGGCAGCAGGGGTGTTGCTTGAGCAAGATTTCTGATCCAGCCTAATAGACACGGCCTCCTACGCAGTTCTGGACAGTTGTTTTAGTGTGGAAATGTGGGCCCATCACCTAATTCTTCAAGAGAAGCCAGAAATCTTGATATTTAATTTAATTTTTTTTTTTGTATGTTTAGTAGAGACGGGGTTTCACTGTGTTTCGATCTCCTGACCTCGTGATCTGCCCACCTCGGCCTGCCAAAGTGCTGGGATCACAGGCGTGAGCCATCGCGCCCCGCTCCGAAATCTTGATATTTAAATGTTGACAGCCAATCCTATTTGAGAGAGTGAGAGTGAGAAGGACAGTGACTGTGCTGGCCAAATTAAATAGAATTCATGTGTTGAATATCAGGTAACAACTCTGATTTCATCCCACTCTTCCATCAGATAAATAGGGACGCTAAAGCCCAAGGGGAAAAGTAATTGGCAAAACCACAATAAACACTGACAGACTAATCAGTGCCCAAACCCCAGTCTGTGCTCTTTGCTCTGAAACATGGCTATAGCAAGCCCATGCTTTCCCTCCCACTCTTGATGCTCCCAGACTCAGCAGCCTCACTTCAAAAAGAGCCATTCTTGGCAGTGACAGGTATGAGAACTGCACCAGTGGAAAGCCTGGCCCAGTCAGGCTGTTGGTACAGGTACGGTGAGCAGGAAGTCCCAGGGCCATTGCCTATTTATTGGTGATTTGCGTATCCTTTTGTACTAAGTGCCTGTTTCTATCTCTAAATTATTTTCTACTAGCTTGCCTGTCTTGCTGATTTGTAAGAGTTCTGTATGTATTCTGAATAATTGTTCTTTGAAAAGCTTGTATGTGTTGCACATATTTTAAGACCTTGCTCTTAAGGTCCTCCGCGTGTATTCACTCCAGGAGAAACAAATCATGGGGAACAGAGGGGCTGGAGAGGATGGAAGCAGTATAGCACTCCAACACTTAATGCTTGCAACAGTCACCTTCACTGTCCACTCCCCCACCCCAAGGCTGCTGAAAGAATCTGGTGGTCAAGGGCAATCTGGTAGTGATGCTTGGACACCTGAGGTACCTGAGTCACAGGTTCTATCTGAACTTCAGACACGAGATGGCTCACAGCATTTGGAGAAGCTGGAGGAGTTTCATCATAACAAATGGTGTACAACAGCTAAATTTCTCCTAGACACCAGATTATTGATGTTTTATTATGGTTTTCGTTTATTTATTTGTTCTTGTTAATGGGGGGCTCAGATATTGAGAGTGCTTTTGTCAGAGACGTTTGAATCAGAGCAACTCCATCTTGTCTAGGGGATGGGTAAAATAAGGCTGAGACCTGCTGGGCTGCATTCCCAGGAGGTTAAGGCATTCTTAGTCACAAGATGAGACAGGAGGTTGGCACAAGGCATGGGTCATAAAGACCTTGCTGATAAAACAGGTTGCAGTAAAGAAACTGGCTAAAACCCACCAACACCAGGATGGCAATGACAGTGACCTCTGGTCGTCCTCACTACTACACTCCCACCAGTACCATGACAGTTGACAAATGCCATGGCAACGACAGGAAGTTACGCAATATGATCTAAAAAAGGCAGGCCAGAATTATTTACACCTTGTTTAGCATATAATCAAGAAATAACCATAAAAATGGGCAATCAGCAATCCACCGGGCTGCTCTGTCTATGGAGGAGCAGCCATCCTTCTATTCCTTCACTTTCATTATAGACTTACTTTCACTTTACTCTATGGACTCACCCTGAATTCTTTTTTTGCATGAGATCCAAGAACCCTCTCTTGGGGTCTGGATCCGGTCCCCTTTCTGGTAACACTTCTGGGCTTGGATAACCTGTGAGAGGCAGTGAGAAGAAACGTAAGGCCTCTCTCCCTCACCTTACCTCACCAGAAGGTAAGAAAAGGTGAGAAACAAGGAGGTTTTCCTTTGCAAAGCCAAAGGGAAGAGAGTGGGTCAAGGGGCGGGGAGTTGCACAGCCCTCCAACACTTAATGCCATCAATAGTCACCCTGACTGCCTCCTCTCCCAGCCCAAGGCTGCTGGAAGAATTTGGTGGCCATGAGCAGTCTGGTAGTGACATGGGGACACCTGAAGCACTGACTCACAAGTCCTACCTCTCTCTCAGAAAGGAAGCAGCTCATAGCACTGGAGGAGCTAGAGGAGTTCCATCTGCCTTACCCTGCCAAACTTCAGGGTGGAGTGGAGACTTGAGCCTACAGGCTTACTTTTCCTCATAGATGGATTCAGGTCTGGCCCTACACCCCCTCCTGCCCTACAACCACACACACCAGTCTGGGCTGGAAGCAGTGCCTGTTGGAGGAGGGGGAGGAGCCTCTTTCCCATCCTGATCATTCCTATGTCTCCATCTTCCCAACACTTGCCCCAGTCTGGTTGTCTGGGAGACACGGAGTAAGGGTGGTTGGAAGTGTACAAGGAGTTAGGCAGGTGGTCCCAGAGTCTCCCTAATCACATGCACACAATGGGTCCCCTGTAGGCCAACTACTGACACTGTTGTTGACCTTGGGGTAGGGGTGGATGGGCTGGTGGTGAGATTACTCTTGGAGGGGCTCAGGAAGACCATGCTGGTGAGTAGGGGCTTCAAAATACATGAAGCAAAAATGGAGAAATCTCCAAAGAGAAGTAGATAAATCCAGAATTATAGGCAGATATATCAATACCTTTCTCTCAATAATCACTAGAACAAATGGAAAATCCACAGAGATATAGAAGACATCAAGACTATCAACCAACTTGATGTAATTGAGATTTATAGAACATGCCATTCAACAACAGCAGAATACACATTTCTTTCCAGTATATAGAAAACATCTGGCCAAAACAGTCCATACTCTGGATTATAAAGCATGTCTTCACTTGGAAAGTATTCAAGTGATACAGAGTATACACCAAAGAAAATCACTGAGGCAAGTCTCAATCAATTTAAAAGTTTATTTTTCCAAGGTTGAGGATGTGCCTCGGAAAAAGAGACACAAGCCACAGTAGGATTGTAGGATCTGTGACCTGTACTTTTTTCCAAATAGGATTTTGAAGTATTCAATATTTAAATGTGGAAAAGTGGGCAGGAGGGGAAAGGGGAAAAAGGAAAAAAAAGAGGGAGGGTATGGTCACATTCTTTCAAGGTTTTGATTAGGCTCACTGAATCCACATGTTGCACTACAAAAGGAGGGGTAGAGGGAACAGTCAATTATGTATTTGTCTTCTGCTCAGTAAATCTGCACTTTACATAAAATAAACATAGAGTAGAGGAAGCAGTCAAACATGCATTCCTGGGGTGGGTGGGAGATGATTTCTTTTTGTCCCTTGCCTGTGAAGATAAGCTGTTAATTTACATTGTCAGGGTGAGGGAGGCTCCCACATGTGGCCTTCTAGCTATAGCTATCAGTTTAAGAACAAAAGAAAAAGCAAGCGTTTTGCTTTTTTTCATGACTCAGCTTCCAAGGTTAATTTTTCCCTTTTGGCATAGTGAATTTGAAGTGCCAAGATTTTATTTTCCTTTCAGAAGAGTATGTTCTCTGACTGAAAATTAAATTGGGAATCAATAACAAAGACTAATAGGAATCCCCAAATATTTGGAAACTAAATAACAGACTTCTAAAAAGTAGAAAATTAGAAAGTATTTTGAGCTGAATAAAAATTGAAAACATATCGAAATTTGTGGAATGTTGCTCAAGCAGTACTTAAGTAACATTCTTAACCACTTTAAGAAACTGGAAAAAGAAGAGCAGATGAAATGAAAAATAAGCAGAAGAAATGAAATAATGAAAATTAGAGTGCAAATCAATAAAGCAGTAAACAGTAAACAAGGAAAAAAGATCAATGAATAGTTCTCAAAGAACCAGTCTTCACTCAAGAAGAAATAGATAACTTGAATAGTTCTTTATTTATTAAATAAATTAAATTTTTAAAGAGACCTTCTCTTTAAAAGAAAACTCCAGCCCAGATAGCTTCACTGGTGAATTCTACCAAACATTTAATGAGAAAACAATTTCAGTTCTACACAGACTGTTCCAGAATATTGAAGAGAATACTTCTCTACTCATTCTACAAGGCTAGCATTACCCTGATAGCAAAACCAAACAGACGTTACGAGAAAACTATAGACCAATGTTCCTTAAGAACATAGATGCACAAATTCTTTAAAAATCAGCAAATCAAATCTAACAATATATTTTTAAAATAATACATCATGACCAAGTAGGATTTATTGCAGGAACACAAAGTTCATTTGACATCCCAAAATCAATCACTGTATTTCACCATATAAACAAACTAAAAACCATGTGATTGATCTCAATAGATGAAGGAGAAGCATTGACAAAATCCAACAACCATTCCTGATAAAAACTCTCAGCTAAGAGGGAATAGAAGGAACTTCCTGAACCTGATGAAGAGTATCTATGAAAACTCTACAGCTAAAATTACATTTAATGGTGAAAGGCATGAATGATTTTGTCCTAAGCTCAAGAACAAGACAAGAATATCTGCATTTTTATTCAATGTTGTGCTGGAGAATCTAGCCAGTTCTATAAGGCAAGAAAAAGAAAAAAGAGGCATCTGTTGGGGAAAAAAGGAGTCTATTCTTTGATTACATGATAGTCTATATGGACATTTGATGGAAGTATTCGATGTGTGTTACGTAGCTTTGAAATGATTTCAAACACTTACATAATTTGCTACATGAGTGATATATGTTTTATGTGGTAAGAACTTGGAGTGTACTTCTCTTCCCTCTGAGAATGTTACATAACACATCACACCTATGACACCTCGTAGGTGAGTTACAGACTTCAACTGCTGGGTTCCAAAGTACATATAACCTAAGAGTTTGACAGACACTTTGAGAATTTAGGCCGTGGCAGGGCTACACTCTGTCGGCTGCTTCTGCAAAGACCTACAGCTCAGGCTGCAACAGGGCCGAACCATGTTAGCCTTTGAGTTAATCTCTGAAGCCTCACCAGTCAACACTGGCACTGCCCTCTCATGTCTAGGGAATATAAATGTTGTCACAGATTTCCACTGTGTTGCTCAAGCCATATAAAGGCACTCCCTAAACTTCAATTAGACTTTTCTTTCCACAGAAGCCTGTTGTCATCCTAATTGACCAACTAGACTTTAATAATTCGACTGTAACAAAATTGGAACTCATTCACTATGTGGTTAATGTACTTCACCTGTCAAGTGTATTCCCAGTGAAATTTGTTCTAATTATTCTCCCCATCTTTAAGCGTTGTGAACAAAGGAAATTTTTGTATGGCAATAAACTATGTGCTTCATACTTTGATCATCCTTTTATTTTAACCACACAAAATAGTGTGCTGGAATTTCTGGGCTTTTTTAAGCTTCAGCAGAGGAAAGCTTCAGAGTCCTGTTACTAGAAGCAGTGAGAATGGATGTTGGCTAGCAAAATCAGTTGCCAAACATAGTCTATAACATCAGTTTTAGAAATCACCCCTTAGGAATTAGTACAAAAATGGAAAATCCTACATCTGCGAAGAAGTTCATTTCAGTATTGATTACAAAATAAAGTTTTGTGAAACCATGCATCATATTATGCATCCATTTAAGATACATGTAATCAGCATGGAGTAATTTGGAGCAATGCATGTGATGTGAAATGAAGTGGAGAAAAGCAGTACTTGATAAAACAGTGGAAGAAAATACACTGAAAAGAAAAAGCCATTGGTTTTAGGGAAGTGGAATCGTGGTTGATCCCCTTTTCATATTCCTATCTTCCAGTCTTTCAGGAATATGATCACAACAGGATGTTGACTGGGACTTTTCCTGTTTTCTCAAAAGACTTTGAGATCTTTACATCTTTACTTTTTAAAAGAGCCTCAACACGTTGCTAGACACAAACCAATCTTGTGACCATCACTCCATTATCACATACCTATAGACTACAAGAAAAGACTTGAAATGTGAAAGGGAGGTTCTTTAAACAGGAAAATGTAGTCTTTATTGTAGGGGGAGAGTAATGTGGCTTTTTCCCTCCTGGGCTGTCCTCTAGGTCTCCTCCCCACCTTTGCCCCATGATGACGTTGGACAGTTCACTGGGAGGGCTTGGGACGTTTTGATGTGTCCCTTGGAATTTTGGGGATAAATGAGTCTGATGTCTCCCGCACACCTGGAGAATTCTTAAGGCAAAGGCTGACTGGAGAGGCCCGTGAAAGAAGAAAGAGGAGAAAGGGCAACAGCGGACAGCCAGCAGTGGAACTTCCCAATTTGGTGTTGCAAGGATGTGTGTGTTTAATACGGGATCTGGCAGTGTGTGCCCTGCTTGGAAACTTAACTTGGCTCCTTGGTCCCTACCCTTGTGGAGGTTATACTCTGAGTGGGAGGCAGATAGTAATCAAAGAGTCCTATAAATAAACATAAACCTACTTGTCGGAAGTACTAAAGTAGAAAGGTGCATGGTGCTACACGAGCGTATAGTAGGTATGCTTCGCCTCGTTAGAGAGGTCTGGGAGGGTTTCCTTGTGGAAGTGTTGTATGAGATCCTAAAATAAGAGTTAACCAGAGGAAATTCGTGGGGGAGGATGAGAGCATTCCTGGGGGGAGGCAACAACATATGCCAAGTTCCTGTGCTAGAAGGAGCATGCCTGTGCAAGGAACAGAAAGAAGGTCCAGTCGGGCAGAAAGCAAGGGAGAGCAGGTGCAGAAGTGCAAGGCCAACCATGGGCCTTGTGGGCCATGTTGGAATTTAGTCCTTTATATTAACAGCTCTGGAAAGAGATTAAAGCATTTGAACCTGGGAATGATGTTCTAAGACTTGTGATTTGAATGGATCATTCTAGCGGAAGTGTGGTTAAGAGATTATCAGAAGAGAATGCATGCAGGTGTAGATCTTTTTACTAATTTTGCTTGGAATATAGTGGGGCATTTCGATCTTCAGAGTATTTCTCTGGAAATTCAGAAAGTGTTTTCCTATATATTATACCCCTGGATCCACTTACTCTGACCCTCTGATCCATTTACTGTTTTCTTTAGACATTCTTTAATACTTACAGGTTGGATCTATGTAACTCATCCTCCATTCTGTAATTATCAGAATTTTCCTTCTTTTCTCTTGCATTCTGAGAAGATTTTAATGTTTATGCAAGGTCCATTTTTCTGTTTATTCTCTCCAGTTTAGGTTATATTTTGACCATTGTGTCAAATTTTATTTTATTGTATTTCTTCATTTAATTTCTTATCTCAGTCTATTACCTTCTTATTCTTGCACCTGATTGAAATAAGAGAAAAACTTATTTAAAAATACTTTTGTTGTCTGCCTTTCAAATAAGGGCTTTTTCTTAGAATCTTCAGGATGTTTTTCTGTTCTCATGAACTACAGACGTATATTATGGTTGTGGCCATGGGAGTGGTGAAATGGTGCAGCTGAATGATGGTGTTTGCAATGATAATGGGGGTGATTATAATACTGATGGTGATAATAATGGTTAAATGATGAGTTGGTGATAATACTGAGAATGATAGTGTAATAGGAAAAGGATGATAGTTCTGGGATGACGGTGAATCAAAGCGATGATGAGAATACTGATGGGTGATGAGGTTGTAATGATACATGATGAAAATAACAGAGTGATAGTGGTGGGGAAAGTGAAGGTGTCTTGGGTATGTGCTTCGTAGCTAGTGTACACACTTGGGATAGAATTAGGTAAAAGTTAAAACAAGTTTTTTTTGATGCCTCTGAGGGACACTGAGTCACTTACACTTTTTCTGCTTTGCAGCTGGTGTTGGCCCAGCTGCCTATTAAGCTGAAGTTCTTAATGATGTTCCTTCCATTTCCTGAAGCACTGAACTTAACAAGCCTCCCAGGAATTCTCACTTCTGAGCAACTCAACTGTGGCTTAATTGGGCCACAGCCAGGAGGGAAGACTTCCGAGGCAGAGGGACCCAGGAGTGGCCCCCAGTAACTGGGGAATAAACTTGGAGCCTCATAGCAGGAGGAGGAAAGAGAGAGAGTGGAGACTGTCAAGATATTACAGAGCGTAGCTCTCTGTATAATTGGCAGTTCTTATATCCTCCTGGGAAGTGTCAGCCTAATGCAGAGCTTGTGCGAGATTCTCAGCAGCTCAAAGCCGGGGGCCTGTGATTATGACTGCGAAGTGTCATACACAATTCTAAGGCAGGTCCCTGAATTCAGGTGATTATGTGTCTGCCTGAGAAGTTTTTAATCCACCTTCAGCTATCCTTGACATGCAAACCAGTCACTGAAGATCAGTGCTATTAGGAGCCTTCAAAGTTGGCTTTGCTGGTTCTTAAGTGACAGTGCAAGGGCTAGTACATCCTGGCTGCATCAGAAACCTCTCAAGTTTTAATTGCTATTATTTGTGATTTCTTTTATTTTTTTTCTAATTACACGAGTAGCCATTAATATGCTCATTATAAACGTTCAAATACAAATAAGTAAAGGTTCTCTTCGATCCTCTCTTCAGCACCAGTCCTCATACCAGAGGTTAAGTCTGCTTCCACACTTTAAAAAAATATGCTTTAACATTACGTGTGTGAATATAAAGAAATATGATTTTTTCTAAGGTAGAGGATATAATGTCTTTTTTCTAAGGTAGAGGATATAATGACATCATAACATAACAATAATACAAATTTTTATTGCTAGGCCAAACATATATATATGTGTGTATATATATGTGTGTGTATATATATGTGTGTGTGTGTGTGTGTGTGTGTGTGTATATATATATGCACTAACTTTTAATGGATGCTTCCAAAAGGGCACTATTCAATTTAAAGTCCCATCAAGAATGGTCATTAGAGGCCAGGCACGGTGGTTCACACCTGTAATCCCAGCACTTTGGGAGGCTGAGACAGGAGTATCACGAGGTCAGGAGATTGAGACCAGCCTGGCTAAAACGGTGCAACTCCATCTCTACCAAAAATACAAAAACTTAGCCGGGCGTGGTGGCGGGTGCCTGTAGTCCCAGCTACTCAGGAGGCTGAGGCAGAAGAATGGCGTGAACCTGGGAGGCGGAGCTTGCAGTGAGCCGAGATTGTGCCACTGCACTCCAGCCTGGGCGACAGAGGGAGACTCCGTCTCAACAAAAAAAAAAAAAGAAAAAAAAAAGAATGGTCATTACAGAAATGCAAATCAAAACCACAATGAGATACCATCTCCTGCCAGTTAGAATGGCAATCATTAAATAGTCAGGAAACAACAGATGCTGGAGAGGATGTGGAGAAATAGGAAAGCCTTTACACTGTTGGTGGGACTGTAAATTAGTTCAACCATTGTGGAAGACAGTGTGGCAATTCCTCAAGGATCTAGAACTAGAAATACCATTTGACCCAGCAATCCCATTACTGGGTATACACCCAAAGGATTATAAATCATGCTTGTAATCCTAACATTTTGGGAGGTCAAGGCAGGTGGATTGCTTAAGCTCAGGAGTTTGAGACCAGCCTTGGCAACATGGCAAAACCCTGTGTCTACAAATGTACAAAAATTAGCCAGTCCTGGTGGCACGCACCTGTAGTCCCAACTAATTGGGGGGCTGAGGCAGGAGGATTGCTTGAACCCGGGTGGTTGAGGCTGCAGTGACCCGAGATTGCACCACTGCACTCTAGCCTGGGCAACAAAGTAAGACCTCCATCTCAAAAAAAAAAAGAAAAAGAAAGAAAGAAAGAAAGAAAAGGTAATTAGTAAATTGGAATTAAAAACTGAAGAAATTACTTCAAGACAAAGAGATGAACAACATGAAAAAGAACTTAAAAGCCACATCCACATAAGATAGAAGAGAACATGTTGTATAAATTTGATGTAGCAGGAAAGAGTAGATAGGAGAAAGACAATACTTGAAGAAATTCCCCCAAATTGATGAAAGACAAAACAACAGATTAAAGAAGTCTGACAAATTCTCAAGCTGGATAAGTAAAAAGAAATTCACATCTGGATACAACATGGTCAACTGCTGGATGAAATCAACCCAATAGTCCCATAGACACTTTTTTTGTTGTCTTTTTGTTTTTGGATAAACATAGAAATGGACCCTTCTGGTCAATTTCTTTTTTCTTTTTTTTTTTGAGGCGGAGTCTCACTGTATCGCCCAGGCTAGAGTGCAGTAGCATGATCTCAGCTCACTGAAAGCTCCACCTCCTGGGTTCACACCATTCTCCTGCCTCAGCCTCCCGAGTAGCTGGGACTACAGGCACCCACCGCCACGCCCAGCTAATTTTTTTTTTGTATTTTTAGTAGAGATGGGGTTTCACCGTGTGAGCCAGGATGGTCTCGATCTCCTGACCTCGTGATCCAACCACCTCAGCTGCCCAAAGTGCTGGGATTACAGGCGTGAGCCACCAAGCCTGGCCCTTAAAGCTTGAAACTTGCATTTGTTTTATCTGAGTTCCTTCTTAGCAACACCCTCAGGCCACTCAAAAAAAGTATCAAAGAGCTGAAACTCACCAGGTCACAGCATCCAGACAATGAAATGCCAGACACCTCATTCATCACTATTGCTTCCTTACCCCTCCCTAGTTCCTTGGGAGGGGTACATTTTCTGTTTTCTTATACATTGTTATATTTCTTCCCTGCCATATAAACCTCTAATTCCAGTCATCAGGGGAGACAGATTTGAGACTGATCTCCCATCTCCTTGGCTACAGCACCCAATTAAAGCCTAAAGCCTTCTTCCTTGGCAATAATCCTGGTCTCAGTGATGGGCTTTCTCTGGGGCAAGCAGCAGGACCCACACCAAGCCCCTGGTGTTGTGGTAACACTGAATACAAAAGACAAACAGAAGGTCTTAAAAGCAGCCAGAAAAGAGAGATTACCTATGCAAGGCTGCCAGTTAAATTGATAGCTGGCTACTCCATAGCAGCAATACAGGTCAGAATACAATGGAATAATACCTGCAAAGTGCTGAGAGAAAACAATAGTCAGCCTAGAGTTCAAGATCCAGCAAAATGATCTTTCACTAATAAGGGTGAAACAAAGACATTTACAGGCAACAAAAATGACAAATAAATATCAAGTATGTAAAGTAATAATAATAATTATTGTTTGAGACAGTCCCCCTCTGTCACCCAGTTTGGAGTGCAATGGCACAATCATGGCTCACTGCAGCCTCAGCCTCCTGGGCACAAGTGATCCTCCCACCTCAGCCTCCTGAGTAGCTGGGACTATAGGCACATACCACCATGCCCAGCTAATTTTTAAATTTTTTTGTAGAGATGGGGTCTCCCTATGTTGCCCAGGCTGGTCTGGAACTCCTGGGCTCAAGCAATCCTCCTGTCTCAGCCTACCAAAGTGTTGGGATTACAGGTGTGAGCCACTGCACCCAGCCAACAATAATAGTTATGACCAAATTTTGTGTTAAAATTTTTAAAATAGCACTAAAATTCTGGACAAGAATAACCTGTAAGTCCAGAGGAAGGTGACTGGAGATGAACTATACCATGTCCCAGGAAAATAAATAACAAAGTATGGTCACAGATAAGGCTTGGTAAAATCACAAGAAAAATACTATGAATAGCTTTATGCTAATAAATTTGAAAATAGATAACTTTTAAACTGATGAAAAGGACACTTTTATATAAAAATATAATTTAGATGAAATGGACAATCTTATGTAAGGATATAATTTACCAAAAACAGTCTTAAAACCTACATTGATCTATAACCTTTAAATAGATAGAATTAATAGTTTGTAATAATCTGCCCCCCTCCCCACTAAAAAAAGGACCTTGGAAATTTTAAAGGCAAGTTCCGTCAAATATTCAAGTGGCATATGATTCTAATTTTACACAAGTTGTTCCAAATAATCCAAAAAGGGGGACACTGGGCGGGAAATGCTCTCAAATTCATTTACGGTAATCAATCTAATTTGATACCAAAGCCAGTAAAAAGCTGAAGAAAGAAAATACATAGACCAGTTTCATTTACGAAGAGAGATGTAAAGAGCCTCGATACATTAGCAAACCATATCTCATATGTACAAAAAAAAAAATCTTTTAGCAAATAAGGATTAAAAGAAGCTTTCTTGGCCAGGTGCAGTGGCTCACATCTGTAATCCCAGTGCTTTAGGAAGCCCAGGCAGCTGAGGAGGGAAGATCACTTGAGCCCAGGAGTTCTAGGCTGCAGTGAGCTATGACTGTGCCACTGCATTCCAGCCTGGGCAACAGAGCAAGACCCATCTCAAAAAAAAAAAAAAAAAGAAAAAAGAAAAAACCAACAACAACAGCAACAAAAAACCAGCAGCAACTTTCTTAAACCTAAAAAGTATATCTTCTAAAAATCTATAGCAAACATCAACCTTCATGGTAAAATACTACATATAATTTAAGTCAGAAACAAGACAAAGATGCCCATAATTACCACTTCTCTTCACATTGCACTAGATGTCCTGACTAGTGCAGTAAGACAAGAAAAACAAACATAGAGTTTAAGAATTGATGAGTAAACAAAGTTGCTAGCATTCATAAATAATTGGGTTGTGTATATAGAAACACCAGAGAAAATACAAAGTACAATGTAAGTTTACATAAGAGTTTATCAATTTTATGAAAGAACAGAAAGATATTAGTGTTTTAAAGATATTAGTGTTTATTTTTAAATTATAGTGATTAAAATTGTGTGGTTTTTGACCACTGAAACAGAATAAAGAGACCAGAAACAGACCTTCATACATGGGACAGTAATATGACAAAAGTAAGCCCTACAAATCAAAGTAGAAAAAATGGTCTATTCAATATTTGATCTTAGGACAATTGGTTACCCATATTTAAAAAAACAGAGCCTTATATATCACACCATATATACAGATCCATTTCAGGTAGATAATCAGTTTGATGTGAAAGCAAAACTTTAAACTTTTAAAAGAAATTATAATAATGATCTGTTTATGAGCTTGGGGTAGGGAAGGATACAGAACATATAAAATGTAAATTATGTAGGATAATACATTTGACTACAAATAAAATGTGTCTATGTATCTAAAGGTACAACAAACAAATTGAAAAGTTACGGTGTAGTCTGGGGGAAAATATGTGTAGCACAAATATCAGCTGAAATAGCATTTCACTTAATCTTCATGGCAACTCTGTGAGATGGGTGTTTTATGTCCACCTTATAAATGTAGAAATTGAAGCTAAGTGAAGATAATACATTTGCTCATAATTGTGATAAACAAAGATTCAACCTAGATCTGTCTCCTTCTGAAGCTTATGCTTCTAATCCCTCTACCACAGCTCCTTGCATAAACACGAAGCACCATTGAATGGGTGCAGAGATGAGGGGCAGAGGAACGGAGACTCTAGCACAGGAGAGAAGCCAAGAAGGCATCCCCAATATGAGAGAAAAGTGAGACTTCAGGATGATAACAAAGTAACCAAACCAGGTTGAAGCAACTCAGAAGGCTCCAGAAAAGAGATCTTCAACAAGATGAAGTTTTAAGAAAATCTTGTGTATCTGAATTTGGGAGAAAACTTAGACAATAGTGGGGAAAGTATGAAGATGAATTAGTAATAAATAAATATAAAACTAAAGAAGAAAGGTAAATGGAAATTAAACACTATCTATACAGTGTGTGTGTCCTTCAGTAGGTGAGTGAATAAATAAATTGTGGAATATTTAGGGGATGAAATTCTATGCAACAGTTAACAATGAACCCACTACAACGATCCATGTATCAGCATAGATAAGTCATTAACAAGAATGTTGAGTGAAAAAAACAAATCAGAAAAAGTAAAACATACATTATTTTATATTTAAAATATGAGAACAAAATAATACTATATATAATATTATTTTTTAATAAATCCATATTTGATAAAAGACTATAAACATCAACAGAAGAATATACACTAATTTCAGAATAGTGTCTACTTCTGGGGAAGAATGGATTGATACAATTATAGCAAAAAGTTAAAAGGTGTTAAACCTGGATGATGGATACAAGGATGATTGTTATATTTTTGTTATATTCATTTGCATATTTTTCTGTATTTAGAAAGTATTCCAGAAATCTTTAAAATCAAACACGCACACACACACACACACACACCCACGAGGAAGAACTGCTTAAAGTGAATCAACTCTTTTCCAAACTGCTTTCAGCCTCCAGGCTTTGGAAATTTAATACCAAAGCCTGGTCCATGTTTTGATCAAAATTCTTGGGGCAACTGAGTACAGAGGCCCATCTAGGTTCTAGGAAATGTTAAGCAAAACAATGGGCCTTGCCCCAGGAAACACATCAATAAGGAAGACTCTGAAAGTTTCTATAAATTGAGCTGATAAATTGATCAACAAAAATATTGACATGAACACTGTGTATTCAAACTGGCATGCTAGTACAAATAAGGCAACAGCAAAGAGGGAGGAGACTCATATTTATTTCGCACAATAGAGTCCACTGTTGAAACATAAGCCTGCTTTTCTCAGTACACCCACCAGGCCAGTAAAATACTCAAGCAATGCTAAGTGATAAAGTTAAGCCTTTTATCAGACCTAATTAGGTCAGTCCCCTCTGATCTTCCAGAGCAAAAGTTGATCAAAAATCTACAGAAATATTAATGGCAAGTAACATTTATTAAATGTACTACAGTATCCCCTCATCTGTGGTTTCACTTTTTATAGTTTTAATTACCCATGATCAACTGCAGTCTGAAAATAGGTAAGTACAGCACAATAAGATATTTTGAGACAGAAAGGGGCTACATTCACATAATTTTTATTATGGTATATATATGTGTGTGTGTGTGTGTGTGTGTGTGTGTGTGTGTATATTTTTTGAGACTGTCTCTCTCTGTCTCCTAGGCTGGAGTTCAGTGGCATGATCTCAGCTCACTGCAACCTCCACCTCCCGGGTTCCAGCAATTCTCCTGCCTCAGCGTCCTTAGTAGCTGGGATTACAGGTGCGCACCACCACACCCAGCTAATTTTTGTATTTTTAGTAGAGACAGGGTTTCACCATGTTGGACAGGCTGGTCTCAAACTCCTGACCTCAAGTGATCTGCCCGCCTCGGCCTCCCAAAGTGTTGGGATTACAGGCATAAGCCACTGCGCCCAGCCTATTACAGTCTATTCTTATAATTGTTCTATTTTATTGCTAGCTATTGTTAATCTCTTACTGTGCCTAATTTATAAATTAAACTTTATCATAGGTACCTATCTATAGGAAAAAACATAGTATATATAGGGTATGGTACTATCTGTGGTTTCAGGCATCCACTGGGGACCTTGGAATGTATCCAGTGTGGATAAGGAAAAAAACGACAGTATTTTTCAGTTGTGTTTCTAAGTTCTTCAGATGTAAATGCAGAATCCTCCCAATGCTATTTTGCCCCTCATCTTACTGATGAAGGAACTGAGGCCCAGAGAGGTTAAGGCCACATTGAAATAACATGGTGGAGTTACAATTCAAAACCAGGTATTCATGCAAAAATCCAATTCAAATTGGATCATAGAACTAAATGTGAACGTTTTTAAAAAGACAAGACTTGGAAGTCTAAAGAGTTATGTTATGGTGATGTCAGCAAGATGGCAGAAGCTCCAGGTCCCTGTTCTCCCATGGAAACATCAAGTAAATGACAACGTATTTACTGAAAATCAGAGGCCGGGTGCGCCGACTCACGCCTGTAATCCCAGCACTCTGGGAGGCCAAGGCAGGCAGCTCACTCAAGGTCAGGAGCTCAAGACCAGCCTGGCCAACATGGCACAACCCTGTGTCTACTAAAAATACAAAAATTAGCTGGGTGTGGTGGCACATGCCTGTAGTCCCAGCTACTCGGGAGGCTCAGGCACGAGAATTGCTTGAACCCAGGAGGCGGAGGTTGCAGTGAGCTGAGATTGTACCACCGCACTCCAGCCTGGGTGACAACAGCAAGACCCTGTCTAAAAAAAAAAAATCTCGGCTCTTACAGTTGTAGGAGCTGTAGAAACCAGTCAAGGATCTGCAGCAACCAATCAATTAAACACCCAATCAAGACAAAGCAACACTTAACACAGTAGGAAATTGTGTTGCTTTTTTTTTTTTTTTTTTTTTTTTTTTGAGCCCTTGCCTACCTTCTCCTCAGTGCAACACAGTCAGGAGGAAGTCACACAATTCCCCTTTCAGAGGGAAAAGACTGGGACTTGTTTGCACTGTTCTGTCTTGTCTGGAGGCTGCCTGAGGAACTGATTTTTATCTCATCTGACTCAGCTTAGATGGGAACGGTGGCATAGTTGGATAGCAGGTTGGACCCCACTGAAAGCAGTGGCAGGTGCCATGGCACATGAAAACTGCCGGAGAACTGTAGACCCAAGGGCACTTGGAGCGGGAGATTACAGGCAGAGAATTACAATGGAACATCTAAGACCCTGAGAAGAAGCAGGGGTGAAAGTCTTAGGAAAATCAAGACGTTTAAAAGCCGCTGTGCATATCTTTGAAAAGCCCACAACTAACGTCATACTCAATGGTGAAAGACTGAAAGCTTTCCCTCTAAATTAGAAGCAAGAATGTCTCTTTTTATCACTCTATTCAACATAGTACTAGAAGTCTTAGCCAGAGAAATTAGGCAAGGAAAAGAAATAAAAGGCATCCAAGTTGGAAAGGAAGAAGTAAAATTATCTCTGTTCACAGACAACTTGGTCTTATAGGTAGAAAACCCTAAAAATCCCAACAAAAACAGTGTTGAAACTAATAAACCAATTTAGCAAAGTTACAAGATATAAAATCAACATGCAAATATCAGTTGTCTTTCTATGCACTAACAACAAACAATCCAAGAAGGAAATTAAGAACAAAATTTTATTTACAATAGCATCAAAGGGATAAAATACTTAGGAATAACCTTAGAGGCAAAAGACTTGTTCACTGCAAACTACAAATTTTGGTGAAAGAAATTAAGGAAGACACCCTTAAGTAGAATATCCTTTCCAATCCATGTTCATAGATTGGAAGATATAATATTGTTAAGAAGTCAATATTACCAAAAGGGATCTACAGATTTGACATAATGTCTATCAAAATCTCAATGATTTCTTTTTAGAAATTAAAAAATTACCTGGGCAATGATTCTATGAAAAAAAATCCACGTCAAACTAAGATAAAATCTCAAGGGACAAAACAATCGAAAAACAAAGTCGGGGAGGAGCCAAGATGGCCGAATCTACAGCTCCCAGCGTGAGCGACGCAGAAGACGGGTGATTTCTGCATTTCCATCTGAGGTACCGGGTTCATCTCACTAGGGAGTGCCAGACAGTGGGCGCAGGTCAGTGGGTGCGCGCACCGTGCACGAGCCGAAGCAGGGCAAGGCACTGCCTCACTTGGGAAGCGCAAGGGGTCAGGGAGTTCCCTTTCCGAGTCAAAGAAAGGGGTGACGGACGCACCTGGAAAATCGGGTCACTCCCACCCGAATACTGCGCTTTTCCGACTGGCTTAAACGGCGCACCACGAGATGATATCCCGCACCTGGCTCGGAGGGTCCTACGCCCACGGAGTCTCGCTGATTGCTAGCACAGCAGTCTGAGATCAAACTGCAAGGCGGCAGGGAGGCTGGGGGAGGGGCGCCCGCCATTGCCCAGGCTTGCTTAGGTAAACAAAGCAGCCGGGAAGCTCCAACTGGGTGGAACCCACCACAGCTCAAGGAGGCCTGCCTGCCTCTGTAGGCTCCACCTCTGGGGGCAGGGCACAGACAAACAAAAAGACAGCAGTAACCTCTGCAGACTTAAATGTCCCTGTCTGACAGCTTTGAAGAGAGTAGTGGTTCTTCCAGCACGCAGCTGGAGATCTGGGAACGGGCAGACTGCCTCCTCAAGTGGGTCCCTGACCCCTGACCCCTGAGCAGCCTAACTGGGAGGCACCCCCCAGCAGGGGCACACTGACACCTCACACAGCAGGGTATTCCAACAGACTTGCAGCTGAGGGTCCTGTCTGTTAGATGGAAAACTAACAAACAGAAAGGACATCCACACCAAAAACCCATCTGTACATCACCATCATCAAAGACCAAAAGTTGATAAAACCACAAAGATGGGGAAAAAACAGAACAGAAAAACTGGAAACTCTAAAACGCAGAGCGCCTCTCCTCCTCCAAAGGAACGCAGTTCCTCACCAGCAAGGGAACAAAGCTCGATGGAGAATGACTTTGAGAGCTGAGAGAAGAAGGCTTCAGATGATCAAATTACTCTGAGCTACGGGAGGACATTCAAACCAAAGGCAAAGAAGTTGAAAACATTGAAAAAAATTTAGAAGAATGTATACCTAGAATAACCAATACAGAGAAGTGCTTAAAGGAGCTGATGGAGCTGAAAACCAAGGCTCGAGAACTATGTGAAGAATGCAGAAGCCTCAGGAGCTGATGTGATCAACTGGAAGAAAGGATATCAGCAATGGAAGATGAAATGAATGAAATGAAGTGAGAAGGGAAGTTTAGAGAAAAAAGAAAAAGAAATGAGCAAAGCCTCCAAGAAATATGGGACTATGTGAAAAGACCAAATCTACATCTGATTGGTGTACCTGAAAGTGATGGGGAGAATGGAACCAAGTTGGAAAACACTCTGCAGGATATTATCCAGGAGAACTTCCCCAATCTAGCAAGGCACGCCAACGTTCAGATTCAGGAAATACAGAGAATGCCACAAACATACTCCTCGAGAAGAGCAACTCCAAGACACATAATTGTCAGATTCACCAAAGTTGAAATGAAGGAAAAAATGTTAAGGGCAGCCAGAGAGAAAGGTCGGGTTACCCTCAAAGGGAAGTCCATCAGACTAACAGCGGATCTCTCGGCAGAAACCCTACAAGCCAGAAGAGAGTGGAGGCCAATGTTCAACATTCTTAAAGAAAAGAATTTTCAACCCAGAATTTCATATCCAGCCAAACTAAGCTTCATAAGCGAAGGAGAAATAAAATACTTTACAGACAAGCAAATGCTGAGAGATTTTGTCACCACCAGGCCTGCCCTAAAAGAGCTCCTGAAGGAAGCGCTAAACATGGAAAGGAACAACCGGTACCAGCCGCTGCAAAATCATGCCAAAATGTAAAGACCATCGAGACTAGGAATAAACTGCATCAACTAACGAGCAAAATCACCAGCTAACATCATAATGACAGGATCAAATTCACACATAACAATATTAACTTTAAATGTAAATGGACTAAATGTTCCAGTTAAAAGACACAGACTGGCAAATTGGATAAAGAGTCAAGACCCATCGGTGTGCTATATTCAGGAAACCCATCTCACGTGCAGAGACACACATAGGCTCAAAATAAAAGGATGGAGGAAGACCTACCAAGCAAATGGAAAACAAAAAAGGCAGGGGTTGCAATCCTAGTCTCTGATAAAACAGACTTTAAACCAACAAAGATCAAAAGAGACAAAGAAGGCCATTACATAATGGTAAAGGGATCAATTCAACAAGAAGAGCTAACTATCCTAAATATATATGCACCCGATACAGGAGCACCCAGATTCATAAAGCAAGTCCTGAGTGACATACAAAGAGACTTAGACTCCCACACATTAATAATGGGAGACTTTAACACCCCACTGTCAACATTAGACAGATCAACGAGACAGAAAGTCAACAAGGATACCCAGGAATTGAACTCAGCTCTGCACCAAGTGAACCTAATAGACATCTACAGAACTCTCCACCCCAAATCAACAGAATATACATTCTTCTCAGCACCACACCACACCTATTCCAAAATTGACCACGTACTTGGAAGTAAAGCTCTCCTCAGCAAACGTAAAAGAACAGAGATTATAACAAACTATCTCTCAGACCACAGTGCAATCAAACTAGAACTCAGGATTAAGAATCTCACTCAAAACCGCTCAACTACATGGAAACTGAACAACCTGCTCCTGAATGACTACTGGGTACATAACGAAATGAAGGCAGAAATAAAGATGTTCTTTGAAACCAACGAGAACAAAGACACAACATACCAGAATCTCTGGGACGCATTCAAAGCAGTGTGTAGAGGGAAATTTATAGCACTAAATGCCCACAAGAGAAAGCAGGAAAGATCCAAAATTGACACCCTAACATCACAATTAAAAGAACTAGAAAAGCAAGAGCAAACACATTCAAAAGCTAGCAGAAGGCAAGAATTAACTAAAATCAGAGCAGAACTGAAGGAAATAGAGACACAAAAAACCCTTCAAAAAATTAATGAATCCAGGAGCTGGTTTTTTGAAAGGATCAACAAAATTGATAGACCGCTAGCAAGACTAATAAAGAAAAAAAGAGAGAAGAATCAAATAGACACAATAAAAAATGATAAAGGGGATATCACCACCGATCCCACAGAAATACAAACTACCATCAGAGAATACTACAAACACCTCTACACAAATAAACTAGAAAATCTAGAAGAAATGGATAAATTCCTCAACACATACACTCTCCCAAGACTAAACCAGGAAGAAGTTGAATCTCTGAATAGACCAATAACAGGATCTGAAATTGTGGCAATAATCAATAGCTTACCAACCAAAAAGAGTCCAGGACCAGATGGATTCACAGCCGAATTCTACCAGAGGTAAAAGGAGGAGCTGGTACCATTCCTTCTGAAACTATTCCAATCAATAGAAAAAGAGGGAATCCTCCCTAACTCATTTTATGAGGCCAGCATCATTCTGATACCAAAGCTGGGCAGAGACACAACCAAAAAAGAGAATTTTAGACCAATATCCTTGATGAACATTGATGCAAAAATCCTCAATAAAATACTGGCAAAACGAATCCAGCAGCACATCAAAAAGCTTATCCACCATGATCAAGTGGGCTTCATCCCTGGGATGCAAGGCTGGTTCAATATACGCAAATCAATAAGTGTAATCCAGCATATAAACAGAGCCAAAGACAAAAACCACATGATTATCTCAATAGATGCAGAAAAAGCCTTTGACAAAATTCAACAACCCTTCATGCTAAAAACGCTCAATAAATTAGGTATTGATGGGACATATTTCAAAATAATAAGAGCTATCTATGACAAACCCACAGCCAATATCATACTGAATGGGCAAAAACTGGAAGCATTCCCTTTGAAAACTGGCACAAGACAGGGATGCCCTCTCTCACCACTCCTATTCAACATAGTGTTGGAAGTTCTGGCCAGGGCAATTAGGCAGGAGAAGGAAATAAAGGGTATTCAATTAGGAAAAGAGGAAGTCAAATTGTCCCTGTTTGCAGATGACATGATTGTATATCTAGAAAACCCCACTGTCTCAGCCCAAAATCTCCTTAAGCTGATAAGCAACTTCAGCAAAGTCTCAGGATACAAAATCAATATACAAAAATCACAAGCATTCTTATACAACAACAACAGACAAACAGAGAGCCAAATCATGAGTGAAATCCCATTCACAATTGCTTCAAAGAGAATAAAATACCTAGGAATCCAACTTACAAGGGATGTGAAGGACCTCTTCAAGGAGAACTACAAACCACTGCTCAAGGAAATAAAAGAGGATACAAACAAATGGAAGAACATTCCATGCTCATGGGTAGGAAGAATCAATATTGTGAAAATGGCCATACTGCCCAAGGTAATTTACAGATTCAATGCCATCCCCATCAAGCTACCAATGCCTTTCTTCACAGAATTGGAAAAAACTACTTTAAAATTCATATGGAACCAAAAAAGAGCCCGCATTACCAAGTCAATCCTAAGCCAAAAGAACAAAGCTGGAGGCATCACACTACCTGACTTCAAACTATACTACAAGGCTACAGTAACCAAAACAGCATGGTACTGGTACCAAAACAGAGATATAGATCAATGGGACAGAACAGAGCCCTCAGAAACAACGCCGCATATCTACAACTATCTGATCTTTGACAAACCTGAAAAAAACAAGCAATGGGGAAAGGATTCCCTATTTAATAAATGGTGCTGGGAAAACTGGCTAGCCATATGTAGAAAGCTGAAACTGGATCCCTTCCTTACACCTTATACAAAAATCAATTCAAGATGGATTAAAGACTTAAACGTTAGACCTAAAACCATAAAAACCCCAGAAGAAAACCGAGGCATTACCATTCAGGACATAGGCATGGGCAAGGACTTCATGTCTAAAACACCAAAAGCAATGGCAACAAAAGACAAAATTGACAAATGGGATCTAATTAAACTAAAGAGCTTCTGCACAGCAAAAGAAACTACCATCAGAGTGAACAGGCAACCTAAAAAATGGGAGAAAATTTTCACAACCTACTCATCTGACAAAGGGCTAATATCCAGAATCTACAATGAACTCAAACAAATTTACAAGAAAAAAACAAACAACCCCATCAAAAAGTGGGTGAAGGACATGAACAGACACTTCTCAAAAGAAGACATTTATGCATCCAAAAAACACATGAAAAAATGCTCATCCTCACTGGCCATCAGAGAAATGCAAATCAAAACCACAATGAGATACCATCTCACACCAGTTAGAATGGCAGTCATTAAAAAGTCAGGAAATAACAGGTGCTGGAGAGGATGTGGAGAAATAGGAACACTTTTACACTGTTGGTGGGACTGTAAACTAGTTCAACCATTGTGAAAGTCAGTGATCTAGAACTAGAAACACCATTTGACCCAGCCATCCCATTACTGGGTATATACCCAAAGGACTATAAATCATGCTGCTATAAAGGCACATGCACACGTATGTTTATTGTGGCATTATTCACAATAGCAAAGACTTGGAACCAACCCAAATGTCCAACAATGATAGACTGGATTAAGAAAATGTGGCACATATACACCATGGAATACTATGCAGCCATAAAAAATGATGAGTTCATGTCCTTTGTAGGGACATGGATGAAATTGGAAATCATCATTCTCAGTAAACTATCGCAAGAACAAAAAACCAAACACCGCATATTCTCACTCATAGGTGGGAATTGAACAATGAGATCACATGGACACAGGAAGGGGAATATCACACTCTGGGGACTGTTGTGGGGTGGGGGAGGGGGAGGGATAGCATTGGAAGATATACCTAATGCTAGATGACGAGTTAGTGGGTGCAGCACACCAGCATGGCACATGTATACATACGTAACTAACCTGCACAATGTGCACATGTACCCTAAAACTTAAAGTATAATAAAAAAGAAAAAGAAAAACAAAGTCAGAGGTCTCTTGATTTCAAAACTTACTATAAAGCCACAGTAATAAAAACAGTGTGGTACTGGCATAAAGATAAACATAAAGACCAATGGAATAGACTGGAGAGCCCAAAAATAAACCTCTATGTGGTCAAATGATGTTTGACAAGGGTGTCAGTACCATTAAATAGGAAAAGAACAGTCTTTTCTGCAAATGGTGGTGTGAAAACTGGATATCTACATGCAAAAGAATGAAGTTGGACCTTAAACCACATACAAAAAGTAACCCAAAATGGATCACAGACCTAAACGTAAGACCTAAAACTATAAAATGTGTAGAAGAAAACATAAGGGGAAGCTTCATGACATTGGATTTGGCAGTGATTTCTTGAATATTACACCAAAAGCACAGGCAACAAAATAAAATATAGATCACTTGGACTACATCAAAATTTAAAATTCCTGTGCCTCAAAAGTCACAAGAAACAGAGTGAAAGGGTAACCAATTGAATGAGTGAATATATTCGCAAATCATATATCTGAAAAGGGGTTAATATCCAGAATGTATAAAGAATTTCTACAACAACAGCAAAAACTCCAATTTAAAAATGAGCAAAGGAGGGCTGGACGTGGTGGCTCACACCTGTAATCCCAGCACTTTGGGAGGCCAAGGCAGGCAGATCACCTGAGGTCAAGAGTCCAAGACCAGCTTGGCCAACATGGTGAAACCTTGTCTCTACCAAAAATAAAAAAGTTAGCTGGGGATGGTGACAGGGGCCTGTAATCTCAACTACTTGGGAGGCTGAGACAGGAGAATGGCTTGAACCCAGGAGGTGGAGGTTGCAGTGAGCCGAGATTATGCCACTGCACTCCATCTCGAAAAAAAAAGCAAAACTCCATCTCAAAAAAAAAAAAAAAAATGGGCAAAGGATATGACTAGACATTTTTCTAAAGAAGATATACAAATGGCTAATAAACACATGAAGAGATGCTCAACATCCCTAACCACTAGGTAAATGTAAATGTAAATCAAAACCACAATGAGATACCATCTTACATCCATTAGAGTGGCTATTATATTTTTTAAATAAACAGAAAATAACAAGTATTGGCAAGGATATAGAGTAATTGGAATCCTTGTGCACTGTTGGTAGGATTGTAAAAATGGTGCAGCTACTATGGAAAATGATATGGCAGCTCCCCAAAAGATTTAAAACAGAATTATGGATATACCATAGCAATTCCACTTCTAGGCATATACATAAAAGAATTGAGAGCAGGGTCTCAAACATATTTGTACACCCATGTTCACAGTAGTATTATTTACAATAGCCAAAAGGTGGAAGCAACTCGAGTATCCTTCAACAGATGAACAAATAAACAAAATGTATATACATACAATGGGATATTATTCAGTCTTAAAGGAAGGAAATTCTGACACATACTTCAACATGGATGAACCCTAAGGACAGTATTCTAAGTAAATAAGCCAGTCACAAAAGGACAAATACTGTATGAATTTCACTTATATGAGGTACCAAGAGTAGTCAAATTCATAAAGACAGGTGTAGAATGGTGGTTGCCAGAAGCTGGGGGGGAAAATGGCTTTTTTTTTTTAATGAATATAGAGTTTTAGTTTTGCAAGATAAAAATATCTATATGACCTCAAGATAGGCAAGATTTATTTAAAAACACACAAAAGGCATTCACCATAAGGAAAGGAAAAATATTCTTATATTTGATTTTTGATTGTTTGAAAATTAAGAAATTGGCCAGGCACAGTGGCTCATGCCTGTAATCCCAGCACTTTGGGAGGCCAAGGCAGGTAGATCACAAGGTCAGGAGATCAAGACCATCCTGGCTAACATGGTGAAACCCCGTCTCTACTAAAAATACAAAAAGTTAGCTGGGTGTGGTGGTGGGCACCTGTAGTCCCAGCTACTCAGGAGGCTGAGGCAAGAGAATGGCGTGAACCCGGGAGGTGGAGCTTGCAGAGAGCCCAGATCGTGCCACTGCACTCCAGCCTGGGCGACAGAGCTAGACTCCATCTCAAAAAAAAAAAAAAAAAAAAAAAAAAGAAAAAAGAAAAGATAAGAAAATTAAGAAATTCCAAAGGTGCCATTAAAAGAGTGAGCTAGGCACAGTGGTGTGTGCCTGTAGTCACAACCACTGAGGAGGCTGAGGTGGGAGGATCACTTGACGCCAGGCTAGGCAACAAAGCAAGACTCCCATCTCGAAAGAAAGAAAGAAAGAAAGACAGAAAGACAGACAGACAGAAAGAAAGAAAGAAAGAAAGGAGGGAGGGAGGGAGGGAGGGAAGGAGGAAGAGAAGAAATTCGTAATACATGTACAGTATCTAGCAAGAGTCCTATCTAGAATATCTAAAAGATTCCTTCAAATGAATAAGAAAAAGACAAACTTCTTTTAAAATGGATAAAATATTTGAGGCAGTGTTTTACAATAGAGGAATTCAAATAACCAATAAACATGTAAAGAGTTGTTCAGCATCATTAATCATTGGGAGAATAAAAATAAAACCACAATGAGATACCATTACACACCCACCAGAATGGTTCATATTGTGTGAAACTGACAATACCAAAAGTTGGTAAGAACACGGAGTAACAAACTCTCATGTCCGTCTGGTGAGAGTAAAACTTGATAAAATCACTTTAGAAAATTGTTCATCAGTAAATAGTAAAGCTGAACATATGCATACCTTATGATTCAGTAATTCCCGTCCTAAATATATACCCAATAGCAATTAATTAATGCATATGCACACCAGAAGATATGTAAAAATACTTATAGCAGTATTATTTGTAATAGCCAAAATAATCCAAAACTAAGTTGAATACACAATAGTAAAATGGATACACAAATTATAGTATAGTCACATAATAAAATACTACACAGATTATCTATTCAGGACAATTAGGCAAGAGATTAAATTTTATTAGACATTCAGAATGGAAAGGAAGAAGTAAAATTATCTATATTTGCAGATGACATAATCTAGTATATAGAAAATTTTAAGGAATTGGCTAAAAAACTGTTAGAACTAATAAATTCAGCAAGGCTGCAGGATGCAAGATTAATATACAAGAAAGCAATTCTGGCAATAAGGAATCTAAAAATGAAACTAAGAAAATCTATTTATAATGCCATCAAAAAGAATAAAATCCTTAGGAATAAATTTAACAAAAATACAAAACTTATTCTGTGAAAAGTGCAATACATTATGTAGGAAATTAAAGATTGAAATAAATGGAAAGACATCTCATGTTTATGAGCCAGAGGACAATATTATTAAAATGACAATACTCTCCAAATTTATCTATACCTTCAACACAATCCCTTTCATAATCCCAGCTGGCATTTTTGCAAAATTTGACAAACTGATTCTAAAATTCATATGGAAGTTCAAGGGACTTGGAAGAGGCAAAGCAATCTTGGAAAAGATCAGAAGATTCATACTTCCTGACATCAGAATTTATGCAAATTTAATGTAATAAAGACAGTGAGCTGTGGCCGGGCATGGTGGCTCATGCCTGTAATCCCAGCACTTTGGGAGGCCGAGGCGGGAGGATCATGAGGTCAGGAGATTGAGACCATCCTGGCTAACATGGTGAAACCCCGTCTCTACTAAAAATACAAAAAATTAGCCGGGCTTGGTGGTGGGCACCTATATTCCCAGCTACTCGGAAGGCTGAGGCAGGAGAATGGTGTGAACCCAGGAGGCAGAGCTTGCAGTGAGCTGAGATCACGCCACTGCACTCCAGTGTGGGTGACAGAGTGAGACTCCAACTCAAAAAAAAAAAAAAAAAAAAGACAGCTACTGGCATAAAGATAGACATGTAAATCAGTGGACTAAACTGATAGTCCAGAAATAAATGCATTAACGAACAGTTGATTTTAGACAAGGGCGCCAAGACAATTCAATGCAAAAAGCATAGTCTTTAAATAAATGGTACTAACATACTGGATAGTGACATGTAAAAGAGTGAGGTTGGACCCTGATATGGTTTGGATTTATGTCTCCACCCAAATCTTAAGTCCATTTGTAATTCCCAGTATTGGAAGAGGGGCCTGGTAGGAGGTGATTAGATTATGGGGGTGGATTTCCCCCTTGCTGTTCTTGTGATAGTGAGTTCTCACAAGATCTGGTTGTTTAAAAATGTGTAACACCTCCCTCTTTGCTCTCTTCCTCTTGCTCCAGCCTTGTAAAACATCCCTCCTTCCTCTTTGCCTTCCCTGCTATGATTGTAAGTTTCCTGAGGCCTCCCCACCCATGCTTCCTATATAGCCTGCAGAACCATGAACCAATTAAACCTCTTTTCTTTATAAATTACCCAGTCTTGGGCAGTTCCTCATAGCAATTCAATAACTGACTAATACAGAAATTGGTGCCAGGAGTGGGACATTGCTATAAAGATACCTGAAAATGTGGAAGTGGCTTTGGAACTGGAAAACGGGCAGAAGTTGGAACACTTTGGAGGACTTAGAAGAAGTCTGGAAGATGAGGAAAAGTTTGGAACTTCAGAGAGACTTGTTAAATTGTTGTGACCAAAATGCTGATAGCGATATGGACAATGAAGTCCAGACTGAGGTGGTCTCAACTAGAGATGAGGAGCTTATTAGGAACTGGAGTAAAGGTCATTCTTGTTATGTTTTAGCAGAGACTGGCAGCATTGTGCCCCTGCTCTAGGGATCTGTGTAACTTTGAACTTGAGAGTGATGATTTAGGGTATCTGGCAGAAGAAATGTCTAAGCAGCAAAGTGTTCAAGATGTGGCCTGGCTGCTTCTAGCAACCTATGCCCATATTTGTGAGCAAAGAGATGATCTAAAACTGGAACTTATATTTGAAAAAGAAGCAGAGCATAAAAGTTTAGAAAATTTGCAGCCTGACCATGTGGTAGAAAAGAAAAATCCATTGTATTAGTTCTTTTTCATGCTGCTGATAAAGACATACCCAAGACTGGACAATTTACAAAAGAAAGAGGTTTAATTGACTCAGTTCCACATGGCTGGGGAGGTCTCACAATCATGGCAGATGGCAAAAGGCACATCTCACATGGCAGCAGACAAGAGAAGAGAATGAGAGCCAAGTGAAAGGGGTTTCCCCTTATAAAACCATCAGATCTCATGAGACCTGTTCACTACCACGAGAACACTGTGGGTGAAACTGCCACCATGATTCAATTATCTCCCACTGGGTCCCTCCCACAACATGAGGGAATTATGGAAGCTACAATTCACGATGAGATTTGGGTGAGGACACAGCCAAACCATATCACCCATTTTCTAGGGAGGAATTAAAGCCAGGCTGCAGAAATTTGCATAAGTAAAGAGGAGCCAAATGTTAATAGCCAAGACAATGGGGAAAATGCCATAAAGACATTTCAGAGACCTTTGCAGCAGCTCCTCCCATCACAGGCCCAGAGGCCTGGGAGGGAAGAATGGTTTTATGGGCTGGACCCAGAGCCCCACTACCCTGTGCAACCTCAGGATGCTGCTCCCTATGTCTCATCTGCTCCAGCTCCAGCCATAGCTAAAAGGGTCCCAGATATGTCTCAGGCCACTGCTCCAGAAGGTGCAAGGCACAAGCCTTGACAGCTACCACATGGTAAGAAATTTGTGGGTGCACAGAGGGCAAGAGTTGAGGCTTGGGAGCTTTCACCTAGATTTCAGAGGATGTATAGAAATGCCTGGAGGTCCAGGCAGAAGTCTGCTGCAGGGGTGGTGTGCTCATGGAGAGCCTCTACTAGGGCAGTGCAGAGAAGAAATGTGGGATTGGAGCCCCCACACAGTCCCCACTAGGGCACTGCCCCGTGAGAAAAGGACCACCATCCTCCAGATCCCAGAATGGTAGATCCAGTGACACCTTGCACTGTGCACCTGGAAAAGCTGCAGGCACTCAATGCCAGCCTGTAAAAACAGCTGAGGGGGGCTGTATCCTGCAGAGCCACAGGGGCAGAGCTTCCCAAGGCCTTGGGAGCACACCCTTTGTATCATTGTGGCCTGGATGTGTGACATCAAGTCAGAGGAGATTATTTGGCAGGTTTAAGATGTGATGAGTGCCCTTCTGGGTTTTGGACTCGCATGGGGCCTGTAGACCCTTTGTTTTGTCTGATTTCTCCCTTTTTAAACAGGTTTATTTATGCAATACCTGTACCCCTGTTGTATCTTGGAAGCAACTAACTTGTTTTTGACTTTACAGGCTCATCAGTGGAAGGGATTTACCTTGTCTCAGATGAGACTTTGGACTGTGGACTTTTGAGTTAATGCTGAAATGAGTTAAAATGTGGGGGACTGTTGAGAAGGGATGATTGGATTCTGCGGTGTGAGAAGGACATGTGATTTAGTAGAGGCCGCAGGCAGAATGATATGCTTTGGATTTGTGTCCCTGCTGAACTCTCATGTCAAATTGTAATTCCCAGTACTGGAGGAGGGGCCTGCTGGTGGGAGGTGACAGCGTGCTGGCAGCCCTTGCAGCCCCAAAGCTCACTCTCGGTGCCTCCTCGGCCTCAGTGCCCATTCTGGCCATGCTTGAGGAGCCCTTCAGCCCACTGCTGCACCGTGGGAGCCCTTCTCTGGGCTGGCCAAGGCCAGAGCCGGCACCCTCGGCTTGCAGGGAGGTGTGGAGGGAGAGACACGGGCAGGAACTGGGGCTGCGCGCAGCACTTGCGGGCCAGCTGGAGTTCCGGGTGGGCGTGGGCTTGGCGGCCTCACACTCAGAGTGGCTGGCCGGCCCTGCTGGCCCAGGCAGTGAGGGGCTTAGCACCTGGGCAAGCAGCTGCCGATGGTGCGCCGGCTCCCCCAGCAGTGCTGGCCCACAGCGCTGCGATGGATTTCTCACCAGGCCTTAGCTGCCTCCCCACAGGGCAGGGCTCGGGACCTGCAGCCCGCCATGCCTGAGTCTCCCACCCCCCATCCACGCCCCCGCCCCCCACCACCCCCACACCCCCCCATTCCCCACCACCCACCACCCCCCCGCCCCCCCACCACCTCCCACCGCCCCCCTACCCCCCACCACCCCCTGCCCCCCGCCCCTCACCACCCCTCTGCCCCCCTCCCTCCCCCGTGGGCTCCTGTGTGGCCTAAGCCTCCCCGACGAGCACTGCCCCCCACTCCATGGCACCTGGTCTCATCTACCACCCAACGGCTGAGGAGTGCGGGCGCACCGCGTGGGACTAGCAGGCAGCTCCACCTGCGGCCCTGGTGCGAGATCCACTGGGTGAAGCCAGCTGGGATCCTGAGTCTAGTGGGAACTTGGAGAACCTTTATGTCTAGCTAAGGGATTGTAAATACATCAATCAGCACTCTGTATCTAGCTCAAGGGCTCAAGGTTTGTAAACACACCAATCAGCACCCTGTGTCTAGCTCAGGGTTTGTGAATGCACCAGTCTGCACTCTGTATCTAGTTAATCTGGTGGGGACTTGGAGAAACTTTATGTCTAGCTAAGGGATTGTGAATGCACCAATTGGCGCTCTGTATCTAGCTCAAGGTTTGTAAATGCACCAATCAGCACTCTGTGTCTAGCTCAGGGTTTGTAAATACACCATTTGACACTCTGTATCTAGCTAATCTAGTGGGGACACGGAGAACTTTTGTGTCTAGCTCAGGGATTGTAAACGCACCAATCAGCACCCTGTCAAAACGGACCAATCAGCTCTCTGTAAAACATACCAATTGGCTCTCTGTAAAATGGACCAATCAGCAGGATGTGGGTGGGGCCAGATAAGAGAATAAAAGCAGGCTGTGCCAGCCAGCAGTGGCAACCAGCTCCAGTCCCCTTCCACACTGTGGAAACTTTGTTCTTTCACTCTTTGATATAAATCTTGCTGCTGCTCACTCTTTGGGTCCACACTGCCTTTATGAGCTGTAACACTCACTGCGAAGGTCTGCAGCTTCACTCCTGAAGCCATTGAGACTACGAACCCACCGGGAGGAAAAAACAACTCCAGACGCGCCGCCTTAAGAGCTGTAACACTCACCACAAAGGCCTGCAGCTTCACTCCTGAGCCAGCGAGAACACGAACCCACCAGAAGGAAGAAACTCCAAACACATCCACACATCAAAAGGAACAAACTCTGGACACGCCGCCTTTAAGAACTGTAACACTCACCGCGAGTGTCCACGGCTTCATTCTTGAAGTCAGTGAGACCAAGAACCCACCAATTCTGGACACACTGGGAGGTGATTGGATCATGGGGGCAGATTTCCCCCTTACTGTTCTCATGATAGTGAGTTCTCATGAGATCGGGTTGTTTAAACATGCTTAGCACTTCCACCTTTGCTCTTTTCCTCCTGTTCTGGCTATGTAATATGTTCCTCCTTCCACTCCACCTTCCGCCATGATTGTAAGTTTCTTGAGGCCTCCCCCACCCATGCTTCCAGTACAGCCCATGGAACCATGAGCCAATTAAACCTCTTTTCTTTATAAATTACCCAGTCTCAGGTAGTTCTTCATAGCAATGTGAGAACTGACTAATACAGACTCCCACCTCACATAATATATGAGAATTACCTCAAAATGGATCAAAGATCTCAATGTAAAAGCTAAAAATAGAAAGCTCTTAGGTAGCTGGATGTGGTGGCATGCACCTGTAGTCCCAGCTAGCTGGGGGCCTGAGGAGGGCAGATTGCTTGAGCCCTGGAAGTCAAGGCTGCAATGAGTTGTGTTCATGCCACTGCATTCCAGCCTGGGTGGCAGCGGGAAACTGTCTCAAAAAAAAAAAAAAAAAAAAAAATATATATACACACACACACACACACACACACACACACACACACACACACACACACACACATATAAATGACATAAAATAAAGCTCTTAGAAGAAAATAAAGGGTAAATCTTCATGGCCTCAGATTAGGCAATAATTTGTTAAATCTGACCCAAAAGTACAAGCAAAAACAAACAAACAAAATAGACAAATTGGATTTCATCAAAATTAAAACTTTTACGCTGCAAAGGACACCATCAAGAAAGCAAAAAACCCATAGAATGGGAGAAAATACTTGCAAATTATATATCTGATAAGAAACTTATATCTACAATATACAAAGAACACTTACAACTCAATAAGGAGACAAATAAACAAATGAAAAAGTAGGCAAAGATCTGAATAGACATTGTTCCAAAGAAGATATGCAGATGTCCAGCAAGCACACGAAAAGATGCTCAACACCATTAGCCTCCAGTAAAATGCAAATCAAAAACACCATGAGATACTACTTCACACCATTAGAGAGTGTGGGGGAATTTATCTTAAACATGCTTGTTTACTAATGTTGACAAGGAACTGATTTTTGATTATCCATGTGCATAACACACCCTGGAAGGGGAACTACAAATGTTAATTACCTACAGGTTGTGTGGGCTCCAGGTTTTCCACACTGTGCCTGCACTGAATAAAAGCAAGCAGTTCCAGCTTCTCAGGGCTGCTCTCTGGCCACTAGAGCCAGGCAGTCACTTAGCTGCTCTTACACTGCATACCTGTGTCTGAGTACTCATTTCATCCATCGGGCAGGGTCTGTGGGACAGACACAGCAGCAAAAGAGGTGAATATTGTAATTCAGAGGTCTGGTGCAGTGGCTTATGCCTGTAATCCCAGCACTTTGGGAGGCCGAGGCAGGTAGATCACGAGGTCAAGAGATCAAGACCATCCTGGCCAACATGGTGAAACCCTGTCTCTGCTAAAAATACAAAAATTAGCTGGGTGTGGTAGTGCATGCCTGTAGTCCCAGCTACTTGTGAGGCTGAGGCAGGAGAATCACTTGAACCAGGGAGGCGGAGGTTGTAGTGAGCCGAGATCATGCCACTGCACTCCAGCCTAGTGTCAGAGTGAGACTCTGTCTCAAAAAAAAAAAAAATTTTTTTTAATTCAGAAACAGACTTTTTACATAGGTTTTAGAGAGAGAGATACACATTGTCTGACTCTAAATCAGTCAGGATTCCCCCCCTTCCTACCACATAACCAGTCAATTAAGGCACTAGTGGTTGCAAGGCCTTTTTCCATATTGGTCATTTAACACTTGTTTTCAAGAATGACTTTTCTGATGAGTGATACAATTAAAACTGTTGCCGAAACCTTTCCCACAAGTGGGACATTTGTAAGGTCTCTCCCCAGTATGGGTTCTCTAATGAGCAATGAGACTTGAGCTCTAACTGAAGTTTTTCCCACATACTAAATGCTTGAAGGCCTTTCCCCTGTGTGGGCTCTTTTATGCATAAAAAGAAATTAACTGGGGCTGAAGCTTTCCCCACACTGGAAGCAACAATACAGTTTCTGTTCTGTGTGGGTTATCTGATGCACTGCAAGTTGGGAGCTATGACTGCATCTCCAACCACACTCTGGGCATTTGTGAGGCATCTCCTCTGCATACATCCTCTGTCCAGGAGCAAGTTGGACCTGTAGATATAGTCTCCCCCACACTCCTGACACTCAAGTTAAGAATATACCCAGCTCTAGAGTGAGATAGCCTAGATTCATACCCTTATCTACCCATATTAGCTGTGTAACCTTGGACAAATAAACTTAAAAAAAATCTTATAATATGGTTTGGCTGTGTGTCCCCACCCACATCTCACCTTGAATTGTAATAATCCCTACTTGTCAAGGGCAGGACCAGGTGGAGGTAATTGGATCATAGGGGCAGTTTCCCCTATGCTTTTCTCATAATGATGAGTGAGTCTCACGAGATCTGATGGTTTTTTAAGCACCCGGCATTTCCCTTGCTTGCGCTCATTCTCTCTCCTGCCACCCTGTGAAGAGGTGCCTTCCACCATGATTGTAAGTTTCCTGAGGCCTTCCTAGCCATGTGGAACTGTGAGTCAGTTAAACCTCTTTTCTTTATAAATTACCTAGTCTTGGGCAGTTCCCTATAGCAGCATGAGAAAGAACTAATACATCTTATAAATAAAAAAGTATATGTTTTTCAATTGTGATGAACAAATAGCCTAATGTATGTTAAGGGTTTTACATAGTGCCTAACCCAAGTAAGTGCTCAGTAAATGGTTGCTATTATTAAATATAATACAAACTAATTTAGAAAATGAAATGGGAAACAGCAGAGCACAGAAAAAGGAAGAACATTTCCAAACTAATGCTTTGAGAAAAACATAATCTTTTTTTTTTTTTTTTTTTTTTTTTTTTTTGAGATGGAGTCTTGCTCTGTCACCCAGGCTAGAGTGCAGTGGTGAGATCTCGGCTAACTGCCACCTCTGCCTCCAGGGTTCACGCCATTCTCCTGCCTCAGCCTCCCGAGTAGCTGGGACTACAGGCACCCGCCACCACACCTGGCTAATTTTTTTTGTATTTTTAGTAGAGACAGGGTTTCACCGTGTTAGCCAGGATGGTCTCGATCTCCTGACCTCGTCATCTGCCCACCTTGGCCTACCAAAGTGCTGGGATTACAGGCGTAAGCCACTGTGCCCGGCCAAGAAAAACATAATCTTTATATTAAAACTGGATGACAGCACACGAAAACAGAAAATCATAGACTAATTTCACTTATGAATATAGTTGTAAAATTTCTGAAGAAAATTAAATCAGGAAAATTAAAATCAGCAGGGTTCTAAATGAATAATAATGTCATGGCCAAAAAGTGGCTAACTTAGAGACAAGTTTTTACATTTTTCAGTACCTCATTTTCTTCATTCATAAATTGACATGGTAATAATACAGTAGTAGCGGTGCTCCAGACGGCCTGCCTTTGCCATCACTTGGACTGCAGCAGGGAGGTGCCGCTGGGGCTGCATGTGCCATGGAGCCTGAGGGAGCAGGGGACAAATGAGAACCTCACCCCTTCCGAGTTGGGCAGGAGCTCCCCAGGTGCTGTTGCAGCCCCCCAAACAAGGGCTGCAGACATGGCCTCCTGCTCCATGGAGCAGGCAGGATCTCTGCCCTACTGGGCACAGCTGTAGCCACTCAAAGCCACCCAAAGCACACTGCAGACCTGGGCTTCCTACTCCATGGAGGAGGCAGAAGCCCTGCCTTTCTGGGCTGGGCTGCAGCTGCTCAAGTTGTGGCTGCAGTCCCCCAAGTTATGGCTGCAGATCTCAGCCTCCCTGAACTCTCAGGTAAAGCTGCAGCCACCCAAACCATGGCTATACTTCACAGAGGTCTCCCCCTTCATGGAGCAGGCAGGAGCCCTGCCCCCCTCCCCACTTCTGTGCAGCTGCAGCCACACAAACTGCAGCTGCAGACTCAGGCATCCCCGTACTCTTGGGTGCCCAGGAAGGCACCCCTGCCCTTGCAGGCTCAGAAGTGGCTGCTCCTGCTGCCTGGCTTCTCCCTGCTGTCAGCACTGGCTCTGATCTCAAAGCAAATTTGCTATGAGCCCAGAAGCCATGAATGGTGGCAGGAGGCAGACAGAAGATGGTGGAAGGGGTGGGCCCCTGGTGAGGCCCCACATTCAGGCCAGTAAGGGCCTGAAGGCTGAGGGCTGGGCTGCCAGTCCCACAGACTGGAGTGGAAACTTGTGGTGCCTTTTCCTGGCCACTCATGGCCACCCATGGGCCAACTGGCAGGCACTTCCTCCCCTCTGAGGCCCATAAAAGCCCTGGGCTCAGCCAGAGCTGAGCAGAGGATGGGCAGACCAGCTGCAGAAAGGAGCTACCCCAGGAGACTACCAGAAGGCCTGCCTGCAGGAAGAAGAAACCCACTCCAGGGCCTTCTGTCTGCTGAGAGCTGCAGAGATGACAGGATGACCTGCCTGCAGAGAGGAGCTTCCCACTCCAGGGTCTCCTGTGCTAGGAGCTGAACACTCGTTGGGACACCCCAGCTGCAGAAAGGAGCTACCCCCTGCAGGTGTCCTGTGAGCTCTTCCATTGTTCAATAAACATTTTCTTCATCTTACTCACCCTCCACTTCTCTGTCTACCTCATTCTTCCTGGTTGCAGGACAAGACCTCAGGACTGACCAAATGGCAGAACTAACAGCTGTAACACAAACAGGGCAGAAACATGTCCCTTGCTTGCCACATTGTGGGCAAAGAGAAGGAGAGAAGAGCTGCAACCCCTTGGGGATCCCAGACCTGGGAGCTCCCTGAGCCAAAGCTGTTACTCCCTCTTTGTGGTCCTGTGGTGCCTGGCATCTCCAAGCTTTCAGGCACTACTGCATTCCCCAGTGCCAGCTGAGGAAGCTGCTTGCCATGCACCTGGACCTGCCACAGCCTTGCAGAGAGCTGGCACCCATGCTGGCACTTGGAGCTGCCTGCCCCACAGCAGCAGCTGGCATGTCTGACTGCACAGTGGCTGGACCTCACACTCTCTCACACACTCCTCACCACTCCATGCCTGGCTCACCCTTGGCAGGCATAGGATCCAGCTGGGTAACATGAGCCAAGTGCAGCCTGCCAGATCAAGTGGGCAGAATGAGCCCAGCGGCCCAAGCAAAAATTGGGCAAAGGTGCCATGGGCCACAGAGGCTTCTGGCCAGAAGAGCGACATCCAAACATGTTGTAAAAGAGTTATGATGCTAAGTTGAGCATAAAGAACTAAGAATACTGAATGGCATAATAACACTTGATAAACGTCAAGTATCAATGCTATGATTACCACTACTATCAACACTGAAATGTTAGGATGGTTTAACCTAGGAAAAGAGAAAAACCATGATCAACTTAATTGTTGCTGAAAAGACATTCCATAAAATTCAACACTGACTTCTTTTAAAAATGCTTAGTAATCTAGAAATATAAGTAAGCCTTATATGTATCCAAAACTAAAAACTACAGCAAATCTCATTCTGTCACTCCTCTATTCAGTATTTTTCTGGATGTCTTACTCAATACAAGAGCAAGAAGCAAGAGGCACAAATTTAAGAAAATAAGAGACAAAAATTTTCTCTTACTTATAGATTGTTTGCAGATAATCTGAATAGCCAGAAATTCTGAGGCAGGGTAATCAATGGAGAAAACTATTAGAATTAACATTCAAAATTCAGGACAAGCATTGAAACGGAGTGTTTAGTGAGATGGCCTGATATAAAAATAACATATAAAGCCTGTCATGGTAGCTCACAGCTGTAATCCTGGCACTTTGGGAGGCCAAGGCAGGAAGATTGCTTGAGTCCAGGAGGTCTAGGCTGCAGTGAGCCATGGTTGCACCACTGCACTCCAGTCTGGGTGACAGAGTGAGACCCTGTCTCAAAAAAATAAAATAAAATAAAATAAAGTATTGAAGTCAATAGTTTTGCTATATATACCAGCAATAATTGTATCAGGGCTGTTGATATGAAAGAGCTTTTTTTAAGCAATAAGGGAAGTTATTGGGGTTAACAGAAATAATAAAAGGCTGGAGAATGAGGATTGGAAAATAGAGAAGAATTGATGCTAGGCAGCAGGAATCATAATAAATAATCACATAGCAAGAACAGGCTAAAAATAAAGAAACACACACATATAAGAAGAAAAAAGAGAGTAAACTAACCTATGCGACAATATTCTTTGCTGCAATGAACTCACCTCTGATCACCTCCAAATCTTCAATCAATATCAAAGTTCCTAAGAACACCTCACCTGCAAAAGCTAAACCAAATGCCAACCCCTTGGTGAGCCACACTCAGGGACATTGCTAAACACAACCTACTACCCATGCAACTAACTATTGTATATATAAACAAACTTCCTGATGAGAGAAACCAGAAATGTTTCCCAAAAAAAGAAGAAAAAAATCATAAACAAAAGTTTCCAAATTCTAGGGAACCTAGTCCTGAGATTTTTTTTCATATGCTGTAACAATTTTAATTCTTTTTTTTTTCCTGCTTCTACCACAAGAAAGACACAAGAAGTCTAGAGAAATCTCAGCTACTCGGGAGGCTGAGGCACAAGAATCACTTGAACCCAAGAGGCAGAGGCTGCAGTGAGCCAAGCTGGAGCCACTGCTCTCCAACCTGGGCGACAGAGTGAGACTCCATCTCAAAAAAAAAAAAAAAAAAAAAGTCTAGGGAAAGACAAACATCTCCTTTTTCATAAGATCAGAAGGCTCTGGATTCAAAGGAGAATTACTCTCAGGGGCCTAATATCACTTGAAGGCCCCAAGTCAGGAGTTATGACCAAGATAAACTTTGGAAATTCTATAATAAGGCAAATAAGCAAAGAAAAGGCAATGTTCTACTCACTCTGAATTCACAAACCTTATACAATATTAGTAAATTCAGTTACTAATTAAAGATACCAATTTGAGAGCCAGTTTTAACAACTTGAGAAAACACTTAAAGCAAAACCCAACTATCTTTTGGCTCTGCTAACCTGCCATGCTTCAAAACTTTAGCCTGAGGAAGCCATGGCTAAGAGTTCATCCAGGAAAGGTTGGCTTATTTTGGGGTATAAATTGTGCGAGAAGAGGATGTGAGGAATCAGAGAAATTTGGTTGAAGTGGGCTTTGCAATGTAAGTGTAAAAAGCATGGGCTATGGAGCTGGGAAGTCCTGGATCTGATTCCTGGTGTCATCATCACTCACCAACCATGCGATGCAAAGCAAGTTTCTGATCCTTAATTCATTTCTTTCATTTTAATTTTTATTTTATAGATTTAGAGGGTAGAAGTGCACTTTTGTTACATGAATATACTGTGTAGTGGTAAAGTCTAGGCTTTTAGCATACCCATAACCCAAATAGTGCACATTGTGCCCAGTAGATAAATTTTCACCCCTCACCTTCCTCCCACCCTCCCACATTTTGGAGGGACCAATGTCTATTATTCCACTCTGTATGTCCATGTGAACGCATTGTTTAGCTCCCATTTATAAGTGAGAACGTGAGGTATTTGACTTTCTGTTTCTGAGTTATTTCGTTTAGGACAGTGACCTCCAGTTTCATCCATGTTGCTGCAAAAGACACCATTTCATTCATTTTACAGCTACACAGTATTTCATGGTATATATCCAGTCATTACTGACGGACACTTAGGTTGATTCCAAGACTTTGTTATTCTGAATAGTGTAGTGATAAACGTACAAGTGCAGTTGTCTTTTTTATAAAATTATTTATTTTCCTTGGGTAGATACCCAGTAGTGAGACTGCTGGATAGAATGGTAGTTCTATTTTTAGCTCCTTGAGGAATCTTCATACTGTTTTCCACAAAGGTTGTACTAATTTACATTCCCACCAACAGTGTATAAGCATTCCCTTTTCTCCACACCCACGTCAACATCTGTTCTTTTTTGTCTTTTTAATAATAACCATTCTGACTGGTGTAAGATGGTATCTCATAGTGGTTTTAATTTGCATTTCTCATCTTACTAGTGATGTTGAGCATTTTCTGTATGTTTTTTAGCCACTTGTATATCTTCTTTTTAAAAATGTCTGTTCATGTCTTTGCCCACTTTTGATGGGGTTGTTTTTTTCTTGTTGAACTGTTTGAGTTCCTTGTAGATTCTGAAAATTAGTCCTTTGTTGGATGCATTGTTTGAAAATATTTTCTCCCATTCTGTAGGTTGTCTGTTTACTCCGTCAATTTTTTCTTTTGCTGTGCAGAATCTTTTCAGTTTAATTAAGTCTCATTTGTCTATTTTTTGTTTTGTTGCATTTGCTTTTGAGGTCTTAGTCATAAGTGGTTTGCCTAGGCCAATATCCAGAAGAGTTTTTTGTGGGTTTTCTTCTAGGATTTTTGCAGTTTCAGGTCTTACTTTTAAGTCTTTAACACATCTTGAGTTAACTTTTGTATGTGGTGAGAGATATGGGCCTTCCTCCATTCTTCTGCATGTGGCTATCTAATTTTCCCAGCACCGTTTATTGAATAGGATGCCATTTCCCCAGTGTATATTTTTGTTGACTTTGTAAAAAATCAGTTGCTTCTAGGTATGTGGCTTTATTTCTGAGTTCTCTGTTCTGTTCCATTGATCTGTGTGTCTATTTTTATATCAGTACCGTGCTGTTTCAGTTACTATATCCTTGAAGTCAGGTAATATGATGCCTCCAGCTTTTTGCCTTTTGCTTAGAATTGCTTTAGCTATTCAGGCTTTTATGGGGTGCCATATGAGTTTTAGGATTTCTTTTCTAATTCTGTGAAAAATGATATCGGTAATTTATAGGAATTGCATTACAGATTGCTTTGGGCAGTACGGTCATTTTAATTATATTGATTCTTCCAGTCCATGAGCCTGGGATACTTTTGAATTTCTTTCTGTCATCTACAATTTCTTTCATCATTGTTTTATAGTTTTCATTATAGAGATCTTTCACCTTGGTTAAATGTATTCCTAGGTATTTTTGTAGCCATTGTAAATGGATTGAGTTCTTGATTTGCTTCTCAGCTTGATTGTTATTGATGTATAGAAATGCTGGTGATTTTTGTACATTGATTTTGTATCCTAAAACCTTACTGAAGTCATTTATCAAATCTAGGAGTCTTTTGGAGGGTTATACACACACACACACAAACACACACACACACACACACACACACACACACATATATATATATATATATATACATATATATATATATATATATATATATATATACTTTAAGTTCTGGGATACATGTGCAGAACCTGCAGGTTTGTTACATAGGTATACATGTGCCATGGTGTTTTGCTGCACACATCAACCCGTCATCTACATTAGGTATTTCTCTTAATGCTATCCCTCCCATCACCCCCAACCCCTCAACAGGTCCCGGTGTGTGATATTCCCCTCCCTGTGCCCATATGTTCTCACTGTTCAACTCCTGCTTATGAGTGAGAACATGCGGTGTTTGGTTTTCTTTTTCTGTGTTAGTTTGCTGAGAATGATGGTTTTCAGCTTCATCCATATCCCTGGAAAGGACATGAACTTATCCTTTTTAATGGCTGCATAGTATTCCATGGTGTATATGTGCCATATTTTCTTTATCCAGTCTATCATTGATGGGCATTTGGGTTGGTTTCACATCTGCTATTGTGAATGGTGCTGCAATAAATGTACGTGTGCATGTGTCTTTATAGTAGAATGATTTATAATCCTTTGGGTATATACCCAGTAATGGGATTGCTGGGTCAAATGACATTTCTAGTTCCAGATCCTTGAGGAATTGCCATACTGTCTTCCACAATGGTTGAACTAATTTACACTCCCACCAACAGTCCAAAAGCATTCCTATTTCTCCACATCCTCTCCAGCATCTGTTGTTTCCTGACTTTTTAGCGATCACCATTCTAACTGGCATGAGATGGTATCTCATTGTGGTTTTGATTTGCATTTCTCTAATGTCCAGTGGTGATGAGCTTTTTTTCGTATGTTTGCTGGCCACATAAATGTCTTCTTTTGAGAAGTGTCTCTTCGTATCCTTTGTCACTTTTTGATGGGGTTGTTTGTTTTTTCTTGTAAATTTGTTTAAGTTCCTTGTAGATTCTGGATATTAGCCCTTTGTCAGATGGATAGATTGCAAAAATGTTCTCCCATTCTGTAGGTTGCCTGTTCACTCTGATGATAGTTTCTTTTGCTGTGCAGAAGTTCTTTAGTTTAATTAGATCCCATTTGTCAATTTTGGTATTTGTTGCAATTGCTTTTGGTATTTTAGTCATGAAGTCTTTGCCCATGCCTATGTCCTGAATGGTATTGCCTCGGTTTTCTTCTTGGGTTTTTATGGTTTTAGGTCTTACATTTAAATATTTAATTAATCTTGAGTTAACTTTTGTATAAGGTGTAGGGAAGGGGTTCAGTTTCAGTTTTCTGCATGTGGCTAGCCAGTTTTCCCAACACCATTTATTAAATAGGAAATCCTTTCCCCATTGCTTGTTTTTGTCAGGTTTGTCAAAGATCAGATGGTTGTAGATGTGTGGTATTATTTCTGAGGCCTCTATTCTGTTCCATTGGCCTATATATCTGTTTTAGTACTAGTATCATGCTGTTTTGGTTACTATAGCCTTGTAGTATAGTTTGAAGTCAGGTGGTATGATGCCTCCAGCTTTGTTCTTTTTGCTTAGGATTGTCTTGCCAGTTTTGGTCTGATCTTAGTTATTTCTTGTCTTCTGCTAGCTTTTGAATTGAATTTGTTTGCTCTTGCTTCTCTAGTTCTTTTAATTGTGATGTTAGGGTGCCAATTTTAGATCTTTCCTGCTTTCTCCTGTGGGCATATAGTGCTATAAGTTTCCCACTAAACACTGATTTAGCTGTGTCCCAGAGATTCTGGTACGTTGTGTCTTTGTTCTCACTGGTTTCAAAGAACTTATTTATATCTGTCTTAATTTTGTTATTTAGCCAGTAGTCATTCAGGAGCAGATTGTTCAGTTTCCACATAGTTGTGTGGTTTTGAGTAAGTTTCTTAATACTGAGTTCTAATTTGATTACACTGTGGTCTGAGAGATTGTTGGTTATGATTTCCATTCTTTTGCATTTGCTGAGGAGTGTTTTACTTCCCATTATGTGGTCAATTTTAGAATAGATGCTATGTGGTGCTGGAGAACAATGTATATTCTGTTGATTTTGGGTGGAGAGTTCTGTAGATGTCTATTAGGTCCTCTTGGTCCAGAGCTGAGTTCAAGTCCTGAATATCCTTGTTAATTTTCTGTCTTGTTGATCTGTCTAATATTGACAGTGGGGTGTTAAAGTCTCCCACTATTATTGTGTGGGAGTCTAAGTCTCTTTGTAGGTCTCTAAGAACTTGCTTTATGAATCTAGGTACTCCTGTATTGGGTGCATATATATTTAGGATAGTTAGATCTTCTTGTTGCATTGATCCCTTTACCATTATGTAATGCCCTTCTTTGTTTTTTTGATCTTTGTTGGTTTAAAGTCTGTTTTATCAGAGACTAGGATTGCAACCCCTGCTTTTTTTGCTTTCCATTTGCTTGGTAAATCTTCCTCCATGCCTTTATTTTGAGCCTATGTGTGTCCTTGCACGTGAGATGGGTCTCCTGAATACAGCACACCGACAGGTCTTAAGTCTTTATCCAATTTGCCAGTCTGTGTCTTTTAACTGGGGCATTTAGCCCATTTACATTTAAGGTTAATATTGTTATGTGTGAATTTGATCCTGTCATTATGAAGCTAGCTGGTTATTTTGTCCATTAGTTGATGCCGTTTCTTCATAGTTTCAATGGTCTTTACATTTTGGTATGTTTTTGCAGTGGATGGTACCAGTTTTTCCTTTCCATGTTTAGTGCTTCCTTCAGGAGCTCTTGTAAGGCAGGCCTGGTGGTGAGAAAAATCCCTCAGTATTTGCTTGTCTGTAAGGGATTTTATTTCTCCTTCACTTATGAAGCTTAGTTTGGCTGGATATGAAATTCTGTGTTGAAAATTCTTTTCTTGGGCCGGGCGCGGTGGCTCACGCTTGTAATCCCAGCACTTTGGAAGGCCAAGGCAAGCAGATCACCTGAGGTCAGGAGTTCAAGACCAGCCTGACCAACATGGAGAAACCCCGTTTCTACTAAAAATACAAAATTAGCCGGCCGTGGTGGCACATGCCTGTAATCCCAGCTACTCGAGAGGCTGAGGCAGGAGAATCACTTGAACCCAGAAGGCAGAGGTTGCAGTGAGCCGAGATTGTGCCATTGCACTCCAGCCTGGGTGATAAGAGTGAAACTCCATCTTAAAAAAAAAAAAAAAAAAAGAAAGAAAAAAGAAAATTCTTTTATTTAAGAATGTTGAATGTTCAGTCTGTTCTGCTCTAAGTCAAGCATCTGTAAGTCAGATTAGCTCCATGTGACTAGCATATAGGGGAATGAAGCCATTATTAGGTAGTCATTACACTGGTTCATATGTAATTTTTCCGGAATATTAATGCCTTCCACCACCAACTAACAACATTTGAATTTGAGCACACTAATGTGACTGACTGCAGCAAGCTAAGGAGACTCTGATCCATCGTGTATATCATACTCATTTGCTCCACAGTCTTCCTTTTGGCCACAGCTCTGTCATGGAAGTAACTGATGTAAAGTTTCCCCTGGTATTTGTGTATTTTATACTTATCTCCATAAATCAGCACTTATATCCCTTCTTTACATCCTCTTCATCAAGCTACCTTCATCTTTTAAGCTAAAGTCCTAAATTCACAGTTATTTCTCATTAGGAGTTTAACCTTTTTTAAAGTTTGTGAGTTTTTTTCATTAGGATCATTTTTGCACTTATCGTTGCTGTGATTACAAAGCTGCAATGGTTTTAAGAGGTCTTCCCCGACCCTGTTTTTCCCATACTTGACTAACACAAAAAGTGGGAGTTCTCTTCCCCCTCCTCCAGAAACACAACTAAAATGATACAGTAGTAATAACAGCTACAATTTTTTGCATACACTATGTAGCATATATCATTTTAAGTGTCCTGTATGTACTGCTGCGTGTAATTAAATCTAAGATGTCCGTTTTTAAGAACATCATTATTTTATGTACCACTAAGAAAAAACTCTACCAATAAAACTATAACATGCTTTTTATCACATTGAATTTCCATTAAATAGGTATTAAAAGGGCTTTCTTAAATTGTTATTATATATCACTTCTGTGCCTGCATGAAGAGGAAATAAATTTGTGAGTGCATTACCCAGTGAAATACATATGTAAAAGTAGTCCTAAAATGCCTCTTTATAGTCTGACTCTTCTGAGCTGCATTTAAATTCAGAGGTGTCCATTTACAATATTTCTCTCTGTACCATTGTTAGCACTGAGATACAGCATTTCTTAAAAGAAGCTGTGAAAGTTGCCAGTACCAAAAGGGAGTCATTTATGTCAAATTCTAACAAAATGGAGTCAGGGGAGGCCATGAAAAAGAAGCCCTTATGCATACATCCTCATAACAAGACTTACCACAAGAAATTCCTGCACATAGACCAGTAACAGGACTTATCACAAGAACTTCCTCAAGACTGCTGTATTCCAGGTAACCACTGGCACAAGGACATTTATCTAGCAACAAGTGTCTCCACCAATGAATTGATGCCAGCTCCTGCAACAAGCCCCTGTAACCTATGGTCTTTGTTTCAAAATACCTTATGTGGACTTCTTTTTTTGTCTTTAAAAGTTTCCTGGAGGGGCATGGTGGCTCACGCCTGTAATCCCAGCACTTTGGGTGGCTGAGGCGGGCAGATCACTTGAGGTCAGGAGCTCAAGACCAGCCTGGCCAATAGGGTGAAACCCTGTCTCTACTAAAAATGCAAAAATTAGATGGGCGTGGTGGCGCGCACCTGTAGTCCCAGCTACTTGGGAGACTGAGACAGCAGAATCGCTTGAACCCGGGAGGCAATGTTGCAGTCAGCCGAGATCATGCCACTGCTCTCCAGCCTGGGAGACAGAGTGAGACTCCATCTCAAAAAAAAAAAAAAAAGTTTCCTTTTGCCCCAGCCTCTCCAGATATGCATATGGTTGCCATAGTATGTATATCCCAGATTGCAATCCCTTTGCTATTCCCAAATAAACTCTTTGCTTTGCAGAGTTGGTCTCTTTGTCACTCATTATAGTTGACAATCTGGTGTCAGAAGTGACAGGGAAGCAAGCTCACCTTGGAGAGACTGGTGGCCCCAGGAATAGAGTACAGTACCCACCTGAGCTGCTGTGCTCTTCATTTTCATGAATCACCTCTTTGTTTCTGTCAGTCGCCTCATATATTTTGGACTCACTCCTTTTGGTTGAGCTCTGACTTTATTCAGGATCTGGTTTTATAAAGGCCTCAGGGACATCATCCATCTGGTGAGTACTCTTTCGGTTTCTGCACACCTAATTTAAAATTTAGGTTAGCTAGATTTTTCTTGTTTCTGAACATCTTCCAAGAGCAAAATAACATTTTAACAGGCATGAGTCAACACTATTTTGACTTGCTGTCTATTGGAGGCACACAGGTATTGGAGCTGCATGTGCAGGCACCAGACCAAAAGGTTAGAAGCACCCCAAGAATAACCAAACAGAAATGTTGTTTGTGTTCCATTTGCAGCTAATACATGGCAAGACAGAAATGTAGGTTGCACCCTGTTTGCAGCTAGTGTATTTGTAGAGTTTTTCCTTTCGCTCTTGAGAGATTAATAAGAAACAGAATGGGATCCCAGATTCTAAGGTATGCAAAGATAGTGCTCCTTCAGAGACTTTAGCCGGCCACATATTCAAACATTATGGCCCATTATCTTGCATATTTTTAAACCGATGGGCAAATTATGCCAAAGAAAATTTAAAATTACAATGACCATTATGTAGAACATTCCATATGAACAACACTGCACTTTAAGAAGGGCATTTAAAAATGAAGGCTCCCAAATTAGCCCCACCAGGGATACCTGCTGAGGTGCAGAAGCTCCTAAAATGATTTCAAACATTTTTATTGCCTCTTTTAAAAGACTCTTCGCAGAAGACAAAGAGCTTGAGTAACTAACTTATTTTTTTAAGACACAAAACAGTATAACAGCTAGTGTTAGAGACTCCCTTAACCAGATTAAAAATCTAAAATCAGAACAAAGTTCATTTCATGCACGTCCATGTGGAGAGGCCACCAAACAGGCTTTGTGTAAGCAACATGGCTATTTCACCTGGGTGCAGGCGGGCTGAGTCCGAAAAGAGAGTCAGCAAAGGGAGATGGGGTGGGGCTGTTTTATAGGATTTGGGTAGGTAAAGGAAAAAGGGGAGTTGTTCTCTAGCGGGCAGGAGTGGGGGTCACAAGGTACTCAGTGGGGGAGCTTTTGAGCCAGAATGAGCCAGGAGAAGGAATTTCACAAGACAATGTCATCAGTTAAGGCAGGGCCGGGCATTTTCACTTCTTTTGTGATTCTTCAGTTACTTCAGGCCATCTGAGCGTATACGTGCAAGTCACAGGGGATGCGATGGCTTGGCTTGGGCTCAGAGGCCTGACATTCCTGCCTTCTTATATTAATAAGAAAAATAAAACAAAATAGTGTTGAAGTGTTGGGATGGCGAAAATTTTTGGGGGGTGGTATGGAGAGAGAATGGGCGATGTTTCTCAGGGCTGCTTCAAGCGGGATTGGGGCGGTGTGGGAACCTAGAGTGGGAGAGATTAAGCTGAAGGAAGATTTTGTGGTAAGGGGTGATATTGTGGGGTTGTTAGAAGAAACATTTGTCGTGTAGAATTATTGGTGATGGGCTGGATACGGTTTTGTATGAATTGAAAAACTAAATGGAATAAGAGAAGGAGGAAAACAGTTATAAAAGGTCTAAGAATTGGGAGGACCTAGGACATCTGATTAGAGAGTGCCTGAGGAGATTCAGCATAGTCCTGCCAGCAAAGATGATTTATTTACTTCAAGAGTTAAGAGTGGCAGTTTGGGGATAGCACCAGGAGATATCAGCTGTGATGGCTTGGAGAAACAGTGTAAACCAGCAGTGTAAACAAGAGCAGGGCATGTATGAGTAGTTGAGAATGGTGAATAGGCATATGACTAGATAGAAGATAGTAGGGATGACAAGTTTTTTGGGGGCACAGCCTAAGTTGGTCTGGTGTCTGGAATGAGACTGGGGCCTAATAAAAAGGAGCGTCTATACAGGAGCTCAAATGGGCTGTAGCCTGTAGCATTCTGAGGACAGGCCTGAATTCTGAGAAGGGAAAGTGGTGAAAGTATTGTCTAGTCCTTTTTAAGTTGGTGGCTGAGCTTGGTGAGGTGTGTTTTTAAAAGACTATTAGTCTGTTCTACTTTTCCTGAAGACTGAGGACTGTAAGGGATATGAAGGTTCTACCGAATACCAAGAGCATGAGAAACTGCTTGGGTGATTTGACTAGTAAAGGCCGGTCTGCTATCGGACTGCATAGAGCTGGGAAGGCCAAACCGAGGAATTATGTCTGACAGAAGAAATGACTGCGGTGGCCTTCTCAGACCCTGTAGGAAAGGCCTCTACATATCCAGTGAAAGTGTCTACCTAGACTAGGAGGTATTTTAGTTTTCTGACTCAATTTGCCAGTCTTGGGCAGGACTCGAGCTTGATGTGTAGGAAAGGGAGGAGGCCTGAATAATCCCTGAGGGGTAGTAGAATAGCAAATGGAACACTGAGAAGTGATTTCCTTGAGGATAGATTTCCAGGATGGAAAGGAAATGTGAGGTTCTAAGAGGCGGGCTAGTCGCTTGTACTATAGCATAGCCTGCCTTTGCTGGTGTGTGGTGATTAGGCCTGGTGGAACTGCCATCAATAAATCAAGCATGATCAGGGTGAGGAACAGGAAAGAAGGAAATATGGGGAAATGGGGTGAATGTCAGGTGGATCAGAGAGATACAGTTATGGGGGTCAGGTGTGGTATCAGGAATAATGTGGGAGGCTGGATTGAAGTCCGGGCCAGGAACAATGGTAATTGTGGGAGACTTAACAAAGAGTGAGTACAGCTGAAGGAGCCGGGGAGCAGAAAGTATATGTGTCAGGTGTGAGGAAGAAAATAGATTTTGGAAATTATGAGAGCTGTAGAGAGTGAGTTGAGCATAGTTTGTGATTTTGAGGGCCTCTAAAAGTATTAGGGCAGCAGCAGCCGCTTCATGGAGACATGATGGCCAGCCTAAAACAGTAGGGTCAAGTTATTTGGACAAAAAGGCTACAGGGTGCGGTCCTGGCTCTTGTGTAAGAATTCTGACTGCACTAACCATGCCTAGGAAGGAAAGGAGTTGTTGTTTTGTAAGGAATTGAGGTTTGGGAGATTAATTGGACATGACCAGCAGGGAGAGCACAGGTGTTTTTATGAGAATTATGCCAAGATAGGTAACAGATGAGGATGAAATTTGGGCTTGACTGAAGTAATGGGGGCTGTCTGTGAAGCCTTGCGGCAGTATAGCCCAGGTAATTTGTTGAGCCTAATGGGTGTCAGGGTCAGTCTAAGTAAAAGTGAAGAGAGGCTGGGATGAAGGGTGCAAATGAATAGTAAAGAAAGCATGTTTGAGATCCAGAACAGAATAAGGGGTTGTAGAGGGAGGTATTGAGGATAGGAGAGTATATGGGTTTGGCACCACGGGGTGGATAGGCAAAACAATTTGGTTGATAAGGCACAGATCCTGAACAAACCTGTAAGCCTTGTCTGGTTTTAGGACAGGTAAAATGGGGGAATGGTAAGGAGAGTTTATAGGCTTTAAAAGGCCATGCTGTAACAGGCGAGTGATAACAGGCTTTAATCCTTTCAAAGCATGCTGTGGGATGGGATATTGGCATTGAGCGGGGTAAGAGCGATTAGGTTTTAATGGGATGGTTAAGGGGTGCATGATCGGTCGCTAAGGAGGGAGTAGAGGTGTCATACTTGTGGGTTAAGGTGGGGAGATACAAGGGGAGGATGTGAAAGAGGCTTTGAACTGAGGGAAAAGGCGGCAATGAGGTGTGGCTGTAGCCCAGGAATAGTCAGGGAAGCAGATAATTTAGTTAAAGTGTCTCGGTCTAATAAGGGAACTAGGCAGGTGGGGATAACTAAAAAGGAGTGCTTAAAAGAGTATTGTCTAAGTTGGCACCAGAGTTGGGGAGTTTTAAGAGGTTTAGAAGCCTGGCCGTCAATACTCACAACAGTTATGGAAGCAAGGGAAACAGGCCCTTGAAAAGAAGGTAATGTGGAGTGAGTAGCCTCCATATTGATTAAGAAGTGGGCGGATTTACTCTCTACTGTGAGAGTTACCTAGAGTGTCTGTGATGGTCCTGTGGGCTTCTGAGGCAATCGGGCAGTGTCAGTCTTCAGATGCTAAGCCAAGAAGATCTGGGAAGGAGTCAGTCAGAGAGCCTTGGGCCAGAGTTCCAGGGGCTCTGGGAGTGGCTGCCAGGTGAGTTGAACAGTCCGATTTCCAGTGGGGTCCTGCACAGATGGGACACGGCTTAGGAGGAATCCCAGGCTGTGGGCATTCCCTGGCCTAGTGGCCAGATTTCCGGCACTTGTAGCAAGCTCCTGGGAGAGGAGATTCTGGAGGAACCCTTGGCAGCTGCGGTTCAGGCGTTTGGAGTTCTTGTGTGCTAGAGATGTGGCTGGGGTTTGTCTCACTGTGGAGGCAAAGAATTGCAACTCAGAAATATGTTGCTACTTGGCTGCCTCTACTCTGTTATTGTACACCTTGAAGGTGAGGTTAATTAAGTCCTGTTGTGGGGTTTGAGGGCCGGAATTTAATTTTTGGAGTTTTATTTAATGTCGGGGGCAGATTGGGTAATAAAATGTATATTGAGAATAAGACAGCCTTTTGACTTTTTAGGGTCTAGGGCTGTAAAGCGTCTCAGGGTTGCTGCCGAATGAGCCACGAACTGGGCTGGGTTTTTCATATTTGATGAAAGAGCCTAAATGCTCACTGATTTGGGAGAGGTCTGATAAAGAAAAAGGAGCATTAACCTTGACTATGCCTTTAGCTTCAGCCACCTTTTTAAGAGGAAATTGCTGGGCAGGTGGGGGAAGGCTAGTCGCAGAACGAAACTGTAAGCTGGACCAGGTGTGAGGAGGGGAGGTGATAAAAGGATTATAGGGTGGGGAGCAGAGGCTGAGGAAGAATTGGGACCTGGCTCGGCCTGGCAAGGAGGGGAGAGGTCAGATGGGTCTGTAGAAAAGGAAGATTAGAAAGACTTAGCGACGCTTGGGGTTGGGACTGAGGGGACAGGCGGGAGGGAAAGAAGGAGGATCTGGGACGAGTCACATTGGGAACAGAGACTAGGGAGGGAACAATGTATAAAAGAATGCCTGGACATCAGGCACCTCAGACCGTTTGCCTATTTTATGACAAGAATTATTTAGATCTTGTAGGATGGAAAAAATTGAAAGTGCCATTTTCTGGCTATTTGGAACCGCTGTCGAGTTTGTATTGGGGTCAAGTGGCATTGTAGAAGAAAATAAGGCATTTAGGTTTTAGGTCAGGCGAGAGTTGAAGAGGTTTTATGTTCTTAAGAACACAGGCTAAGGGAGAAGAAGGAGGAATGGAGGGTGGAAGGTTGCCTATAGGCAAGTTTAAAGAAAAGGGAGAGTAGAGACACGGAGGGAAGTGGTTCAGGGGTTCTTACCCTCCAGAAAAGGGGGAAAGGGGTCGGGGCGCAGAAATAAGGGGTTGGGGTGCAGAGATAAGAGGTCGGGGCACGGAAATAAAGGATCAGGGTGCAGAGATAAGAGGTTGGGGTGTGGAAATAAGGGATTGGGGTGCAGAGATACGAGGTTGGGGTACTTGCCCCTCCCTTAGAAAAGTGGGACTTGCCACTAAGGGTAAAGGAGAAGGGGTTGGGGGTTTCTTGCCTCCCAGAAAGGCCGAGAAGGGGTAGAGACACAGAAGGGGTTGGGGTACTTGCCCCTCCCCCAGAAAAGTGGGACTTGCCGCTAAGGGTGAAGGACCAAGGCAGGCATCCCTGCGTGGTCTGACACCTCTGAAGCATGGATGAATAATCAGAGAGGTGTCCCTGCAATGATTAAACACCAGGGGAAGGCTGCCTTCCCAGTCCGCGACCGGCGCTGGAGTTTTGGGTCCACGGATAAAACGTGTCTCCTTTGTCTCTACCAGAAAATGAAAGGAATTGAAATTAAAAGAAGGGAGAGATTGAAGTGTGGCGCCAAGATTGAAAGGAGAAAGAGGTTGAGGGATAGTGAGGGAGGTTGGAGAAGAGAGTAAAAAGAGGCCACTTACCGGATTTGAAATTGGTGAGATGTTTCTTGGGCTGGTTGGTCTGAGGACCTGAGGTTGTAGGTGGATCTTTCTCACAGAGCAAAGAACAGGAGGACAGGGGATTGATCTCCTAAGGGAGGTCCCCCGATCCGAGTCACGGCACCAAATTTCATGCGCGTCTGTGTGAAGAGACCACCAAAGAGGCTTTGTGTGAGCAACATGGCTGTTTATTTCACCTGGGTGCAGGCAGGCTGAGTCTGAAAAGAGAGTCAGTGAAGGGAGATGGGGTGGGGTCGTTTTATAGGATTTAGGTAGGTAAAGGAAAAAGGGGAGTTGTTTTCTGGCGGGCAGGAGTGGGGGTCACAAGGTACTCAGTGGGGGAGCTTTTGAGCCAGGATGAGCCAGGAGAAGGAATTTCACAAGACAATGTCATCAGTTAAGGCAGGGCCGGGCATTTTCACTTCTTTCGTGATTCTTCAGTTACTTCAGGCCACCTGGGCGTATACGTGCAAGTCACAGGGGATGCGATGGCTTGGCTTGGGCTCAGAGGCCTGACAGTTCAAATCCTTTAAACCTGCCATAAATTCTTTTTTCAGTAAATTTATTTAGCTTAGGAAAGAAACACTTGCAAAAATTAGTTTGAATTATTTGTATATTTGCAGCATGATAGGAAGGTCTTTTTTGTTTGTTTGGCCTTCTCTCCTAAGCTGAAATGGAACCATATACTCACGGGGAAAAAAAAGGAATTTAATATTGCCAGGAATATTTGCTGTTTGTCCCAGCTGAAACCTGATTATAAGATATTTTTAAAGGACTTTTAAAGAGCTCTATCAACATAAGTCAGCTTAATTGGAAGCTTGTAATTTTGGTGGGGGTGGGGAGAGGGGGGAGCTTTCTATTGTCTCTATTGGATCCTGCTTCTCCCATGAAAACTTCTCAGTCAACTAAGCCCCTCTTCTTGGACCCCTGCTAACTGTATGCTGTGCCCCATCTGTCTACTTTCTTTCTCGTGGGCATGATTTTTGGCTATTTAAAAATTGAGCAAATGAAATATCTTAAAGGTCTTTTCTACTAATATTTGTAAAAAGCATTATTTGAATTGGCTTAGAAATAAATGAGCAATACCTAAAACTGCTAGAAATATGGGAACTAACCCAACATGCTTGTCAAGTTCACGTGACGTAGATGAGTCTTTGGCAAATAAGACAAGCTTAATATCATTTGGTTTAATGAAAACAGCTGTGTCTTCTGGGTTATCAATGAAATACCCATGTATTTTACTTTAGGGTTCCTGCTTCAGCAATGACTGCCTGATATGCTCATGATGTATAAATGGTTAATGGGGAAATAACCTAAAAAGATGGCTAACTTTGTCTCTAATGTCTCATTTAATTTTCATGAGTATTCTAGGCATAATTGTTAAAAAAAAAGTGATCTAAATAGCTATAACTTGGATAAAGTTTATAAATGAACTTTTTAACAACAATTATGTTTTATAATATGTCTGCTTAAAAACTGTTTCCTAAGGCTGGGCGCAGTGGTTCATGCCTGCAATCGCAGCACTTTGGGAGGCCGAGGAGGGCGGATCACGAGGTCAGGAGATCGAGACCATCCTGGCTAACACAGTGAAACCCCGTCTCTACTAAAAATACAAAAAAAAAAAAAATTAGCTGGGCGTGGTGGCGGGCGCCTGTGGTCCTAGCTACTCAGGAGGCTGAGGCAGGAGAATGGCATGAACCCCGGAGGTGGAGCTTGCAGTGAGCCCAGATCGCGTCACTGCATTCCAGCCTAGGCGACAAAGCAAGACGCCGTCTCAAAAAAAAAAAAAAAGTTTTCTAAATCTCTTTAGTAACTGTACCCTTAGAGTTTTGCTAGGTTAAATTAAATGATAGCTATTCATTGAATAACTATGTTATTTCCAATTAACATAAAATACTAAAACATAAATTACTGAACACAAGTTTAATTTTATTTTTGGCTTTTAAAATTTTATAAAAAGACTAAATATATTTGGGTCTGTTAGCAAACATGAAAAAATTGTTCTATGAGGAAGCACCTGTTTCTAGAAATTATAAAATGATAGGACAGTTTACAATGCTTGCTAGTTTTTATTGAAAATTAAGGTTTCTAAGAGTTTGTAAAAATACTAATCAATATATGGCAATTAAAATTAAAAAGGAAAAGGAGAATAACTCCATATGTGAGGAAAGTAAGACATGTTTTTGGTAAGTAAAGTTATGAGGTATGAAAGATGAGCTTTTTGGTAAGGAAGGACTAAAGGTGTTTGGATATTTTGTTTTGTTTAGGAGGATCCATAGGAGTTTGCATTTACATAGGACGGACAGCATTATGCATTCACAGGTTTCATGTTTACATTCACAAAATTCACATTTCTCCAGGGCTATGTAAATTCTTCTTCTCCCTGTTATAATAGAATCCAAAGAATCTTGAACTGTTTGACCACCCCACAGACCACTTTGATGATGTCATGTTAGTTGGACCTAGTGAGTAAAATGTGGCCAGAACTCTGAATGCCTTGGTAAGACACATGTGCTTCAAAGGGCAAGGGACAACTCCTACAAAGTTCAACTTCTTTTAATGAAAAAATATTTCACAAAGTTAGAATAGAAGGGATTTTTCTTAATTTGATAAAACCCTATAGCACATTATACAGACTTAGCATAGAATTTTAGATCCATTCCAGTAAGATCAAGAACAAGGAAAAACATGCCTGGTATCCCAGTTAAGTGTTTAACATGATGCTAGAAGTCCTGGTCAAAACAATGAGAAAAATAGTAAGTGTAAAAATGGGAAGGAAAAATATATTATTACTATTCACAGATGATATGAGAATACACAGAAAATCCAAAATAATCAAGAAACTAAAACCCATACAAGAGTTAAGCAAAGTGTCCAGATATAAGATCAATTGACTAAAAAAATCTGTGATATTTCTTCCAAAAGTGCATAACCTGAATCTAATCACTAGGAAGCATCAGACAAGCCAAAATTAAACAACATTCTAAAAATAAAGTGGCTCATTGTGGTGAGCAGATGTCCACGTCCTGATCTTCAGAACCCATGAATATGTTAGATTACACGGCAAACGGGCAATAGGATTGCAGATGGAATGGGAGTTGCCAGTCAGCTGATTGTGAGATGGGGATAATCCTGGATTATCCAGAGGGAGCGCCTAATGTAATCACAAGAGTCCTTATAAGTGGAAGACGGAGACAAAAGAGAGAGAACAAGATGGATGGCAGCATAACGTTGCTGGCTTTGAAAATGGAAGAATGAAGCCTTGAGCCAAGGAAAGGAGGTGGCCTCTAGAAGATAGGAATGGATTATCCTCTAGAGCCTTCAGAAGGAGTATAGCCCTGCCAGCACTTGATTTGAGCCCAGTGAGACCCGCTTCAGACTTTACACCTCCAGACTTGTAAAATAATTAGTGTCATTTTAAGCCACTAACTTTGTAGTAATTTGTTACAGTGGCAATAGGAAGTTGATATACTAGTGCCTTCAAACACATCAAATGTTTTATGGAAAAAAAAGAAAAGAAAGAAGAAAAGATCCTGCCAGGCACAGTGGCTCACTCCTGTAATCCCAGCACTTTGTGGATCATGAGGTCAGGAGTTCAAGACTATCCTGGCCAACATGCTGAAACCCCTGTCTCTACTAAAAATACAAAAATCAGCTGGGGTGGTGGTGCGTGCCTGTAATCCCAGTTACTCGGGAGGCTAGGGCAGGAGAATCGCTTGAACACGGAAGTCAGAGGTTGCAGTGAGCTGAGATGGTGCCACTGCACTCCAACCTGGTGACAGAGCAAGACTCCCTCTATAAAACAAAAACAAAAAACAAAAACAAACTAAAGAGCTGGGCACGGTGGCTCACACCTGTAATCTCAGCACTTTGAGAGGCCAAGTTGGGTGGACCATGAGGTCAGGAGTTCAAGACCAGCCTGGCCAACATGGTGAAACACCGTCTCTACTAAAAATACAAAAAGTAGCCAGGCTAGTGGTGTAAGCCTGTAATCCCAGCTACTCAGGAGGCTGAGGCAGGAGAATTGCTTGAACCCAGGAGGCAGAGGTTGCAGTGAGTGGAGATTGTGCCAATGCACTCCAGCCTGGGTGACAGAGCAAGACTCCGTCTCAAAAAAAAAAAAAAGACTAGGCCAGGCACGGTGGCTCACACCTGTAATCCCAGCACTTTGGGAGGCCAAGGTGGGCTGATAACAAGGTCAAGAGATTGAGACCATCCTGGCTAACACAGTGAAACCCCATCTCTACTAAAAATACAAAAAATTAGTTTGGCATGGTGGCAGGCACCTGTGGTCCCAGCTACTTGGCAGGCTGAGGCAGGAAAATGGCATGAACCTGGGAGGCGGAGGTTGCAGTAAGCCGAGATCATGCCATTGCACTCCAGCCTGGGCGACAGAACGAGACTCCATCTCAAAAAAAAAAAAAAAAAGACATGGCAACTGGAATCAATCCTTGAATAAAAATCTTCTTTTGCTATAAAGAACTCTGTTAGAAAATCTGGAGATATCTCAACAAGGTCTGTAGATTACAAAATAGTAGGTATTGATGTTAATTTCCTGGTTTTGATCATTATATTGAGGTTATTAAGATAATGTTCTTGTTTGGGGCCTACATATACACTGAAATATTTAGGAGTAAAGGAGCATCATTTCTGCAACTTACTCTTGAAAATTCAGAAAAAGTATACACACACACACAGAGAAATATGTGAAGTGCTCATTGGGTTTTTGTATTATTGTAGCTTTGTTGCAACTTTTCTGTAAGTCTAACATTATGAAGTTAAAAGACAAAGCTTTTAGTCCAAGTTGTAGCAAAACAAAGACAACAAAACCCAGAATACTTAGATTTTCAGACACCTGGATTTATTTCTAATAACTAGAGGAATGTCTACCTTCAGTAGGAGAATTCCAAAGTTTTATTGCATACATAGCCTTTTATACTAAATATTGACACTGGTAATCTAAGATCAGTTAACTTTTAGGGGTCAAGTTGTTCATACCAACATTTCCAGATATCATACTTTCATACAGAGACAATTTGCTTCTATTTCAGGTTTTGTCCAGTCACATTCATTCTTGTATCTGGCTATAAATATTTTATACCAATTTTTATCTAATAGTAAAATCACAAAGTAGCAGGATAATTTCCAAGAATACAGTCTGTTAATAGGTTTTGCCTAGTTATATGTCTCTTCTGTTTCGAGAATTCTTCACATTTAATACCAAAGATTCTCAGGCATGTCCTCATCATTCATAGGATTTCAATTGTGTGCTTTGTAGGATTCATTGCTCACCACTGTCTCCGGTACTATTCAGCTTCTCTATCTTGAGAGTCTCAATTCCCATAATTCACGATATGAGATATACAGATGGCCAATAAAAACATGGAAACATGTCCAACCTCACAAGTAAAGAATTGCAGACTGATATGGTTTGGATTTGTGGCCCCTCCCAAATCTCATGTCGGATTGTAATCCTTAGTGTTGGAGGTGGGGCCTGGTGGGAGGTGATTGGAGCATGGAGGTGGTTTCTCATGAATAGTTATCACCATCCCCAAAGTGCTATTCTCTTGATAGAGTTCTCATGAGATCTGGTTGTTTAAAAGCCTGTGGCATCTGCCCCTTCTCTCTCTTCCTCCTGCTCCAGCCATGTAAGACATACCTGCTTCCCCTTCACCTTCTGCCATGATTGTATAGTAAGTTCCCTGAGGTCTCCCCAGAAACAGAAGGCACTATGCTTCCTGTACAGCCTGCAGAATTATGAGCCAATTCAACCTTATTTATTCATTTTCTGAGATGGAGTTTCTCTCTCGTTGCCCATACTGGAGTGCAGTGGCATGATCTCAGCTCACTGCAACCTCCACCTCCCCGGGTTCAAGCGATTCTCTTACTTCAGCCTCCCAAGTAGCTGGGATTATAGGCGCCCACCACCACGCCCGGCTAATTTTGTATTTTCAGTAGAGACAGGGTTTTGCCATGCTGGTCAGGCTAATCTTGAACTCCTGACCTCAGGTAATCCACCCACCTCGGCCTCCCAAAGTGCTGGGATTACAGGCGTGAGCCACTGTGCCTGGCCTAAATCTCATTTCTTTATAAATTACCCAGTCTCAGGCATTTCTCTTTTTTTGGCAGGGGGGCCAACAACATGATCAGGCATTTCTTTTTTTTTTTTTTTTTTGAGACAGAGTTTCACTCTGTCGCCCAGGCTGGAGTGCACTGGCGTGATCGCCGCTCACTGCAACCTCTGCCTCCTGGGTTCAACCTCTGCCTCCTGGGTTCAACCTCTGCCTCCTGGGTTCAAGCAATTTTCCTGCCTCAGCCTCCCAAGTAGCTGGGATTATGGGCATGTGCCACCACGCCTGGCTAATTTTTGTATTTTTAGTAGAGATGGGTTTCACCATGTTGGCCAGGCTGGTCTCAAACTCTTGACCTCAGGTGATCCATCTGCCTCAGCCTCCCAAAGTGCTGGGATTACAGGCATGAGCCACTGTGCCCAGCTGGCTTTTCTTTATAGCAGTGCGAGAATGGACTAATACACAGATTTAAACAATAAGATGTTATTTTCCATCCATTAATCTGGCTCTTTCTGCCTTCTTCAGGATAGTAGCAATGTTGGCAAAGATGAAGTGAGAAGGCTACTCTTGTGCTATTGGTAGGAGCACAGATTGATATATTTGATATATTTTGGGAAAGCAATTTGGGTTTATATTCAAAAAGCCTTAAAAATATATACACTGCATTCCAGCCTGGGTGACAGCGAGACTCCGTCTCAAAAAAAAAAAAAAAAAAAAAAAAAAAAAAAATATATATATATATATATATATATATATATATATATATATATATATGTACACACACGATCTGTGTAGAGGGTATTGTTTTTGCCTGCCTTGCAAACATTGTCCCTTAATCTCGCAATAACATCTTAATTTCCTTTGAGGAAATATAGACTTGGTGGGATTTCTTATCAAAGTGCCCTGTTCTCCCTTACCAAAGAGAAGAGCATATAACCCAAGAGAAGTTAATCATATTCTCTTTCCTGAGAATTTGAATCTTGAGATTACAGAGCGAGAAGTCAATAGATGTTAGTAGTAGTAGCAGCTGCAGTACTATCACTACGGCTAATATCTACTAGTCAGTAGATATCCTCACTCTGTTCTAGGCACTATCTTGAGTGTTTTATATCCTTATAAACAACTGTATAAGTAAGGTACTATTATTATCCCTATTTGCAGATGGGGATGATAATGGTGACACAAAGATCCATAATCACTGAGGATACCTTAACAATACTGTATTAGTTATTTGCTGCTTCACAACAGATTACACCAAAACTCAGTGGCTTAAAATAACAAGTATTTATTATCTCACAGTTTCTGTAGGTTCTTAGCTGATAGTTCTGGCCCGGGGTCTCTTGTGAGATTGTATTAAAGATGTCAGCCAAGCTGAAGTCATCTGCAGTCCCAGCTTGACTGAAACAAGAGGATAGACTCTGAGATGGTCCACTCATGTGGCTGGTGGCAGGAAGACTCAGTTCCTCACCCTGTAGCCCCCACCTCCCACCTCAGGGCTGTTTTACTGTCTTCATGGCATGGCAGCAACAGGTGATCAAAGACAGAGTAAGGTGAAAGCCACAATTCTTTCTATGGCCTAGCCTCAGAAGTCACACACTACCATTTCTAACACGTTTTATTCAGTAGAAATCAGTCACTAGGTATAGTTCACACTCACCTATAGGGGAATTAGATTCCAACTCTTGAAGGCAGGAATATAGAAAGATTTGTGGACATCTTTTAAAACTACAGGTTGAATATTCCTTATCTGATATGCTTGAGACCAGAAGTGTTTCAGATTTTGGATTTGGATTTTTGGCAGATTTTGGGATATTTCTATATATACAATGAGATATCTCTGGAATAGGACCCAAGTCTAAACATGCAATTCATTTATGTTTTGTGTATACCTTATACACATAGCCTGAATGTAATTTTATAAAATATTTTAAATAACATATGCAACCCATCACATGAGGTCAGGTGTGAAATTTCTACTTGTAGGAGTTCAAAAAGTTTTAGGCTTTGGAGCATTTTAGATTTTGGATTTTCTGAATAGGGGTGTTCAACCTGTACCACTAACACCATCCATTGGTTCTGTTACATAGATCAGCAGATTTTCCCTGCTTCCCATCTTGTCTATGGACTTGTTCAGTCTTTTCTTTGATTCTTTGAATTACATTCCCTTAAAAGAATTATCTCCTTTTTATCTTAAGCTATTTCTCTTGCTTTCAACAACAACAACAAACAAAAACAGAAAACAAACCAAAAAATACCCACTTTTGGCTCAGTCACTGCACTTCTGGAGTTCTCCTGTCTTAGCCCAGGTCCCTTAAAAAAGAGAACCTGAGGCAAAGTTTACATGCTAAATCTTTCTTGGAAAGTACAATCCAAGGACAATAAGAGTGAGGGGAAAAGGGAAGTCAAGCAGGGAGAAAAGAAAGCAAATACAAGATGGTGCGTCACCGAACTTCACAAGAAGGCCCAGGTAGCTACGTGCTCATGCAGAACAGCTTGCCAACAGTTTGTACTGAAAGCCACACCCTGATACACACCCTGGTGGTGTTAGGAGATGAGGCATGGTGGGTGGGGGAGGGGCGGGGGACGGGGCTCTCCATTGAACAAAAGGTGGGGGATCCTGGAGCAGGCGACATGAGCAAATCTAAGGAGGCACCTAAACTGGGTTTGACACAACCCACCCCTGGCATCACTCAGATCTGTTCATGTCCTCTTATGATATGTGGCTGTCATATCCATGTGGAAAAGGGGATACTGCTAGTCCATGGGATGCAACATTAATGCAGTTACTTAAATTATTACCTACAAATGGTTATAATCAAGGACCTATCAATGACAAGGCTAGTAATTAGTAGCTTAATCCACAATTGTCTAACGCCTAGAACTTTTTGAGCTCTAACATGACGCCACAAGAGGAGAATTTCACACCTGACCTCACATGATGGGTTGCATATATTATTTTAAATACTGTGTAAAATTACCTTAATAAGCTACTTATTACTAAGTAGCTATAGTAATAGAACATTATCATAAAAATTCCAGTGCTGCTTCTTGGTTGGCAAAGAAAGGAGGAATAAAAAATAGATTTAAAAAAGAACATTATGATAGAAATAAGGAATACAAAGACTATAGGACGGGCTGGCTTCTTCTGAGCATGTTGGAGAAATAATATGGCAAAGTCAGAGCTTTAAATTCTCAGCTGGCTACATAGGTAGAAAGCCAGAAAATATGACCAACTTGAGGGAATCCCTTATTTTTTGTAGTGCAAAGTCTAGATTTATGAAAACCAGAATCTGTTCCTGTGGTTGACTAAATTACATATAAATTAAATTCACAGCCTTGCTTTTTAAATATAAAGTTATATTGTTGATAGAAAAAGACAGATTCTGAGAATTGTAATAGGGGCATTTCGGTAGATTTAAACCCCCTTGAGCCCCCAAATTATACTAGTTCTCTTTTGCCATGAAAACCAGCCCTTCCTCTCATCTGAAGGTGTTAGCTGCCCCTTTCCAGAAGATTCTATAGTTATCTTTCTAGAGGTAATCACCTTGAAGAGGCATACTGATTCTTTTCAAAATCCATATGCATGATCCATCATTCCTTCCAGGCACATAATAATACTCAAATCACAGTAGATCCAAAGAGAAAGAAGGACTACCGGACTACAAAGTGTGACTCAAGAATAGGAACCAAATGGATGACTGAATAAAGAAAATGTGGTATATATACACAATGGAATACTATGCAGCCATAAAAAGAATGAAATTGGCCAGGCACGGTGGCTCACACCTGTAATCCCAGCACTTTGGGAGGCCGAGGCGGGCGGATTACAAGATCAGGAGATCGAGACCATCCTGGCTAACATGGTGAAACCCCATCTCTACTAAAAATACAAAAAGTTAGCCTGGCGTTGTGGTGGGCACCTGTAGTCCCAGCTACTCCGGAGGCTGAGGCAGGAGAATGGCGTGAACCCGGGAGGCGGAGCTTGCAGTGAGCCGAGATCCCACCACTGCACTCCAGCCTGGGCGACAGAGCGAGACTCTGTCTCAAATTAAAAAAAAAAAAAAAAAGAATGAAATCATGTCTTTTACAGCAAAACGGATGGAACTAGAGGCCATTATCCTAAGTGAAACAACTCCGAAACAGTCAAATAACACATGTTCTCACTTACAAGTGGGAGCTAAATAATGTGTACACATGGGCATAGAGTGTGGAATGATAGACATTGGGTGGAGGAGTGGGAGGAGGGTGGGGGATGAGAAATTACTTAATGGGTACAATGTACACTATTCAGGTGATGGATACACTAAAAGCCCAGATTTTGCCTACTCAAAATATCCATGTAACAAAACTACACTTGTACAACCTTAAATTTATACAAATTAACAAAGAATAGGGGGCCAGGCGCAGTGGCTCATGCCTGTAATCCCAGCACTTCAGGAGGCCGAGGCGGGTGGATCACCTGAGGTCAGGAGTTCGAGACCAGCTTGGCCAACATGGCGAAACCCCATCTCTACTAAAAATACAAAATTAGCTGGTGGGTGCCTGTAATCCCAGCTACTCGGGAGGTTGAGGCAGGAGAATTGCTTGAACCCAGGAGATGGAGGTTGTAGTGAGCCAAGATCGCGCCACTGCACTCCAGCCCGGGTGACAGAGCAAGATTCTATCTCAAAAAAAAAAAAAAAAAAAAAAAAGAAGAATAGATATCAAAAACACCAAAAGAACTGCAAGGTTTTGCCAGTATACATTTTGCAAGGCTATACTAGTAAAAGCCTGGGAAATATTTAGGGAAGTGGATTACAAGAGTGTTATACCAGAGAGAGAGAAAAATGTAATTTTTGATTGCACTGAATTCATTGATACAGATATGTTAGCTCAAGAAACTGATAGTGGCTATAACAGCTTACTGGGCTGGCTAACTGAAACTTGGACTTAATGGTGGCCTATATTACATTAAGGAGAAAGGCCAAAACATCCTTGGTACACTATAGAACAAGATATCCAAAGACAGAGAGCTAGGAATGTCAGTCAGTAGGGACCTCTAGAAGCAGAATGCATTTACCTGGTGGAGTTAACAATACAACTTCACTTTCTTCACTCAAAGCTATATCAACTGTCCAGCCCTCTATCAAACTCTAGCCTGCTAGGACCTAATAATTTCCCCATTTCATAGGAGATCATGCTGGCCTACTACACGATAAAATCATATTGATTGGACTAGGTGAGTATTACTTGATACCCTAGACACGCTGGTAAGACACATATATACCAGATGGTATGGAACAAATCCCAAACAAAAACTAAGGAATCTACCACCTTAGTGAAATTTCTTGCTTCCAGAGCTCTCTAGCACATCAAAATATCGTTTATAAGGTGAACATGAAAATATCCCTTGTAAGATTAAGGATAGTTGTTGCATCTGGCATCTCCCATCACAAAGAAAGAAGCATCACATTAGATTTTGGAGGCAACATGGATCTCATTTGGGCATGCCACTATGGCCTATTTACTGAGTGAGCCATAAGGGCTGCCACAATGGGGCAGTGTGGGATTCTGGAAAGTTTCCTGGTTTCAGACAGGTGGATGGCGGGGTCGGGGGAATCTTGAGCCTATTTTCTCATAAGTAAAATGAAAATAAATACCTTCCTTGGAAGGCTATGGTACTGTAAAATGAGGTAACAGGTGAAAAAGCCCTTTAAAGTACACATCTTCAGGTGTTGGCTGTACCACTCTGCCATTTGATGCTATGCCAATGACAAATTTTTTCGGCCCAGAGTAAAAATTATTCCCTAAGAATTGCCAAAAATCCTATTTTTTCTATTGAGTTGTATCATAGATACAGAAGAGCATATGAAACATTAATGGAGAGTTTAAAGAATAATTATGATGTAACACCCTTCTAACTAGCACTTGAGTCAGAAATAGAATATTGTCAAAGTGGCCACTAACCCTGCACTAGGGCACCCAGATAAGGAGCAAGTAGGGGCTGAAATATACCAAGCTTCTACCCAGAACTGTTGGGTGAAATATGCACCCACCACCACCCCCCGTCCCGACTCTAAAAGGACAAGCTGGGGTATTCTGAGCTCCTTCCTCCCACTTTTACTGTGGAGCAAGCAGATTGCTAGCTCTCCTCCCTTCCAGGACATATCACATATAGAACACCAGGGGGCGGCAACTCCCCACAGATGTTGGTACCTGGGACGACAACGGCTAAACCAAGGATGAAGCAGCTTGACTTTCTACTCTTTTTTTTCTCTTTTCCTCTTTTCCATGTCCCTCTACTGCTCTGCAGGCCTGCATCACACATCACAATGGCACAGTGCAAAGATTCATGGCTTTAGTAACAAGGAGAGCTACGTTTGAATCCCAACTCTACCACTCACTACCTTTGACCTTGAGCAAGTGACACCATCTCTCCAAGCCATGGTTTCCTTATCCGGAAACATAGAATACAAAAACAGTACCTACCCCATAGGATTGTTGGAATGATTAAGTGAGATAATGTGGGTAAACAGCAAAACATTGTCCAAATATTAGTTGTTTTTAGACATCATAATTAATCTAGGCCGGGCATGGTGGCCCAAGCCTGTAATCCTAGCATTTTGGGAGCCCAATGTGGGCGGATCACCTGAGGTCAGGAGTTCAAGACCAGCTTGGCCTACATGGTGAAACCCTGTCTCTATGAAAAATACAAAAATTAGCCAGGCGTAATGGTACATGCTTGTAATCCCAGCTACCTGGGAGGCTGAGGCAGAAGAATTGCTGGAACCCAGGAGGCAGAGACTGCAGTGAGCTGAGATCATGTCACTGCACTCCAGCCTGGGTGACAGAGCGAGACTCCGTCTCAAAAAAAATAATAATTAATCTAATTTGATTATCACCAATCCTGGCAGGCAAGGTAGGTAAACACGCTTCCCAAGTTTCAGATAAAGAAATTGACCTGCGGAATCATGATGATAATGTGGTTTCATTTCCTTTTTGTTGTTGTTGGGTTTTATTTTGAGATGGAGTTTCGCTCTGTTGCCCAGGCTGAAGTGCCGTGGTGTGATCTCAGCTCACTGCAGCCTCCGCCTCCTGGGTTCAAGTGATTATTTTGCCTCAGACTCCCGAGTAGCTGGGACTACAGACACGTGCCACCATGCCCAGCTCATTTTTGTATTTTAGAGATGGGGTTTCATCGTGTTGGCCAGGCTGGTCTTGAACTCCTGACCTAAGGTGATCCACCCACCTCAGCCTCCCAGAATACTAAGATTACAGGTGTGAGCCACCGTGCCCGGCATGGTTTCATTTTCTAAGACTCTCCCTCAACACTTTTGTCATCATGACAGCTTGCCTTGAGAGACTCATTGATAACCCTTTGGAGATATCTGGGATTCTGAGGCCCAAATACGTTATGTGTGCTGAAGGCCACATAACCAATCAGTGGACAAGTCAGAAGCCAAAGAGCCAGCTCACTGTGCTCCCAGTCCAGGGATGCAGCCACTTCGCCACCACCTCATGAATTTTGCTTGACTGCTTACTGTAGAATCCCATCTGTAAGTCTTATCTTCCTGCCTAGACTGTGAGCTAAAAGAGAAAAAAAAATTCTCAAGGAATATTTATTCTTATGGAAAAGCATTTATGCTATGTTACTAAATGAAACAAGGGATTTACAAAACACCTTGTGCAACATGATCCCAGTATGTATTTACGTATACTTGCAGAGGAAAAAAGTAGAAAGTCATGACACACAATGGTAAAAACATTTATCTCTGTGTGGTAGAATTACAGGTGATTTTTGTGTTTTTCTCTTACATTTTTGCACATGTTTCTAGGTTTCTCCCATGCACATGTTTTACTTCTATGATCAGAACTAATATCCGTGTGTGTGTGTGTGTGTGTGTATTACACTATTTCAATTGTCCATTTAGAAAATTACTACATTAAGAGTCAGAGATCTTGGGCTGCCTTCCCCCAATAATTTATCGTGACTTTGCACAAGCTTCTTAACCCTCTGAGCCTCAGTTTCTCCACTGGAAATATGAGAATATCACCCCTGTCATCCCATCCCCAGAAGGCTCCGAACCTCCCCTGTCTGGCTGCCACAAATCGTTCCCCCTTCTCCTCAGCCAAGCTGCTGAGCAGTCACAGGACACCTGCCTCTGTTTCCACTTCCCCATCCCATTAATTAATCCCTCATCTAGCCGCAGCTTGGGTTTTGTTCCCTCTTCTGCAAAGCAGATTCTACAGAGGTGGCCTCTTCAATGCCAAAGCCCATGGCCTCTGTGCTGCCTTTTCCTCCACCTCTACCTCCTCACCTGGCTGTTTCCCCAGACGGGGCTGTCTTGACTGCTCCCTCCTTGAAGCACATTCTTCCCTCACCTTCTCTGACCACTGCTTACCTTGGTTTCCTTAGCCCCTGTGGCTGCTGCTTCTCCCAAGGGTCTGGCTCAAAAGGGGTTCCCTGGGTTGCAGGGCACCTTTCCTCTCTCTTAGGCTGGTGCATGACCTCACCCAAACCAGCAACTTCCAGCACCACGAGCAATGAGTGACCTGAGCTTCCCAAATCTCTCCCGGGCCCCACCCCACTACCCTCAGGCTGTCAGAAGCTGAGCCCCATCTCTCCCCAGTCTCCTCCCCATCCCACCAATCCTCCTCTGAAAATGGTTTTTCAGGTGCTGGTCACCCAGGAACAAACTCAAGGCCACTCAGTGGAGGGGGTTCTGCCCACCTTCCTGCAGCCCTGCTGAGGACTCCAGCCAGTTAACCCAGGGGACAGCGTCATGGACCTCAGCGTGGCATCTCATCCACATGATTCTCGTGGACTCCCCACTGGTGTCCCTGTCCTCTCTCTGTCCCTCTGGGCTAGCCTTAAATACAGGCCTCACCACCAGGAGCATCACAGCTATTACTGAGCACTGACCAGTGTCAGGCATTGAGGGCTTTGCCTGTATTCTCCTTTATTCCTCAAGACAAACATGGAAGGGAAATACTATCATTATCTCCATTTCTTTTTTTTTTTTTCTTAATAGAGACAAGGCCTCACTACATTGTCCAGGCTGGTCTCAAACTCCTGGACTCAAGCTATTGTCCTGTCTCGGCCTCCCAAAGTGCTGGGATTATAGATGCAAGCCACCATGCATGGCCTATTACCTCCATTCCAATGATGAGAAAAGTGAGGTATGGAGCGTTTAATCTGCTCAGGGATGTGTGGTTATACAGTTACCAAAGTCTTAGAGCTGGGATTGGAATACAAGATAATCTGATTCGACTGCAGATCATGTGCCCTAAACCACTCAGCTACATGGCAATTTTACCTCTTACCAGAATCACCTACAGGATAAAGTCCACATGCTTCCACCTGGTCTGCGGGGACCCTCATGTATAGCTCAGACACGCCATTTCAGTCCTAGGACCCAGTGTGTCCAATTGTCCCACTCTCCATTCTGACCGCACTCCTCAGCTGCCCACTTCCACACCTTAACCCATGTCTTCTTGCCACCCAGAGTCTCAACCCCACCTCCATATGTCAAAATGCTCCCTCCAAGGCCTTCTCAAATTCCTCTTCCTCTACCCAGGGTAGGTCATGCAGCATGATGGAGGAGAGGCCTGTGGTGATGGGGAGACAGCGGACCTGATAACATGGTCCTTGCCCTTCCAGAAGGTGATTGGGGGATCCAGATCCCTCACTCTGGGCCTGTGCCCTCATCTGTAAGACGGAGGGGGTGGGACTAGATAATCTTTAGGAGCCTTCTTGCTCTAACAGTCTGAGACCCTACTGCTTTCACCATCCCCCAAAATAGAGGTGAAGTTGCCTTTTTAAAATCCCTTTAACATTCACAGAATGGAGAGAATGTTGGGGCTGGGAGGACTTCAGAGGAAACTAATCTCGCCCTCTTACTTTTCCCCCAGGCCTGGCAAACCATCTGGGGAGTGGTGGGAGGGAGGCCATGCTCTCTGCTCCACCAAGAACCCATCTCAGCAGGTCCCCAGCCCTGCAGAGAAGGGGTGGGAGGAGCCTGGAAGGGCAAAAGCTGCAGAGCCTGGCTCTGGGCCGGGCCTGGCCTGCCCAGCTCCAGGAGGCCTCAGTAGTTTTCCATAACCAGCAGGCCCACAGCCCAGGACATGTGCTCCCCTCTCCCTTGGCCCCCTACATTCCTCTGCACATTCAGGCAGCAAAATGGCATTCAGGCTCTGTTGGGGGCGGAAACCCAGACACACACAAAGACTCATAGATACAGGTTCAGCCACAAACACACAGACTCGGAGAGATAACGCAGATCCTGGCAGGGTCAAGGTGCCCAGGCACAAACAGCACCCACAGATACAATACGCCCACCCCGCCAGAGCCACCACGATCCGTTCTCAGAGGCACATGTGCATAAGAACATCACAGAGATATTCATTCTGTGCAGACACACAGGCACATGCATAGCGGGAGGTCACGTGTCCACTCAGCAGTCGCCCCCATGCGCCTGCCATCCTCCCTCCTCCCCTGAGCCCCCACACTCCCTGTCTAGGTCAAATCTTGGTCAAGGAATGGAAAAAGTCCCAAGCCGCCGCAGTTGTAGGAGTCAGGACAGAAGCCAGACAGTCCCGGGAACCAGCCGAGCTCCCTTCCCGCTGAGAAGGTGCCATTTTTTAATTCCATAGAATTCACGGGACAATCCCCATCCTGTTCCTGGGAGGCCAGGGTGAGGCTGGATCCTGGATGGTTCCCCAGCCCACCCTCATGGCCTCTGGGGTTCCAGCTCCGTCCCCAGCTGCAGGGGGAGGGCAGAGGGACCTCTGGAAAGTCATTTCCCAGATGCATTGCCCTCCAGTCCCCTCTCCAGCCACCTGGCGCCTCCACCCTCACCCCATCTCCCTCCTTCAGCCCCACATCTGTCCTCCAGGAGATTAACGGAACTCATTCCTCGGGTCCACCACACTGAACCAACCAGACAGAAGGCCATGAGCAGGGGGACCCTGGGACGGGCCCATGGCAGAGCCTCCGGCTTGTTGTCAGTGATTACCTGGGGTCAGGGGTCTGCTGGGACTGCCTGGCCCCCATGTTTTGGAGCAGGCAGTCCTGGGCTCCAGTCCCAGCCTCACTCCCTTCTTGTCTTAGGACGTTGGGCTGGCGGCTTCAACTCTGAGCCTCACATTCCTTCATTTATAAACTGAGACTAATAACGCCACCTAACTCTCAACAACAAATACAGAGTTTATCATGGGGCGTCATTTAGAACTCTGGCTTTAACCAAGAAACAAGTTGTGCGACTTGGGCTAGTAATTGGACCTCTCCTAGCCTCGGCTTCTCTGTCCGGGAACGGTAGCCTTTGCTACCCTGGATGTACGGAGCAGACGGCCTTCCTGGGGGCCTCCCGCCAATGGGCTCCAATCCTCAGCGCCCACCTCGCCCCCAACCCCGCTTCCCGTTCCCTTGCCTGGCCCCAGCCGGCAGGGCTGTCAGCCGGAAGGGATTTGCAGCCCGAGAGGAATCAGCTGGGTCGGCACAGAGGCCGCCTTGTCCTGGTGGGGACCCGAGCCCGCGCAGTCACGTTGCTCAGCGGGCGGTCGTGGTGCCAGCGCCCAGCCCGCCCCCGCCGCCCCCGCCGCCCCCTCCCGGCCCGGGTGCGCTTCAAGGGCCGGCGCCGGATTTCCTGGCCCCGCGCCCAGCGCCCCGCGGGCTGTTTGGGAGCGCCCGGTGAGGGGACTGCAGGGGCTCCGAGGGCGCACAGCTTCCGTCCCAGCTCCCGCGCCGACTGGAAGCGGCCGGGGCGCACACCCCGCCTGCCCGCTCCCACCCTAGCCCTGCAAACTGGATCCCCTCCCCTTTCCCCCAAAGGGAACAGGCCTGGCCTCCTGCTCCCTTCCCCAGTCGCAGTCATCCCGATCGATGGTCACACATATCGGCAGAAAAAGTCTTCGAACTTGGAAGACCTCTCAGGATGAGCCTCACCGAGGCTGGATGGGGAGGAGGGAGGACTGGGTGAGTCCATTCCCGGTGTGGGCTCCAGATCTGAGTCAATTGTAGGCATCTAATCGGGATGTTCTGGGTCTGGGTTGGAAGCAGATCCAAATGGACCCGGTTCGGGTGTTGGGATCTCCTCTTAGTGTTCAGGGTTTGGGTGCTGGGACCCTCTCTGGGTGCTCGCATTTGGATGTTCGGTTCTTTACGGGAGTTTCTGGATGGCGTTGTAGTGATCCAGTACTGAGTTTGTAATGGAAACTCAGCCTGTGTAGATGCGTCTGGGTCAGGTGCTGGGACCTTTTCTCTGTGTTCAGAGCCCAGTTGTAAGTTCTCTCTGGGTCAGGTGGTTGGGGCTTTCTCTAGCGTGGGTGTTGGAGCCCATTCGGCCTGGTGTTCAGTGCTGGGTTCTTCTCTGGGTGTCCAGAGTCTGGGCTTGGGACATGCCTTGTGGATAAGGCCGAGGTGTAAGCAGCCACTCCGGGTTTGTTTGGGACTCCTGGACAGGGATAGAGTGCCCAGCCCCAGACCCTCCCATTGGCCAGAAGGCAGACATCACTGTTAAGCCCCTGCTCTGCATCACCAAGACCACTGTGGGACCAGCAAAAAGCCGGAGAAGGAGGGACTTGGCAGCTCAGCTTGACACCTCCGTCTTTAGAACCCAGGAATTGGAGGCAGAACCTGGACTGGAGCTGGAGTCAGTCAGGACCTCACTCTGACCAGAGACATGTCCCTTCCCTTCTCTAGCCTCAGCTTCCTCACCAATAAAATGAAAAGTTGGATTTTATATTCTCCAAGGCCCCTAGGGCATGCTCTCGCTAGTATACACAGACTCGTGCACACATATGTACGTTACTCAGTCCAGCCTTCCCACTTTGCCCATACTGATCTTCCTGCCTAGAACACCCTGCCTCTTTCTTCTCTCCCCAGTCTCTACCAGTCCCTCAAGCCTCTGCCCCTCCTTTTTCCAGGCCCATAGTTGGAGCCCTCCTGCCCCAAGACCACGGGCAGCCACAGAGCCAGCCTGACTCTTCCGGCTCTCTCCATCAGGCTGGAAGCTCTCTGAGGTCGAGACCCTGTCTGCTCCTGGCTCCCACGCTGAGACTTCGTTCTAGAAGGGCCTGGGGTCCCAAGATCAGCTCAGCCACCATCCCAGACTTGCAGTTGACCCTTTAAGAAGAAGAATCTCTTTAGTCTCTAACACACCGGATGGCGGGTGGGCCCTAATCGGATTTGGGAGCCTGTCTCCTGCCCACCCCAATCCTGCTTTCCAGGCCACTGCACCCATGTGACGGCCAGTCTGGAGCAGCAGGGAGGCCTCAGGACCACGTGGGTCCAGACAGGTAGTTGAGAGACTGTCTACCCAAGGCAGTCTCTCCTGGGTGGCTGTGTTCCCAGCAGACAGAAGTCAGAAACTGCGGAAGGCAGGAGTGATCTAGAGCACTTACCCTGTACTCTGGACCAACCGGCACAGTGGAGCATGTGCACATGAGTACCCACATGTGTGCATGTGGGGAACACACATATGCGTGCACACACACACACACACACACACACACACACATCTCAGAGAGGGAGCTGAGCCAGATTCTGGGCTAGGCGCTTTACAAACAATATTTCTTAGCCCTCAAAGCAGCCTTATAGGAATCATTAGCCCTATCGGCAGAGGAGGAAACTGAGGCTTAGAAAGGGGAAGGGCCTAATCTGAGACCATACAGCTGATAAATATGGAATCAGAATTCCGAGCCATGCCCCTTGCACAATACCACTCTGCTGCTCTCACACACACACACGCACAGGTGCACGCAGAGCCTTCACACACTTGTACACAACCCCTAAACCAGTTGTTGCATATCAAAGCTGGAAGGGGACTTAAAAGATCATCTTGGCTGGGCGCGGTGGCTCACACCTGTAATCCCAGTACTAAAAAGTACAAAATTAGCTGGGCATGGTGGCAGGTGCCTGTAATCCCAGCTACTCAGGAGGCTGAGGCAGAAGAATAACTTGAACCCAGGAGGTGGAGGTTGCAGTGAGCCGAGATAGCGCCACTGCACTCCAGCCTGGGCAATAAGAACGAGACTCCATCTCAAAAAAAAAAAAAAAAGTCATCTTGCCTTGTCCTGTTCATTCTATTTTATGAAAAAAGAAAGGGGAAGGGATTTGTTGAAGTTTTCAACAGTTATGAAACGGCAGAACCAAGATGACATTCACGTCTCTGTTGTCACATGGAGTCACATGTATACACATCCACAAACCACATAGTTTACTCATAGAGTCTCATGCACAAACCCATGAGCATACATATTAACATACACATACACACCTGAGCATACCCACAGACATTTACCCTTCACACACATACATATATACATGGACATAGAGTCACACGCCATCCACATGCACATACACTCGTTCTCACACAATCCTCATGCTCACAGATCTATTCACACACGCAACACATAACCCATGTTCCCTCACTCCCACTCTCACATGTACCCACCCTCTTGATGCAGAAGAGATAAGCTGACCCTGATCGGGGCCCTGCACAGTCAAGGCTGGACCCTGGGGTAGGAGTACACACTGAGCCTTTAAGAGGGGGTGCCCTGGAACCAGTGAAGCATTGCGTGGGTATGCCCTGCCCTTGACGTCTGTAGCCCTGGGGAGTGTATTCTGCCAGCAGCTCCCCACAGGCCCAGGCAACCGGTCCCACATCATCTTGGCCAAGCCCAGCAGGTAGCCCCAGCAAGTGCCAAGTAAGTCATGGGCCAAGGGTGTCTGGGCCAGGCTGGCAGCAGGGCTGGTCCCAGCTTGTTCACTAATATTTGTCTTCTGCCTGGAGCCCTTTTGGGGACGCTCCTCCCTCCATGGGCCAGACCCTGAGTCACGAGGCCTCTTCCTAGACCCAAGTGAAGATGAGGATCGAGGCATCAGGATTTGGGGGCAGAGACTCAGAGCTGCTAATGGGGTTTACCAAGGTTGGTGAGCTGGCTAACTCAGGCTTCTGCAGGACACTTTGAGATGGGCCAGTTAAGCCAACTAAGTCTTTCTTGGTGACTGGAACGCTATGCACATTTCAAATACAACTAATCTCAAAACCTAGTCTATGAGGAAGGATAGTTGTCAACATCTTCTAATAGATGAACGCTGGGCAGGAAGCAGACAAGTTGGACCAGAGGTGAGGCCACTTAAGCAGTTTCTTGAGGGGTGAGTAGGGGTTCACCAAAAAGCTTTTGAGGCAGAGAGAAAAATGTTTCAGAGAACAGCTTAAGTGTGAACTGAAGTAGAGGGTAGGGTGAAGGTATAGAAGATGAGGCCAATTAGAGTCAAGCACTCAGTAAACATTTACCAAGAATCTGCTGTGTGCTAGATGATGGCATGTAACAAGGACCTGGTCCCTCAAGGAGCTCAGGCTCAAGGGTCCTAAATTTAAGTGCTTTCAGGTGCCAGGAAGGTAATATAGATGAGTAAAAATGGAGGGCATAGGTTAATAGGGAGTAGTGATGTTTGTTTCTAACAGGAGAGTCCGTGCCCTGTCGAAAGCTTTTACATTAAGAGTATTTGTCACTTATAATCCCAGTACTGTGGGAGGCCAAGGAAGGAGGATCACTTGAGCCCAGGAGTTCAAGACCAGCCTGGGCAACATAGCAAGACCTCATCTCTACTAAAAATATAAAATAAAAATTAGCCTGGTGTGGTGGCACGTGCTTGTGGTCTCAGCTATTCAGAAGGCTAACGTGACAGGATCCCTTGAGTCCAGGACTTTGAGCCTGCAATGAGCTATGATCTGATCACACCACTGCACTCCAGAATAGAGTGAGACCCTGCCTCACCACCACCACCACCACCAACAACAAAATCTTTCAATCCTGTGGCAACCAGAAAAAAAACAGAACCTGAATTGTGGACTAGGTTCAGCAATAGACCTTGAATTGCGCCCCAGGTTCTGGACTCCGGAATCTAGATCCTAGAATCTGGAGAAGACTTGCAGGTGGAGCTGAGGAGTCCGAGCCCAGCTCTGTAGGTGGCCTAAGACCTGTGGAAGGTTCTTGCCATGAATCGACAGTTGTCATGGGAACCTCCCAGAAAAAATCTTTCACACTGTGACTGTTGGACATGACAGGACAGTGTGTGTGTTGCCCAAGATACTAAGGACAAGGACAAAGTTTTGATTTGCCCTATCACAACTGTGTCCTGGCCAGGGCACGTCATTTTCACCCCTTCTCCTACTCCGGAGCAAAATCCCTCCTTTTTCTACCCACATCTTAGATAGAAAAACTGACTAAATTGGGTCCCCTCACATTTCTCTCTCTGACCTAAGGCCAGCACAAAAGGGCAACCCCCCTACATGCGCGCACACACACACACACACACACACACTTCCATCCAAGGGGAGAATAAAGAGTGCTCTGTCAGCCCTGTCCCTGGCCTTCCTCACAAAGCACCTCTGGCTGTGGGCACTGGGGAAGCGGCCTCCATTCTGCAGAGGTGGGCAGCCTGGGAGGAAAGGAGTGGCCAGGCCATAGAGGCAGAGGCCATCAAATAAACAACCTTGCATTTTGCTAATGTTTATATGTGTTGTTGATCTTGGTCTAAAAGTGTGAAAATGTCGCTGGATGCCAACTGAGAATTTCTTGGTTCTAAGCCTGGTCCAAACTCAATTTTGCTGGGTGACCTTAGGCAATTCCCTGCCCCTTTCTGAGTCTCGGTTTCCGTTCTGTAAGGCAAGGGGGTTGGACTAGTTGGTCTAGAAGTGATTTTCTATGTGTTCCATCTCATGGAAATGTCAGAACAGCTTTAGAGATGAAAATGCTGGACTTTGTGTCCTGGTTCCCCTGAAGTCTCATGGGACACCTGGGGACTAGGTTGGTGTCCAGGCAGGAGGCACAACACCAGGACTAGTTGGTGTCCTGGCATACCCAGATTAGATGCAGTTCTGCCATTGCATGGAGCAGGAGGGGGTCATGGCCAGGCACCCAACACAGCCATCTTCCCTTCCCAGAACACACACAGACCCCAGATGCTGGGCTCTGGAACCCGGAAGCTGCACTGGGCAGAAATGGGCCCCCCTTCCCACTCCCCACCAGCTGCAGCCTCCCTTCTGGATTCTCATTAAATTATTCTACCCCACTGGTCCCAGGCTCAGGCTGCGTTTGATGTATGCCCATCTAGCATCTGAGGCCAAGACCAGGCCTCTCACACCAGGCCAGGCTGATGGGCTCTGACAGCTTCCATGGGGCCCCAAGGTGGCAGGAAGACCAAGGCCCACACTCACACCCACAAAGACACATGCTCAGACCCGTGCACAACCGCAGATTTTTTCATACACATGCACACTCGCCTAGTCTCACAAAGACACGTGTGTCCTACATTGTGGCACAGACATGTGCACCGCGGCACACTCACATGCATCCAAGCACATGCACGCATCCAAGCACACCCACGCACTCACCCATACACCGCGCTTGTAGCATGTGCACCCTCATGCACACTTGTGGTCACTCACACTCACTCAGCTCAATGGCACTCAGGCTCTGATTCAGGGCCTCCTGTTGCCTTCTTCCTTGCCCCTCAACTGGCATTTAAGGTCTTCTGCAGCCTCACCTCTGACCTCCTCACCTTCGTCATCTTTTGGAGGTCATAGCATTGTGATTAGGAACCCAGGCAGCCTGATGCAGTTTTGGGTACCTCATTTATAAGCTACGTGACTGTAAGCAAGTTACTAACTTCTCTGGCCCTCTGTTTCCTTTCCTGTAGAATGGGAATGATAATAGTACACTCTGTCAATTGAGGAAAATAACGAGTCGAGTCTCAATCATTTTAGGAGATTGATTAGCCAAAGTTAAGGACACACCTGGGAGACAGCTTTACGCCTTTCTTCAAAGATGATTTTCAGGGCTCCCAATTTAAAGGGGAAAGGGTGGGATATTGAGAAGTACACAGTTTTCCTGTAAGTGAATCTGCATCTTTTTTAGGTAAGATGACATAAACAAAGGGGCAGAGGAAAAATGGGAGGAATCTGCATTTTACATAAGATAACACAGACACAATGGGGTAGGGGAACAATCAGATATGCATTTACGTCTGGTGGGCTGGGGTGACTGCCTTGTAAAGATAAGCTACCAATATGCATTGCCATTGTGAAGTTTTAACAGCTCACTAGGAATTTCCTTGTGGGCAAAATATGGGTACCTTTTCATCTGGTAGCTGGGATTACAGGCGCCTGCAGCCACACCCGGCTAATTTTTGTGTTTTTAGTAGAGACAGAGTTTCACCATGTTGGCCAGGCTGGTCTCGAACTCCTGACTTTAGGTGATCTGCCCACCTCGGCCTCCCAAAGTGCTGGGATTACAGGCTTGAGCCACTGTGCCTGGCCAGCCATCTTACTTAGGAACTAAAAGTGGGAGGCAGGTTTGCATGATCCAGTTCCCAGCTTGACTTTTCCCTTCGACTAAATGCATCTGGGGTCCCAAAATTTAATTTCTTTTCACAATGCCTAGGGTTGTTGTGTGGCTTAAAAGAAATTCAGTACTTAATCACTGAGAACAGCATCTGGCGCACTCAATAAATGCCAGCTGCTTTCTCTTGCCCTTCCTTTTCATACCATTTGCCTCAGCCACAACAAAATCATTCAATTTCCTAGACATGCTAAGCTGCTACATGCTTCCAACCCTTTTCATATACTGCTCCCTCTACTTGGAGCACCTCTTCCCATTTCCTCCTCCCTGCTATACACCTAGTGAGCTCTTATTCACCTTTTTTTTTTTTCTTTTCGAGAAGGAGTCTTGCTCTGTTGCCCAGTCTGCAGTGCAGTGACGCGATCTCGGCTCACTGCAAGCTCCACCTCCCGGGTTCACGCCTTTCTCCTGCCTCAGCCTCCCGAGTAGCTGGGACTACAGGCACCCGCCACCACGACCAGCTAATTTTTGTATTTTTAGTAGAGACGGGGTTTCACCTTGTTAGCCAGAATGGTCTCGATATCCTGACCTTGCGATCTGCCCGCCTCGACCTCCCAAAGTGCTGGGATTACAGATGTGAGCCACCGCCCCCAGCCCTTTTTTTTTTTTGGAGACTGAGTTTTGCTTTTGTTGCCCAGGCTGGAGTGCAATGGCACAATCTTGGCACACCGCAACCTCTGCCTCCCGGGTTCAAGCGATTCTCCTGCCTTCCTGGGTTCAAGCGATTCTCCTGCCTCAGCCTCCCGAGCAGCTGAGATTACAGGCATGTGCCACCATGCCTGGCTAATTTTTTTGTATTTTTAGTACAGACGGGGTTTCTTCATGTTGGTAAGGCTGGTCTCGAACTCCTGACCTCAGGTGATCCGCCCATCTCAGCCTCCCAAAGTGCTGGGATTACAGGCGTGAGCCACCGTGCCCGGCCTTATTCACCTTTTAAAGCTCTGCTCAGGTGGCTCTGCCCTTGGGAAGCCCTCCCCCGCCCCACCAGTAGAATTGATCACTGACTCCTTTGTGTCCCAACCCTGTCCTAAATTGTCTATTTCCCTAGCCTGTGAGCAACTCAAGGACATGGGCCTTGTAAAATTCATAGCTTGATCTGGTACCCAGTGCTGGACATGGATCATTGTGAGCATCAGTGGTATGTGGAGGAGTCAATTGTGCTACATCATGGTGAGGTATAAACAAGAAGCACTTGTGCAACTGATTGTTAACCAAATGCATATTTTATAAAGACAAACATATTTTAAGGGCACATTTTAAAACACATTGGAGTGGATTCCTAGAGTGAGTAAAGGAGTAAGGAATGAGCATGAGAATCTGGGAAGAGGGAGAAAAATTACATTAGCACGGAGGAAGGAGTGTGAGTTGCTCGACTCTATGCATTTGAAGTCCAAACAAGTAGAAACAAAAAACCACATCCGTGGAAGTGTACCATTTTAATCTCTTTTACAGTTGAGGCAATCAACTAGTTAGACAGTCGTTCTTTTGTTTAGATGTTGGTTTTACAGTCCCTACACAGCATCATTGTTGATAGTTTTCCTTAATGCAGAGAAAGTTGAATTTTCGTTTGATGTGCCATCCCCGCCCCTCTGTTGCATGCACAGAATCACGTAATGAAGCCCTGATTGGAGCCTGAGCCATGTTCTCCCTAAGAGTGGGAACTTAGAGGCTTCTCCAGGGCAGACCCCATGACTTCTATGTCCTATAGATGAATGAATGAATGAATGAATAAACGAATGAATGAATGAATGAGTGGTGAACAAGGAAGGGAAAGGAAAGAGAAAGAAAGGGAGCTAGGATGAAGAAATGGAAAAAAAAAGATTCCACGGAAATTTCAGGATAGGAGGATGCTCCCAGAACCTTCTCTTTCTTTCTTGATCCCTACCCAGGGCATGAGTACTGAGCAGGGCTAGGGGTGGGGGGCAAGAGGCTACAAACTGAACTGCTGATCTGCTCAAATCTTCCCACTCACGAGGAGTTACTTCTCTTGCGGAGAGGCAGCGATCACAAGATAGCACACTCTTAAGGATCCAAACCCCAATAGGACACTCAAACCCCCCACTTCCACTCCAGGAAGGACGCTGAAGCTGGCCCCTGTGCTAACGACAACAAAGATAGTAATAACTGATGTGCTACTTTGTACTGGATGCTTTCATCCACTTAATCCATTTTAATTCTCATATCAAGTATGCATGTTAAGAAATTATCGTCATTTTACTGGTGAGACTACTGAGTCTCAGAGAGCTTAAGAGTCTTGCTTAAAGTTATTGAACACTCAGTAGTAGCAATCACAGCAAACACTTTTTGAATACCCACTCCATGCCAGACCTTATTCAAGCACTTTGTAGGCTTAACTCATCTATCCCCACAACAGCCTCTGGGCAGCAGTCATTGTCCCTAACTCACAAATGATGAACCAAGATACAGACAGTCACACAGCTAACACATGGGAGACCTGGCGAAGGAGGTTAGACAGTCTGACTCCAGTTTACTCTCTCCACCCCCAGGCTATGCTACCTTTTGTGAAGCAGAACTGGGCAGGGTAGACCTTTTGTGAAGCAGAACTGGGCAGCCATTTGGATTGGGTTTGGGTGGGGGTAGGGTAGCTAGATCCCTTGATATTTGGGGAGCTGGCTCCCTGCCAGCCAAATGGCAGCCCATTGAGAATGAGATCGAGGACATACAGAGTCAGTTACTGGTCCTGCTGGGGCCCCATAGTCTGCCTGCCCTCTCCTCCAAAGGGCCCCTAAGCCTGGGGAGATGGGAGAGGCTGCCTCTCCCCCTTTCCCAGCCAGAGCGGTATGAGCTAATCCTGGGAGAAGACACATTAGTCGAAAAGAATCAGTTCCTGCCTGCTCTGCTGAGTCAGCAGGAAGTACAGCCCTGGCTCTGCCAGCTACGTGAGCCCCTGCACGCCGGCCACCACTGCCTCCCTGCCGCCCCAGCCCCAGCCCCAGCGCGGCCCCTGCCATCCATCAGCACACCCTCACGTGCCTCGTTCCTGCTGACCTGCCCCTAAAGCACCCTCCAGCTCAGCAATCCTGAGCCTCCCTCTCTGTCCACTTTCCCAGCAACAGACCTGTTTTTCAGCACCATCCCCACAGACCCCCAGAAAGCAGCCATCTCTGCCTGCACAGAGAATTAAACCTCACCAGGATTGCAGCAGGTGGAAAGAAGGGCTTTTGGAGAATGTGGTGAGCCTTTTTCCCCACGTCCAGCATGCTGTCAGCTCCAGAGAAGAGAGCTTGCAGTCGACTCACGGTATCTAAGGGTATCATTGCCAGAACCCGTACCGCTCTCCGTGTAATCCCCAACCTCCTGGTCATCATCTCGGCCTCTACCACCGCTACCACCACCGACTTCCCACCACCCTCCCTACTACTGCCATTATCGCTGGGAACACCACCTCTGCTGCCACTACCATCAGCCATGACTGCAAGACTACCATCAAGTTCACCATCACACTAGCACCCATGCGACTAGCACTTCCATCAATGTCACCTACTGAGACAGGCAGGTGTCACCAATACCATTAAAAACATTACTGTAACTAACACCAACACCAATACCACCATTATCACCAACACGAAGCATCATTAAAATCATTTTGACCAACAACACCTCCTTATACCAACCCCACTATAAACATTGACATAATTGTCATTTTACCATCAAAACTATAACCATTCCTTGCAACACCAACATCGTCACCCTATCTTTACCACTGTTACCCATATCGACATCATTGTGCCCCCACCATCACCATTACCACTACCGTAAGCAAGACACCACCATCATTGTCACACTACCCACCACCACCATCCTTACCATAACTGCAGTCAGCATCACCACTAAACATCACCATCAGTATCACTACCACCACAGTTATAACCGACACCAGTGTCACCATAACCACAACCAACACCACCATCACTATAACCACGATATACTTGTCACCAGTACCCCCACCACCATGAACACACCATCACCCCCAACACGGTCACCATGACCGTAGCTCTCCATTAGAATGAGAAACTGTTGCTGTTTATCTGTACCCGTTTCTATGCCAGGCCGAATGTCACAACAGTGAGAGAAAAAAGGAAAGTTCTAACTTATTGTTCTGATCATACAATGATATGCACACTTGCTTTCCCTTAATATCCCCCTTTGAACAGACATGATTGTTTCGCTAAATTGGTTCATTTAGTGATTCATAGAGGAACAGCCATGCCTGCCTGAAAAACACGGGAGTGGTCATGGGACTCATCCCCTACTGCCTGTGACATCAGTAAGCCCAGCTCCCAACACACCCTTCTCCCTCCCACCTCCCTCCAGACATTCCAGGCCACTGCAGATTTCTCTGCCCCTCCAATGTAGATTTTCTTCCCTTTGCTCTCTTAATTTTAAACTTCCCGTAGGGCAGAACAGCATGTGGAAAGAACCCATGCTTCTTCCAAGATGTGTTGCATGCTGTTTTATGACAGGGAATTGAACTGTTTCCCAGAGAACTCTGCAAACAAGTGTTTAGAACACGCCTTTGAAGGATGTTTCTTATCCTCGTGTCTATGACTTATTGTGAGGGGATTGCATGTACATGTTTAAAAGCTGACAGTCAGAGCCATGCATTCTAGACTTGGTCCTACAACTAACTGTATGTGTGGCCTTGAAAAGCTTGCTTATTTTTCCCCCACCAAGAAAAGTACGACCTTCTGACTCTGGTGCTCTAAAGACTTTTTTGAGCTGAGACACTCCTAGGATAGGTCTGAGTGCTTTTTCCAGAAGGTCCTTTTGAATGGTAAAACAGAATGTCAAGTCTGATTGGTTCCCCCATCCCATCAGACTTGGTTCCCCTGGCCAGCATGTCCTGGGATCTCTAAGGACATCTCCATGAGCCCTGAGATGATCCTGCCTGGGCAGGGTGGGGCCCAAAGGGTTAATTAAGCCAGTCAGAGCTGTGCGTGAGCAAGTGTCTCAGATGAAAGGTTGGTCCGAGAGAGAACGCCATGTGGCTGTTGTGGTTGGCAGGTCTGGGGCAGTGGGACCAGGCTAGGTCCCGAAGGAAACCACCTCCTGGTCTCACCAGAACAAAGTGGTGTTTTGCAAAAACGCCATTGTTCTTGGGCAAGTCTTTCCCATCTCAACATAAACCAGGAAGCAGTGCTTCCTTTCCTTGGGCGAGACCCCAAGGTCCCCCCCACCGTTGGGAGTGGGGGGAGAAGAACAGACTTTTTCCTGACTTGAATGATCTTCTGCAAAGCTCAGCTGAAGAGCAGCAGCCCCTACCTGGCTATATCCAAGGGGGTGTGTGTGTCTTCCCTACACAGGGAGAAAGAAACAGAGGGGGGTCACCGAGTCCTGTTTCCTGTCTCCAAACAGGACTCTGTACCTAAGCCAGACTGTGAGCGACATGTCACTGCCCATCCATCTCCCCTCACCACTGTGCCACTCAGGCTTTCTCTGTTGCCCAAGCATGGCGGTTGTGTTTCTGCCTATAGCCTGTGTGTGGCTGCTCCCTCTGCCTGGAACTCCCTTCTGCCCTTCACATGTGGGCTCCTTCTCATCATCGTGGTCTCTCTCCTAACTCAGTGAAGTACTGTTTAATTCCTTGTTCAGTGTCTGTCCTTCCTGACATTCTGTGAGCTCCCCAAGAGCAAGGGCCAGGACCTGGGTCAGCGCTGCTCATTGCTGCATCTCCAGCACCTGGCACAGGACAGCCTCCCATGCGTGTGACTGTACCTGCGTGTGCTCCCCACCCCACTCCCAACCCCACTCCCCCTAAAGAAAACAGATCCAGGCTGGGCGGGGTGGCTTACACTTGTAATCCCAGCACTTTGGGAGGCCAAGGCGGGTGGATCACGAGAGGTCAGGAGTTCGAGACCAGCCTGGCCAACATGATGAAACCCTGTCTCTACTAAAAATACAAAAATTAGTCAGGTGTGGTGGTGCGCACCTGTAATCCCAGAGACTTGGGAGGCTGAGGCAGGAGAATCCCTTGAACCCGGGAGGCGGAGGTTTCAGTGAGCGGAGATTTTGCCACTGCACTTCAACCTGGGCAACAGAGCGAGACTCCGTCTCAAAAAAAAAAAAAAAAAAAACAAGAAGGAAAGAAATCAGATTCAGCCTCAAAGGCAAGGAAGCCATTTCCCTTGTCAACCCTAGAAGACCAGAGCAGTCTCAGACCTTCAGAGCATCCCATCCAACCACTCCATTTTCCTGAAGGGGAAACTGAGGCTTAGAACCAGAAAGGTTCTGGTCCAAGCCCCATGGGTGGTCAATGGAAAAGCTGAGCTCGACTCTGGGACTCCTGGTGCCAGTGCTGCTGGACAAGGCCTGTCACCTAGTTTCCAAGCTTAGGCACAGCCTTGCTCTAAATCTCTCACCTCTTCAGATACAAGACCCGGCACATTCAGGCTCCCACCACTTAGGAAATTCCAGCATTCACCCAACCCACTTCCCAGAGAACTGACTCACTGTAGACCCAAGGAGAGAAATTCCTCCCATGGCTTTGCCTAGCTGAGGAGATCAGAGTCCCTTCTTACCATCATCTCAGTGCTTCCCATTGATCACTTTTTCCTATCCCTTAGATACTAAGAGGGGCATCCTTATGGGCCAAGGAAGCCATAGGTACAGGTTTCTATCCCTTTAAGCTCCTTTTTTTTTCCTTTTGTATAGTCAGCACGTCTACCTTTGTTTCTACAACTTTTGCTTAAGTCAGGAAGGCTCATTCGCTTAAATATTTGTGGATGAATAAATGGAGAAGGGCCGGGCGTGGTGGCTCACGCCTGTAATCCCAGCCTTTTGGGAGGCTAAGGCAGGTGGATTACATGAGGTCGGGAGTTCGAGACTAGCCTGACCAACATGGAGAAACCCTGTCTCTACTAAAAATACGAAATTAGCGGGTGTGGTGGCACATGCCTGTAATCCCAGCTACTCAGGAGGCTGAGGCAGGAGAATCACTTGAACCTGGAAGGCGGAGGTTGCGGTGAGCCAAGATTGTGCAACTGTACTCCAGCCTGGGCAATAAGAGTGAAACTCTGTCTCAATAAATAAATAAATAAATAAATAAATAAATAAATAAATATGGAGAAGGGGTGGTAATACCTCCTCATGGGGGCTGCTGGGAGGATTACACGAGACAGCACCCCTAGTGCAAGTAGATGCTGGATCAATGCCAGATCCCTTTGAAAAGTGTAAAGTGCTCCGCATATATGAGATACCATTACATTCCAAGCAACGGGTGTTTACAGATTGCTTCATTTACAAATGGGTTTTTAGGGATTCTGTGGAAAGAAGGTGAAGCCTCTTTTAAGAATTGTTTCCTGGTCAGGCGTGGTGGCTCACACCTGTAATCCCCGCACTTTGGGAGGCTGAGGTGGGTGGATCACAAGGCCAGGAGATCAAGACCAGCCTGGCCAATATGGTGAAACCCCATCTCTACTAAAAATACAAAAATTAGCCTGGTGTGGTGGCAGGTGCCTGTAGTCCCAGCTACTCGGGAGGCTGAGGCAGGAGAATTTCTTGAACCCGGGAGGCGGAGGCTGCGGTGAGCTGAGATCATGCCACTGCACTCCAGCCTGGGTGACAGAACAAGACTGTCTCAAAAAAAAGAAAATGAATTGTTTCCTGAGGTTGGCTGTAGCTACAGAGGGCTAGCCTGGGAATGGTAACCCTTTACGTATTTTTTTTTTTTGAGACGGAGTTTCACTCTGTTGCCCAGACTAGAATTCAGTGGCGTATCCTCAACTCACCACAACCTCTGCCTCCCAGATCCAAGCGATTCTCCTGCCTCAGCTTCCTGAGTAGCTGGGACTACAGGTGCCCACCACCACACCAGACTAATTTTTTGTATTTTTGGTAGAGACAGGGTTTCACCACATTGGCCAGGCTAGTCTCAAACTACTGGCCTCAGATGATCCACCCACCTCGGCCTCCCAAAGTGCTGGGATTATACTTTGTCGGATCTGTACAAAATAATTTATACTCCCAGGTAGCGCATTAAGCAAGCAAAGGAAGTAGAGATGAAGAGGTAATCGAGCAGAATTGACACTAACACTGCTTCCCTTCCTGAAAAGAGAGGTCATCAAACAGGGGTGCTCTCTGGGTTTTTTCATTACTCCTTGGTTTTTCTCTTATCCTAGGTTGAGGTGAGGGTGGGGATGGGGTACATAAAGGTGGATTTTGTGCTTTCAGACAAAGATAAGATAAGGAACAGATAAAATTCCAGGCAAAGAAACTAAGATAAGCAGCTCCTCAAGGGACTTAAACTGCCCAGGAGTGAGAAGGGGGGACAGGAGAAGAGGCCTCTAACTCCCAGCTTCTCAGAAAACCCCAAACAATGTACACAAAGCCCAGAGAATTTATAACCCAGGAAAGGGAGAGCAGATGTATGCTGCTTGCTAAATCCAACCCTGGGGCAAGACAGAAGGAATGGCAGGGTGAATAACCCTCAAATTCCCATAAAGATACAACTTAACCTGAGCAACCTGGACCCCAGCTATGTGTTTGTAATCACAAACTCAAGTCTGCAAGTTCTTTCAAATAAAATTAAAACTGATAGTGCACCCCTTTATGCTGTGCTGATGGGAAATTCCAGTTCTGTTATTATTGGAAGGGGCCTCCCTGCTTTGAGAATGCAAGAGTCTGGAAGGCTTCTGTCGTGCCCAGAAAACACGGAACCAGCCCTTTTAGCTTCTTGCTACTCAAAGTGTGGTCTTGGGAGCAGCAACATCAGAGTCCCTCAGAGCTTATTAGAAATGCATAATTTTAGGACCCCATCCCAGGCCTACTGAATTAGACTGCATTTTATCAAGATTCTCAGGTATTCCTGAATACATTAATGTTAGAGAAATACTGTAGACCTCAAACCATAATGGTCCCCTCTAAACCCCAAATACCCCAGTAGGTTGACATCTCTGCAGCTTTGGAGGATCAAAGGTACCTGGGTGCCTGGAATCCAGGCTCCTTAATGGGGAGCACATAACCAACCACTTGCCTCTGGGATCCTGCTGGTTCTTCCCAGGACCTACTCACCCAATTCCATCTCATTCCTCCTTTTCTTTCTCCCAGCCCAATCCCCTCAAAAAACTCAGGCTTTCAAACAACAAAAGCCTGCAAGACCAGTTGTCTACCAGGGACTTCTCATTTCAGCCTGGCTTCAGCAATACCACCCCCAAGGCAAGGGAGCACAAAGGTACCGCCCAACACTTGGAATGAAGGACAAAAACCACCAACACAAAATAACATCTCAATCCATTTTCCTGCCACACTTATAATTATTTTAACTCTTGCTCTCAATTATATCTGGATTTAAGCGTGCAAAACAAAGGCTTATGCTATAATTTTAATGGACTTGTTTTTATAGGAAAAAAATTTGAGTCTCAGAATCCTAGAAATGATTGCTTCTGAGACTCACAGGGATTTAATTAGCTCCTAGTGTGGGGATTAAAAAATTTTTTTAGCAGCCGTGGAATGTTTTCAGGCCTTTCTCCACTCCAAAAGAAACTGCAGGGAGAATCCCATTGTATAAAACAGAAATGGAGTTGCTTTCGTTGTAAGGTGAGGACACAGAACCCAACTACATAGTCTCCTCTCCACCTCCATAGTGGCCCTGGTGGTGGCTGCAGCAGATCCCTGAGCTTGGTGGAGCACAGGGTGAAGGAACAACCTCAGCCGACCCTCCACCCAATACTGAAACCCCCCTTTCTCCACCTCCGATCACATACTTCCAAGAGAGAAGTCCCACAGGGCAGCCGAACCCGTCATCCATTGGCACCCAGGGCTGGAAAACACTTCCTCTACCATGACCCCCACGCGTCTTCCTGTCACTTCCATCGGAAAGTCCCATTTCTGCCCAGAGGCCTGCAAGGAACAGATTTATCCCCTCTTTCCCATGGTTTACAGAGCATATATTTCCCAGGAGTCTCTTTTCTAGGTGAAACAGGAATTTATATCAATGATATATGTGACTAAGTGAGTGAAGAGATAATCATTGAATGAGTGGATGAGTGAGGAAAGAGGAAGGAAGAAAAAGAACAATGGAATGGGATACTCTGGTCATTCTCTTCTGGACACTTTCTAGCTTGAAAATGGTTCTCTTCACATGTGATACGTGGAAGAAAATTGTAGCATTTGAAACTACACTACTCCAGCTATACCATAACCTGGTGATTTTCTTTTTTTTCTTTTTTGTTTTTCAGACAGAGTCTTGCTCTGTCGCCCAGGCTGGAGTGCAGTGGCACGATCTCGGCTCACTGCAGCCTCCACCTCCTGGGTTCAAATGATTCTCCTGCCTCAGCCTCCCGAGTAGCTGGGATTACAGGCATGCACCACCATACCCGGCTAATTTTTGTGTTTTTAGTAGAGACGGGGTTTCACCATGTTGGCCAGGCTGGTCTCGAACTCCTGACCTCAGGCGATCCTCCCACCTCGGCTTCCCAAAGTGCTGGGATTATAGACATGAGCCACCGTGCCCGGCCTAACCTGGAGATTTTAAACTGTGGCCAATGACCCATGTATATAGTAAAATCAATTTAATGGCTCTCAACTAGCATTTTGCTTAATGAAAGAAAAGAATAGAATAGACCATGGTTCGTCAACCTGCGTTAAGGTTAGGGGTTGTTTGGAAAAATGTTTTTCAGTTATACATACACATGTATGTACATATATGTAGGAATGTGTGTACTGGGAGCTGACATAAAATATATTTCTTACTGTGGGTCACAGGTCAAAAAAAGGAAAGCCAGTGTTCTCACCCTATGAACTAGCCATCATTATTATCCTCCTTTTCTGATAAAGAATATAAAGCACAGATAAATTAAGTAACTTGTCCCAAGGTCACCCAACTAAAAAATGGTAGAGCTGAGCCTGGAACAGGGAGCAGCCTGACTCCAGAACCTGAACCTTTAACCTCTCTATTCCATGGCATCCAGTAGAAATGGCCGTGCCGTGCAGGCAGGTGGACAGTAGTGCAGGACCAATCCCAGGACTCGGGGAGGGACGTCAGCAAAGTGTTCCTCTCACACAGTAGACAGACATTCCTGTGCTGTGCACCCAGCCTTCCTCACAGGGCGCCCCAAGAGCAGACCAATATGGGTTAGTGAAAGGACCACACTGCTTGATGCTCCAGGTCATAACGCAGGCAGAGCCGCACCCAACAGAATCAATCCATTCCTTCTCTTCTGGGCAGAGGGGTGCAAACAGCCATGCAAAGGCTGAGCTACCCTAAGATTTGGTCCATATTTCTCCATTTACCCTCAAAGATATGTGTGAGAAACATTTCAAAAGCCTCATCCACAGCAAAATCGACTGTGATGCTGGTGGCACCAGGTCCTTAACCTGCAGACCTTCATGTCGTGCATTCTAAGAGACTCTCAATATTCTCTTCCCCCAGGCAAACTGCAACCTCTTTCAAGATCCTAAATGCTTTATTGGACAAATACTACCACCCCCTCTGAAATGGATGTTATCAGTATCCATTGCCTCTGAATTCTTCATCTTCCTCATTTGAATGTCCCAAGCCCCTCCTCCATTGCCACCCAAGAGGCAAATTGTGGCAGTATCCTTGAGTCAACCTGCTCAAAAGGGAAGCCTATGGCATTGATATGTGATGGGCTGGGGTGAAGTGGATCTCAGACCCTGGCTGATGAGCTCTCTTCGTTCTTCCTCAGAGCAGTTGCAATAACAGCACAGTCCTATTTTTACATTCTGAGTCTGTGGTCCTTTTCCCACACATGCTCTGATTACCCTTCCTCCAAGAGTAATCTGGGGAGTTAGTCATGCCTTGACCTAAGTGAACCCATCCTGGCTCCCAATAATCCCTGCTTAGGAAAGGAACTTCTGGAATTTTGCCTAGGATTGTCATAAGCTAGCTGCACCATATTTTTCCCATGCTTAAATTGAGATAGTATGTTTCTGGCTTTGTCTCCTGGCACCTCCCTTCTCCCCAGAAGAGCCTCTGGAATGGCCCCATCTCTGCCTGATGCAGCCTTGAATGGAGCAAAAGCAGCTGGGAGCAGCCAGGTCCCAGCCCAGGCAGGCCCACAGCTTCCCGTGAGCCAGACTTGTTCCACTTGTCTAGTTTGAAGAGTTTTCTCCTTGATAGAGAAGACACGGTCATTTGGGTTATGTTATATTGTCTGTAAACATTAAGCCTGCCCCTTATTTTTTTTCCTCTCTTGGTCTAAATAGGGTTCAGAAAGTCTCTTCCATCTTTTTTAGGTCTCAATGTTTCAGGGAGGAGGGACTCAGCCACACCCAGGAAGTGTTTATCCTTTTCACACTCCAACTCAAAACTGAGGGCTTAGGGGCAGGGTTCTGAGGAGCCAGGGCAAGGGCAGGGCCAGAGGACCGGGCCAAGGCCGGGTCTCTTGGGAAGAAAGCCAATGTGGAGCTATCAGGCATTACTGGGGGAGATGCATATCCCACCTGCATCAAGGGAAGCCAGGTGAGCCTTGGAGTCACACAAACCTGGATGGGGAATTCTGGCAACCATTCCTCCTCTCAGGGTTGCCGGGAGGATTAAATGAGACCTGGCATGTAGTAAGGATTCAACAAATCACAGTTAATGTCATTATCATGACTTTTGCTATTATCCAAAGGGCTCTGGTAATCCCAAACTCTCCAGGGAGCCTTTAGGGCTTGCCCAAGACAACCCTGACTCCACGAGCAATTCAAGCTGCCTAATTCAGCACACAGACACTGCAGGCCAGGGCAGGCTGCAGTCACTGTGGCCCCGGCTTCCCAACTACCTAGTTATGAGTCAGGCTTCTCTGATGCCATCCACACAGCTCTGGGCAATGACTGCACCCAGCTGTGCTTGCATGGAGGCAGAGCACTTGGCTTGAAGGGCCATGGGTTAGGGACCAATCCCAGCTCCACTTTCTGACTTCTGCTGAGCCTCAGTTTGCTCATCTATCAAATGGGCATAATAATAAGGCCTCCCTCACTGGGTTATCATAGAGGTTATTATGGGAAAGTACCTAGCTGAGGAGCTGGTACAAAGTAGGGAACTCAAGAAAGTTTGTTCAATTTCAACTCGGGTGCCCAAATGCCTGAATAAAAGGAGACAGATATCCTGGAGAGGGAATGAGAGGCCAGGAGGATGGTGAGTGGTCTTGGAAATGGAGACTTTTCCTTAATAGCTCATTGGCAGTTCCTGGCTGAGAATCTGCCCCTGCAACATTCTGGCTGGGCATGTGGTACGGATGGGAAGAGGAAGAGAAAGAGACAGGAATCAGAGAGATGATAAAGATGAGGCCGCTTCAGGAAGTGCAGAGACTGAAGTTCCATGACCAATCAGTAAAGAAGCTGAGATTTGAACCCAGATGTGTCTGACCCTAAAGCAGAGGTATTCAATGTTTTGGCTTCCCTGGGCCACATTGGAAGAAGAAGAATTGTCTTGGGCCACACATAAAATACACTAACAATAGCTGATGAGCTAACAAAAAAAAAAATCACAAAAAAATCTTATGTTTTCAGAAAGTTTATGAATTTGTGTTGGGCCACATTCAAAGCCATCCTGGGCTGCATGCTGCCCACGGGCCACAGAAAAGTTTGCCCTAAAGCCTGTGTCATTTCAACTTCCAGGGGTGTCCAGTGGTAAGAAGTGGCCTTCCAAAGGGGCTGGTGAATGACCCTCTCACTTCCCAGATCCATCAAACAGGACACTGAAAGCCCAGGGTTACTTAGTGTGACCCCAGACTCCCAAAGGTGGTCATGTTGCAGTCAGGATGTCCGCTGGTCGTCTGTTTTGTTTGTCCATGTCATGGGAAAACAGGAAGCCCCTGAGAAGCAAGGTTTTAGGAATCCCCAAATCCTCCCCTACCACTTGCTGAGGGCTGATGATTCCAAACAGCTGCCTTGGTGCAGGTCAAGGTATTAGAGGCAATTGGATCTGGGTTCAAGTCCCGGCTCCACCACTTGGGAATTGCTCTGTGGTCTTGGGCAAATCACTTCACCTCTCTGAGCCTCTGGTTTTTCCTCAGTGAAGTGTAGATCACTATGTCTCCTTCCCAGCATGATGAATGAGCTTTGTTTTTCTTTTTGTGACTTATGTTCACAGCAGAGAACCAGATACAGAGCAGCTGCTTAGGAAATGTATTGAGTGAACAAGTGAATAACTCTAGCTACCATTTATTGAGTGCTTCCTAGGTGCCAGGCACTGTAGTAAGCACTTTGCATGTATTATTTCATTGAATTATCACAGTAACCCTTAGCAGTTTCAGACCATCTCATTTTACAGATAAAGAAACTGAGTCACAGGACGTGAAGTCACTTACTCAAAACCACTACAGACAGAAAGTAACAGAATGAGGATTCAAACCCAAGTCCCTGTAACTCCAGAGCTGGAGCTATGAGTGAAACTCACAGAACAAGAAGCTCCATCTTTCTCCAGGGACCTCCACCTGGGCAAAGGGAGCCCCAATGGGTATGGGAGTCCAATCAGTGGCCTGGCAGAGCTGGCTATCCTGCTCAAGACTACCATGGAGTGGCCTCAAGTGCCAGCCATTTTGCAGGCAGCATCTCATTTAACCCTCTCAATAACTGTGGGGAGGCATTATCCTTTCCAGTTTCCAGTGAGGAAAGAGAGACTCAGAGAGCTGAAGACCTTCGCTCAGGTTCACATAACTGGGAAATAGCAGAGCTAGAATTTAAACTCTTTGTCTATGAGTCTTCTGGGAAGCAAGAGCTGGGAGTATGAAAGGTTGATTGCAGTGACTCGTGAAAGACAAAGGGGAGGAGATGGGAAGAGAAGCCTTCAGACCATGATGCGAAACTGACAAGGTCCTACCAAATCAGTGGGGAACTCCCCAGCAAGTACTGCCCACTAGAAGAGTTCCACACTCAGCAGAAATGGCCAGGTCTTCAGAGTACCCGGGTCCTTCTCGGTGGCCAGGAGAATCCCAGAGAGATGACCTCAGCCTGCAGCCACTGCAGCTGGAGGCTGTCACCTTCCTGGGTCACTCACAGCTGAGTGGCAAGTTCTTCACTGAAGGGAGGTCCGAGTAGTGTATCTCGTGGCTCCCGCAGTCCACTGGCACCACAGCATGTACTCCTCGGGCTCCCAGTGGACCTCTCTTCCCAAGGGGAAGAGACTTAGAAGAGGGAGGTCAGTGGGATAAACCCCAGCCCCCACCACTGCAGTCCATCTCGGGGCTTCACCTAGTGCTCATCCCCACCTTGGCAGGTCGAACGATGTAACCCAAACCCTCATTCCTGGCAATCGCGTCCTTGGGGTTGCTGTACTTGTCCATTCACAGTCACAGTGGGACAGGGGAGGACAAAGAGATCCCAAGTGGATCATCTTGGTTCCACACATAGTCCTCCCATTTTATTTTTTGGATTTTTATTGTGTATCCACCCATTCTGCAAAAGCAGCTGCCTCCTTCTGAAGCTCAGGGCCAATTACTCCAGCCAAGATGGTGACCCGCTTTTCACCTTATAATTTCTGGACACAAGGAGTCTAAAGTGCTTTGGCAGTAGCCATAACTTGTAGTTCAAAGAGGCCTTGCTGTGTTCTCTAGCAAGAATTCACCATTTCTGGGACCAGGACCTCTACCTTTGCAGAGCCCAGAGCTGCAGGAATGGAGAGTACAAGGTCCCTAATGGGTCACTGGAAATGAGAGTAAATGGGATCATGCCTACTTCCATCCTTTGGTTCTCAGACCCATGTATTTTTCTGATTCCATGAAACCATGATGAGATTTCTGATTCAGTGTGTGTAGTGCATCTGGAGGATGGTCCCCGTCTTGCCACAAACCAAGCTCAAGTTTTTTCCTTCCCTTTCAAGTAGTAGTACATGATCCCCCATAGAGTCATAGGTATGAGTTGAGAGAGGGGCACAGATGCAACCATGATGGGTGGCATGGGGGTCTGGGCTGCTTGCTCATGAAGTCCCACCAAGGATTGATCCCAGATATACTGTTTCTATCATATGGTGAATTGCAGCTGGACTTGCTAGGCTTTAAGACTTGGTGGGTTCAATAGGACCTAGCATATATGGGCAATTCCAGCCAGACATCTGGTCAGCAATTCTGTCTCTAGCATGTCTCAGTAGCATACAGGAGCTGTTTTTCAAAAGGTGTACAATTCTTTCCTGTGAGTGGCACGGCCTTAGCCCAAAACCCCAGGGTCTACCTTTTAATTTTCCATGTGGGGCTTGCCCAAAACTCCATACCCCATCTGTTTCCACACTGACATTTCCAACACCAAGTTCTGCCGGAGTGTATGGCCCAAGTGTCAGGGCTGTTTGCCGTGCAGTCCGGATCTGCTGCAGAGCCCTTTCCTGCTCCAGGTCCCACTCAGAGCTGGGAGCTTTGCATGTCACCCAATGGAAGGACTGCAGTGGTGTCTCTAGGTGTGGAATGTGTGCCTCCAGAACCCAAAGAGGCCTAAGTGGCATTGGGCTTCCTTCTTTATGGTGGCAGAAGCAAACAGCAGCTGTTTGTCTTTTGCTTTTGGTCGGATATGCCAGCATGACCCTGACTCCTAGATCCCTCATATCTTTGCAGATATGACAGGCTTTGAATGTTTGCAAGGTTTACCTCCCACCCCCTGGAGCACTTGTCTTATCAAGGCCTCCAGTGTGCTGTCCACCTCGGCTTATCCTCCTGGTCAGCATGACGTCATGGGTGTCATGGAGCAGTGTGATGTTCTGCAGGATGGCCAGGTGTTCTGCAGGACGATTCTCCTTGGACTATATTGTGAAAAGGAGCAAGAGAATTAACACAGCCCTGGGATAAAACTATAAAGTAGATTATTGTTCATTCTGTGTGCATGTGAACTGCTTTATCTTCTTTCCTGGTTATGATAGAAAAGAACACATTTGCCAAATCAATAGCTGCATACTATGAACCTGAAACAATATTAATCTGTTCCAGCAAAGACAGCAGACCAGCACAGCAGCTGTATTTGGGGCTACTATTAGGTAAAGCTTTTGAGTGTCTATAGTCACACTGTAGGATACACCTGGTTTATTTTTTTAATCTTTAAAAACTTTTTTTTTGTTTTATTTTCTGCAGAGACAGGGCCTCGCTTTGTTGCCCCGGCTGGTCTCAAACTCCTGGCCTCAAGTGATTCCCCCATCTAGACCTCTCAAAGTTCTAGGATTACAGATGAGCCACAGTGCCCAGCCTCATCTGGGCTTAATTTTTCAGTGTGGCCCCTGCAGAAACTAGACGGACCCTCGCTCCTGCATCTTGAGATCCTTAAGGGTAGTGTTACAGTAGTTCCTCCTTACTCAGGAGGGATGCAGTCTAAGACCCGCTGTGGATGCCCGAAACCACAGATACCACAGATAGTACCAAACCCTATATACACTATGGGTTTTTTGTTTGTTTGCTTTGTTATTTTGAGATGAAGTCTCGCTCTGTTGCCCAGGCTGGAGTGGAGTGGCATGATCTCAGCTCACTGCAACCTCCACCGCCCAGATTCAAGCAATTCTTGTGCCTCAGCCTCCCGAGTAGCTGGGACTACAGGCGCCCGCCACTCCTGGCTAATCTTTGTGTTTTTAGTAGAGACGGGGGTTTCACCATATTGGCCAGGCTGGTTTTGAACTCCTGACCTCAGGTGATCCGCCAGCCTCAGCCTCCCAAAGTGCTGGAATTACAGTCATGAGCCAGCTTGCCCAGCCCACTGTGCTTTTTTCCTATACAGTATCGGTTGGGTAGCATAGACAGCATCATGGATGCACTGGACAAAGGCATGATTCATGTCCTGAGCCAGATGGAGCAGGACAACACGAGATTTCATCACACTACTCAGAGAGGCACACAGTTTAAAACTTATTAATTGCTTATTTCTGGGATCTTTCATTTAGTATCTCCAGACTGCGGTGAACTGTGGGTAACTGAAACCTCAGAAAGCAAAACTGTGCATAAAGGGGGATTACTGTATTATCTATCTCCCCCACACCAGGTTGCAATATTGTTTTTGATTTAATATCTTGGTGGGGAGTGGGGCAGGTGAAAAATAGATGGTGGGGGGGAAGGCGTGGTAGAGGTGCAGTTTCAGAGGGTTCCACTTGCCCTTCCCCACTGTGATAGCTCTTGCCCCACAGGGCAAAGGCCCAATGTGGGGATTATTCCATCTGCCAACTATGTCAACCCAACTATTCATTCAGAGACTGAAAAAATGACTACTGAGTTGTCTCATGTGCCCAGTGGGTCCACTGTGAGCTGGACTCTGGACAGGACTCCAATTATTAATACCTTCACACTTAGTTTTTGTTTTTTTAAATGCATTCAGCTTTTCATTATCTCTCTGTAGAATCGATGCAACTTAACACCAGCTAACGTCATTGTCTTCCTGTACACCATCCCCGTTCTTTTCAAACATTTGACTCAGTGTGTGGCCAGGCTGTTCCCTCTGTTGAAGCCTTCTCCAAGTCATTACCAATGAAAGTTTTAGCAATTGAGCCACCACCTTATGCCAGGGACTACCCCTACCCTACATGCCTTGGGGATGGAGTCTTCACTGACAGCTGGACAGCAGGTGATCCAGTAAATGAGCCCATCTGGCCTCCTGTGTCAGTTTTGATCCTTTAGAAAGGAGACACAGTCTGGAGTTAGGAGTGCAAAATATTTATTGGGAGATGCCTGTGAAAGAGGAAGGGGGAGGAACAGGAAGAGGAAGAGGAGGGCAAGCCTTCAGACCATGATGCAGATCTGAGAAAGCCTCCATAGGCTCAGTGGGGTGCTCTAGAACCAAGACTGCCTGGTGGAGGAGTCCCCATTGGGCAGAAATGACTAGACTCTGATCCCCCTGTTGTGCTCAGCCACTGATTGAGAGCTTCCTGGGGAGAGTGTAGCCACCTGAGGGTGCTGCGTCTGGAGAGGGTTTGCTACCTGCACTCCTTGTAGCTTGCTATGGGTCAAATTTTTGTCTCCTCCAAAAAGATATGTTGAAGTTCTAACCCCCATTACCTCTTGAATGTGACTTTATTTGGAGATAGTGTCATCACAGATGTAACTAGTTGAAATGAGGTTATAATGGAATATGGTAGGCCCCTAATCCAATATGACTGGTATCCTTATAAGAAGATGGCCACGTGAAGACAGAGACACAGGAAGAACACCAGGCGAAGACAGAGGATTGGAGCAAGGCATCTACAAGCCAAGGCTCCCCTGAAGCTACCAGAAGCTAAGAGAGGCATGGAACAGACCCTTCCTAGCACCTTAGAGGGAGCATGGCCCTGCTGACAGCTTGATTTCAGACTCCTGGCCTCCAGAACTATGAGACAATACATTTCTGTTATTTTAAGCCACCCAGTTTGTGTTCCTTTGTTATGGCAGCCCTAGCAAATGAATACACAGCTGAACAGTAAGTTCTTTTTCGAAGGGAGAGCTGAGAGACCCAGTTCCGTGGCTAATACAAATCCCACACTGGCTCCAAAGCTCACATTTTTTACCTTCCCCTAGGGTCCCCATGAGCCGGGGAGAAAGAGAAGGTCAAGGCTTGATGTCTTTCCTTTGGATGTCCTATACCACCACCACCTTGCCCCATACTGGCCTCTGATGTGTGGACTCATCGGAGACTGGGGTGATGGAGACTTAGGGCAGGCCCCCTACGTACACACACACCCTGATAAGAAAGGCAAGGCTCTAGGGGCCTAAATCCCATCTAAGCCACAGCAGTCCACCTGGCCCCATCGCTTAGGTGACAGGGAAGGAACTAAGAAGGCACTTCATCTGCCACCCGTCATTTCTCCTACAAAGCTGGCCCCCAGTTCCTGTGAAACTGGAGACACTCACTGAAAGGAGGGGGCTAAAGAGGGTGCCCCATACCAAGCCCAGCACCACTAGGGGAGGCCCAAGGGCAGCCTCTGCCAGCCTATATAATACATATTTCCAGGGAGAGGGTGTGGGTTTCTATCAGATTTTCAGACATCTCTTACCATTCCTCCAAAGGTACGAACCCCTGATTTATTCCAAGTCTTCCTCTCAACCAAATTTCTTCTTCTCTCTTTTTTTCCAAATTTTAAGAGAGAGGGCCTTGCTCTGTCACCTAGGCAGGAGTGCAGTGGCACTATCATAGCTCACTCACTGCAGCCTCGATCTCCTGGGCTCAAACAATCTTCCCACCTCAGCCTTCCAAATAGCTAGGACTACATGTGTGCACCACCATGCCCGGCTAATTCCAAATCTCTTCTTAGCTCTGCACTGGGTTCACGATTTCCTCCCCTCCCTACAGCCCCAGAGACCTGCTCCTTGGTGACACTGTGGGGCCAGGTTCCATTTTTCTCCAAAGAAGACTTTGGCCACCTTTCCCACAAGGCCTGCTCTGTGTCTTTGGAGCTCTACATAGACAAAACTTCATCCACCTGAGGTCTCAGTGGCATGGAAGTGGCAGAGAGCTGAAGTAGGCAGCCTTTGCTATGAAAAAAGATGAGAAGCATTAGGGAGCCCTGAGGGTCGTTTCGAGAAAAGGGGAAGAAAACCCCTGTATCCTGAGTTCACACTCTGTGCCGGGCCTGGTGTGAAGCATTTCCCCCATAGCCTCATTGTTATTGGTGCCACTTTATAAGGTAGAGGTCATGGGCTCAAAGAGAAGTGTAAGGCCCTGGATCCCCAACTACAGAGTGGGGAGATGGAACCTGAACCTGGTCTCCTAGCTCAAGAGCACGCTGCCCTCTCTTGAATCCTCACATGGAGAAAAAGATGGAAATCTGCAATGATTCATCTCCCATTTGGATTCAAGTAGAGTCAAGTTTTACATGAAGACCTTTGGGTGTATTGGCCAAACCCTCATTTCTGGTCTCAGGAAAAATTGTGAGAAAGACTTTGTGAGGGCGTAAAAGATTACTGGGTATCCTGTCGGGAGTTCTCGTCCAGGTTATCGTCACATTTTATTAACCTTGAGACATTTTGCAACTCTCTAGGTTGTGGAAAATTGATAATGCAAATTATTCTTTTCTATAGAAATGCAAGGAAATTGTGTCCAGGGGAATGCAACTGGGTATCACTCTTTTTATTTTTTTTTATTTTTTTGAGATGGAGTCTCACTCTGTCTCCCAGGCTGGAGTGCAATGGCACAGTCTCACCTCACCGCAACCTCTGCCTCCTGTGTTCAGGCTATTCTCCTGCTTCAGCCCCCCAAGTAGCTGGGATTACAGGCATGTGTCACCATACCCAGCTAATTTTGTATTTTTAGTAGAGATGGGGTTTGTTTCTCCATGTTTGGTCAGGCTGGTCTCAAACTCCCAACTTCAGATTATCCACTCGCCTCGGCCTCCCAAAGTGCTGGGATTACAGGCGTGAGCAACTGCGCCCGGCACTGGGTATCACTCTAAAGACAGATCAATTTTTAAATTCCAATTTTTTTTTGAGACAGGGTTTCACTCTGTTGCTCAGGCTGGAGTGCAATGATGCAATCACAGTTCACTGCAGCCTTCACCTCCCAGGCTCAAGTGATCCTCCCACCTCAGCCTCCCAAGTAGCTGGGACTGCAGGTGCATGCTACTGCCTAGCTAATTTTTAAAAAAAATTTTGTAGAGACAGAGTCTTACTATGTTGCCCCATCTGGTCTCAAACTCTGGGGCTTAGGCAATCCTCTTGCCTCAGCCTCCCAAAGTGCTGGAATTACAAGCGTAAGGAATGGCACCTGGCCTAAACATTTCTAAATTCATCAGCATTCTTATAGCCTATATACATGTGGTTCTTTAAGTTCTCCTTTGAACCAGTTGTAACATCTTACCAGTTCCCTCATTAATTAATGGGTTAAATGACACATGTTCATTAAATATTTGTACGTGACTGAGAAATTCATATTCTTGGATGACTTTGGCTCTGACCCAAATCCCCTACTCATGACAAGGTTTGAGAGGCAGGACTTTGGATTACCCAGAACTAGCTTTTTAAGACCTCTTTCAGAGTCCATAAACATTCTTTTCCTTTTTGTTCTTTTCTTTATTTTTATTACTATTTCCTGTCTTATTAATATTTATTCTCGTGTGTGTCATAGGAAGGGCCACGAGCACAAATGTACCTGTGTCTCTTGGTAGGAAGGCATATGTGCTAGCCAAGGCCACACGGGAGACATTTATTGACTCTGTCACCTCCTCTGTTTACTCTCTCTCCAAGGACAGACTGTAACCCAGCAGGATGGGAAGGGGCAGGAGGTTTGGGAGCCTTCTTGGACACTTGGACTTTGGTAACAGGAAAGGCTGTTGGAGGCTCCAGTACTGATAACCTCCTAGGCCAGTGTGAGCCGGACAATCTGGGAGCCGGGCAGAGTGGACAATTCTGATGAGGCTGAGGATCCACCAACGTCTGAAAGACGACGCTGTTGGTCCCATTGGCCCCCCGCAGGGACCGGCCCGAGCTGAGCCCCAGAGCAGGAAGGAAATCATCCTGAAAGCCGAAGTTCAGGATGGTCCCCCAGAGCTGGGTCTCCAAACCTCTTTGATCTCATACCATTACTGGTTAAAAATAATCAGAGTTATGCAGCTTCTATATGGGTACATTTTCTTTTTAAATTTTAGGTTTGTTTATCTCCATATTAAACAGTAATAAGATGTAATTACTTTTGTTATTTAAAAACAAACAAACAAACAAACAAACAAAGAGGGGTTTTTCCTAAAGATCAGAGGACTGTCTTGCGTCCCCACTTTGGAAATCATACAGTCCAGAGAGAGACTGTTTTCACAGGACAGGGGGAGAGTGGAGCATGCAGGGAGCGTGTAGCCTGGATTTGCCACCCGCAACTTTGACAAACTGTGTCTCCCCTCTAGGGCTGGATCTCCATCCATTTAAAATTGGAATGAGAGCACCTGTCACTAGCAAACCTCCCATATGGTTTTAGCATAAACACCACTCTACATAAAAAATGCAAAGTATTATAATTATGGGCTGTGGTTGTGTCATTTCCAACAGACTGAAATAGTGGCATTTTTTTTTAACAGCAGCCAAAGGCTTTAGGGCCAGAATGAAAGCTCAGATCTAAACAAAGGAACATCCCCCAGAATGCTATAAACTCACTGCAGTAAAGCCTGTCTACGACTACAGTCAGATCCTCTTCTAAGGGTTTGTGTTAAGGGTGAGAGAATCCTGGACAGGACCAAGAGATGTAATCAGGGCCCCAAGATAAACAGTGTTGCCTTCTTTTCTTTGCCGCCTGTAATAACCAAAAACTTTGTGGTGTTACTATTTGCTAAAAGTAATCATACTATCTACTACCATTTATTGAGCACTCCAGATTCAAAGTACTTTTTTTTTTTTTTTGAGACGGAGTTTTGCTCTTGTTGCCCAGGCTGGAGTACAGTGGTACGATCTTGGCTCACCGAAACCTCTGCCTCCCGGGTTCAAGCAATTCTCCTGACTCAGCCTCCCGAGTAGCTGGGATTACAGGCATGCACCAGCACACTTGGCTAATTTTGTATTTTCAGTAGAGACGGGGTTTCTCCATGTTGGTCAGGCTAGTCTTGAACTCCCGACCTCAGGTGATCTGCCCACCTCAGCCTCCCAAAGTGCTGGGATTACAGGCATGAGCCACCGCACCCAGCCCAGATTTGAAGTATTTTGTGCACATTATCTCATTTAGTTTTCAAAATAATCCAGGAGTAGGGCATTATTATCCCATTTTACATGTGGGGAGCCTGAAACTCAGATACGTTAAATAAGTGGACAAATAACCTGGACACTGAGTGGCAAAGATAAGTCTGCCAGCCCCAACGCCACCTTCGCTACCACACTCTAGTGCGGCTCACACCTTCCTCCCACGTGCCTCCAGTCTCTGGTGAGATGCGCGGCAATGCCCTTCTGTCAGACTGTCATCCTCCCTTCAGGACCCCCTGAGAGATGGAGGCCAGGCGTGTCACCAGCTAGCTGTGCAGAAACCCTGGGTCCAAGAAAGTCACCAGCAGCTCTAAGATGTGCCTTAGAAGAAGGAGTTGAGGCTGGCACAGCCATATTCCTGGCAGCTCAGAGCTTGCAGTTGGAAAGCATTTAGACGTGTCAGATTTGGGACTACTATTTCATTGAGTTCTCAAACTGAGGCCCACAAATGTGATATACTCTGCTTGGGGACTCCCATGGTTGGTTAATGTAAAAAGGCAGACACTGCTATATTTGTTTGAAGTCAGTCTGAAGTTTGAATCTCAGCTCTACCATGCATTCGCTGCACCTTTTTCGGCAAGTGGCTTCCCCTCTCTGAGTCTTGGTTTCCTAATTGGTAAGATAACACCTACCTCATGACTGCTTTGCAGTTCCTTCACTTACTCATTCTGCAAATATTAGGTTCGATCACATGCAATTGCCAATATTCAACCACTTTTTACTGACAGAAACAGCAACTTCATGCAGCTCAACTCTAGTATTCTTGAGGACTTTATTCATCAAAGTTTTCCAGAGAAATGAAATCAGCAGGAGCTCTGTGTGTGTATGTGTGTGTGCGTGTGTGCATGTATGTGTGTGTGTGCATGTGTATGTGTGTGCATGTGTGTCTGTATGTGTGTGTGCATGTGTGTGCGCATGTGTGTGTGCGTGTTTATGTGTACGTGCGTGTGTATGTCTGTGTGCATGTATGTGTGTATGTTTGTGCGTGCGTGTGTGTGTGTGTGTGTGTGAAGTTGGCTCATGTGATCATCAGGGCTGGCAAGTCTGAAGCCTGTAGGGTAGGTCTGAAGGCTGGAAATTCAGGTAAGACTCAATGTTGCAGCCTTGAGTCTGAAGGCGACAGGGCAAGCCAGCAGGTGCACAACTCACGCAGAGTTTCTATGTTGCAGTGTTGAGGCTGCCTCAGTCTTTCCGCAAACTTGAGTCTTTGCTGTGAGGAGGCCGGGGTGGCTGACAGCAGTGAGTAAAGGGGAGAGTATATGAGATGAGTCCAGAAAGGACCTAGGGTGCCCTGCAGATCATTGTTGCCTGGGAAAATGAGGATTAAATCAGAGACACGTGTGTGTAAAGTAATGAGCATGGTATTTGGCAGAAAGTGGCAGCCTTCATTCCTCTTAGTGACCTAAGCCCAGAGCACAGGCTGGTGGATTCTCGTTCAGGCCTCCTTCCTCCCTGCCGCCTGGATCCAAAGTCCTGGACTCCAGTTTTATTCACTTCATCCCCAAGCAGGGATTTGTGGAGCCTGTGGACCATCATGACAGCCTGGAAATCCAACAGTTCCTGCTGCATAAGTGAGAGAGCCAGGATCCACGGAGAGAGGAGTCCAGGGCCACCCTGAGTGGGCCAGACTGAGGAGGGGGTGGGGGCTGATACATGCGGAGCCGCGCCCCCACTGGCATCTCAGCCCTGACCCGCCTGCCCAAGGCTGGGCTGTAGCCTTGTCCAGCTCTGTCCCAGGCTTTGTTCCTGAGTCTTCGAGGCCCCTCTTCCTGCCAAACAAAGCCCCCAGCCTCCGCCTGCCGCCCAACAGGCACCTGGGGCCTCCGGGCCTGGGAATCAAAGCCTGTTTTGCAAAGGAGGCCCTGTGTTTGGAGAAACACCCATCCCCTGCTGCCCAGCCCTTCAAAGAGCCGGCATTGTTCTGCACTGAGAAGGCGCCTCCTGACGCGAGCAGGGGCCGGGCTGACGCGGGTGGACCTCTGATCTCAGGCCAGGCCCCCACGCCACTTGGAGTAGGGCCGGGGGGACCTAGGGGCCAGGGTGGGAGCAGTCTGTCCGGTGGCATTGTGCCCCTTTCCCGTCCTCTGCCCACCTGGGCCTCCATCCATGTGTCCTCACCGAGGCCTGGACCTGGAAACCTGGAGAACCAGGCAGGCCCAGAGGGGCATGAGGAGAAGAACTGAGGTAGAGACAGGGCTTAGTGATCACAGAGGTGTTCAGGGCAAGTATGTTGAAAGACTGTAAAAAAATACCTTCAGCTTACAGATTACAGGACTGAGGCCAGAGGAGAAATGGAACTGGGTCCAGAGCCCAACTCAAGCTGGGGTCAGGCTGAGCCTTGACTTATACCCTTGGTAATCATAATCGTTATGTCCAGACTAAGGCCCAGATCTTCTGAGCTGGATTTCAGTACTCTTTTTCTTTCCTAAAGAAATATTTCAAGGCCAGGTGCAGTGGCTCCTGCCTGTAATCCCAGCACTTTGAGAGGCCAAGGCGGGTGGATCACCTGAGGTTGGGAGTTTGAGACCAGCCTGGCCAACATGGTGAAACCCTGTCTCTACTAAAAATACAAAAAATAGCTGGGCGTGGTGATGTGCACCTGTAATCCCAGCTACTCAGGAGGTTGAGGTGGGAGGATTGCTTGAGCTGAGGAGGTCAAGGCTGCAGTCAGCCAAGACTGCACCACTGCCCTCCAGCCCAGGTGACAGAGTGAGACCCCATCTGAAAAAGAAAAAGAAAAAATAAATATTTCATATATACTTTTTTCCCTCAGAGTTGTTTTTATTGCAACTTTGGTAGAGATGACCTTCCCTTTAGATAAATGCTCTTAACAGAGAGTTAAGGCCATAGAACTAGCAGCAGGGCCCAGGTGGGTCCTGAGAGCTCCCTCAGTACTCAGAGCCCCTACCCTCCTGCCTATTTTCCTCCTGCTGCCATCCTCACACTTCGCATGGCCCAGAGTTGGCTGTGGGGCCTCTTAGCCTCATCCCTGTTGCACAAACGAAGTCTCTCAAGGCACAGAGAGGTGAAATAATCTGCCCAAAGTCATACAGGAAACCAGGGACAAGACACAACCCAGAACCACATCTCAGATGTGACTTCCGTACTCTTTCTTCCCTCCAACTACACTCCTCCTGAAGCCATATCATTCCAGGTCCCTCTGCCCACGGTGTCCCTGGTACTAACATTTACTTTGCAGTCTGTGATAATGATTAAGATCAAGGGCTCTTTAATCAGACAGACTGGAGTCCAGTTTAGTTCCCCTTCTCTGTAAGACTTTAAGTAAACTACTCATCCATTCTGAACCTCAGTCTCTTCTGTAGAATAGGAACAACAGTAGCTGCCAACCTTAAAGGCTGTTGTGAAGATTCACTTGGGGAGCAACCTATGAAAAGTCCTTAGCACATAATAATAAACACTCAGGAAGTACTGTCCTGATTAATCATTATTCCTCCTACTTTCACTATGTGGAAGGGAGGGGAAAGGAGGGGCCGTGGTAAGGTGTGGAACTGTCTCTTTGTATGAGCTGCTTCCTGAAGCAAACAGCAACAACTCCTTCCTGTTGGGCTAAAGGAAGAAGGAAAGGGAAGGGAGGGAAGCGGGGCGGGGTGGGGGGAAGACAGGCAGAGAGAGAGACTTTGAGCTCCAGCTTGGGATTCTTGCATTTCACCTACTTGGCCTTCTGGGTACTCAGTGTGACCTTTTGACAGTCAGGATGTTGCTGTCCTGGTCATCTTTGCCAAACATCTAATGACCACAGAGGTGGCTTCCAGCCCCAGAATCCTGGAAAATTCCACAAGACTGTTTGGAGAGGTGGGATAGCAGAGTAGAAGCTGTGGCAACACCTTAACAAGCCACTTCACTTCTCTGAGGCTTGCTCGAGAAACAGGTGACCACAATGGTCCAAGGTTCCAGTCCCAGCCCTGTTGTTTGCTAATTGTATGAACGTGGGCAAGTCTCTTAGCTTCTGTGGATCTCAATTTTTTTCCACTAAACAAGAATAATAAAATTCATGCAATATTATGATTTAGGATATTCTGTGTGCCATGTTACCAGACCCTAAATGATGCCAAAGATGACATTATCCAAAAACATGTAAAATGCCTATACATATACAATATACAATGCATGTTATATTATAGATACTTAACAAATTCTAGTTTCCTTTGGAGCCAGAGTTTAGACTGTCTTAAATTTGTGTCAATGGACAAGTCACAATCATATAATAAATAGCTATTTGTTATATGATTCTTCATCTGTAAACTGGGGCTTAAAATACCTTCCTTACATTTAATAATAATAACATTAGCTTGTGTTTGTTGATTATGTATGACATTTGGGCATTCTCTGTGCTCAGGATTTTTTCTTTGAGACAGGGTCTCACCCTGTTGCCTAAGCTTCAGTTCAGTGGCATAATCATGGTTCATTACAGCCTCAGTCTCCTGGGCTCGAGCAATCTTCCTACCTCAGCCTCCTGAATGGCTGGTACTACAGGTGCGTACTACCACGCCTGGCTAATTTTTTATTTTTTTATAGAGACAGGGTCTTGCTTTGTTGCCCGGGTTGGTTTCGAACCCCTGGACTCAAGGAATCCTCCCACCTCAGCCTCCCAAAGTGCTGGGATTAGAGGTGTGAGCCACCATGCCTAGCCAGCATTTTAAATATATTAACTTACATAATCTCAAAAACTCCATAAAGAGGTTTTTGTTGTTTTAGAGACAGGGTCTCACTCTGTAGTCCAAGCTGGAATGCAGTGGTATGATCACAGCTCACTATAATCTTGAACACCTGGGCTCAAGTGATCCTCCTGCCTCAGCCTCCTGAGTAGCTGGGACTACAGGCATGCACCACCACACCTGGTACATTTCTTAATATTTTTGTAGAAATGGGGGGTCTTGCTTTGTTGTCCAGGCTGGTCTCGAACTCCTGGTCTTAAACAATCCTCCTGCCTTGGCCTCCCAAAGTGCTGAGATTACAGGCATGAGCCACTGTATCCAGCTCCTGCTGTCTTGAACGAGAAAAGCAGGCCAAGTAGAATTAGCAGTAGGATGGCAGTTCTGCTTTTAAAATGTGCATCTGAGACTGGATGCAGTGGCTTACCCTTATAATCCCAGCACTTTGGGAGGCTGAGGCAGGAGGATTGCTTGAGCCCAGGAGTTTGAGACCAGCCTGGGCAACACAGCAAGACTCCATCTCTACTTTTTATTTTTATTTTTATTTTTTTAATTATTTTTGAGATGGAGTTTTACTCTTGTTGCCCAGGCTGGAGTGCAGTGGCATGATCTCAGCTCACTGCAACCTCCGCCTCCCGGGTTCAAGCGATTCTCCTGCCTCGGCCTCCCAAAGTGCTGGGATTACAGGCATGAGCTACCACGCCCCGTCAATACTCCATCTCTAAAAAGAAAAAATGAAAAAGAAAAAAAATGTGCGTCTGTTTTTATGTGCAGAGAAAAGCCAGGGAGAATGTCTGTCAAAATGTTTCTGTGGTTATTGATGAGTGATTGAATTGGATGCATTTTGTTTTTTTCTTCATACTTTTTTATATTTTCCAATTTTTTTAAATAAGAAAAATGATGGAACATAGGTACTAGAGGAAGAATAAAAGTAGGCTTCTAGGCACTCCTTCATTCAATAAGTGCTTATTTGTGTTCTCCGTCAAATTATATTTTTGAGTGCATATTACAATGGGCCAGGTACCAGATGGAGTGTTAGAGATAAAACAGTGGCCTAGTGGCTGGGCATGGTGGCTCACGCCTGTAATCCCAGCACTTTGGGAGGCCGAGGCGGGTGGATCACCTGAGGTCAGAAGTTCAAGACCAGCCTGGTCAACATGGTGAAACCCTGTCTCTACTAAATATGCAAAAATTAGCCGGGCATGGTGGCGGCGCCTGTAATCCCAGCTACTCAGGAGGCTGAGGCAGGAGAATCACTTGAACCCGGGAGGCAGAGGTTGCCGTGAGCCGAGATCGCGCCATTGCGCTCCAGCCTGGGCAACAAGAGCGAAACTTTATTCCAAAAAAAAAAAAAAAAAAAAACAGTGGCCTGGAATGCTGAGAACCATTCCAATGTCAGATGCTCTGTACCAATTGTCCCCACATGTGCACTCCACTCATTCGTATACTTAACAGAGGTGATCAGACACTGCTGCCAGGCACACCAAGTCCCACACTAGGCAATGAGTACACAAATGGCCTCAGTCAAAGGCCCCACCTCCAGGAACTCACAGAGCTCAACACATACTGCTGCAGTCCAGCACAGTCAGGGCCATAGCAGGGGACATGAGCATTAAAGGAGGGAGCTGCTGACATGGAGACCATGAAGACTTCCCCAAGGAGAAAACAGACAGGCCCCGGGTGCAGGAGGACACACCCTCAGAGTGCTTGGAGAATTTTGCCGCATTCCTAGATTGCTAGACCAGGAAGCTATGACCAACGAAGGTAGGAGACAGTCAGAATTGACACATTCAAAACCCAGCAACACAGTTTGGAACAGCTTGCATTAAAAACTGTAAAATATGCATACCCATTGGTCCAGTCATTTCACATCTAGGCACTTATAGCAAAGAAACAACTAAAAATATGTACAGAGATTTAGCTGCTGGTATGTTCATTTGAGCATTGAGAAACAGTAGAGTGTAGGGGTTAAGCCCACAGACTTGGAATCCTTGTCTGCCTGGATGTTAATCAGGCCCCACCACTTAACTCACTAGCTGTGTGACCTTTGACAAGTCACGTACTACTTCTGTGTTGAAATTTCCCAATTTTGCTGGGCGCGGTGGCTCACGCCTGTAATCCCAGCACTTTGAGAGGCCGAGGCGGGCGGATCACAAGGTTAGGAGATCGAGACCATCCTGGCTAACATGGTGAAACCCCGTCTCTACTCAAAATACAAAAAATTAGCCAGGCGTGGTGGTGGGCACCTGTAGTCCCAGCTACTCAGGAGGCTGAGGCAGGAGAATGGTGTGAACCTGGGAGGCGGAGCTTGCAGTGAGCGGAGATGGTGCCACTGCACTCCAGCCGGGGTGGCAGAGCAAGACTCCATCTCAAAAAAAAAAAAAGAAATTTCCCAATTTATAAAATGGAGACAGTAATAGTACCCAATTCATAAGGTTTTAGGAGAGATTAAATGAGTTAACATCGGTAAAGCACTCAAACAGTGTGATGGCAAGCACCATAAAAACATTTGAAGAGGCCAGGTGTGGTGGCTCATGCCTATAATCACAGCAATTTGGGAGGCCATGGCAGGCAGATCGCTTGGGCGCAGGAATTTGAGACCAGCCTGGCCAACATGGCAAAACCCTGTCTCTACCATCAAAAATACAAAAATTAGCCAAGCATGGTGGCCTACACCTGTAGTCCCAGCTACTTGGGAGGCTGAGGCGGGAGGATGGCTTGAGCCCAGGAGGCGGAGGTTGCAGTGAGCTGAGATTGCACCAGTGCACTCAGCCTTGGTGACAGAGTGAGACCCTGTCTTAAAAAAAAAAAGAAAGAAAAAAAAAAAAAGAAAAGAAGCCAGGTGTGATGGCTCACATCTGTAATCCCAGCACTTTGGGAGGCTGAGGTGGGCAGATCACGAGGTCAGGAGTTCGAGACCAGCCTGGCCAACATAGTGAAACCCCGTCTCTACTAAAAATACGAAAATTAGCCGGGCGTGGTGGCACGTGCCTGTAATCCCAGCTACTTGGCAGGCTGAGGCAGGAGAATCGCTTGAACCCGGGAAGTGGAGGTTGCAGCGAACCAAGATCACACCACTGCACACCAGCCTGGGCGACAGTGCGAGACTCCGTCTCAAAAAAGAAAAAGAAAAAGAAAAAACATTTGAAGAAAACTGGAAATAACCTAAATGTCCAACATTAGAGATTTGCTCATTTGACATTCATATGATAGGACACCATACAAATATTAAAAATCTAAAAATGATTTAGAAGAATATTCAATGAATAAAGAGACATTCAGAATATGACTAAGTGAAAAGAAAAATAAAGCCAGTTACCAAACAACATGCTTGATTAATATTTAAATGTATTTGCATAGAAGAATGCCTGGAAGGACCTGTAGAGCAAATTAACACCAGTGGTTAAGGCTGGACAATGGGATTGCATGGAACTGTTATTTTTTCTTTTTAATCAACTGTATTTTCTAATTATTTTTCTAGAATCAATATAAATTTATTTTGTAATTTTAAAATATTCACAAATGCAGGAAATAATGACTTAGCTCCACCAGTTAAAAAAAGGACTGAGTTTTATTCTATAGCATTTATTTATTCACTTAATAAATATTCAAGTATCTACTATGTGCCAGGCATTAGGGCACCATTCTAAGTGCTGTCCAGCAGCAAGTTCAGTGGGTCCAGAACAACATCACTGTGAAGAAGAAAAAGGAGGAGGAGGACAGGGAGGAGGGGCAGGAGGGAGGGAGGCACTTCAAATGGGTTCAGATTGGGGTCTGGACTCGAGCATGAATACACACAGGTCTTCTTTCCAACAGTCCTTGGTGAGGACTTCTCCTCAGTAGTGAGCTATGCGTCTATTCAAAGTAACCAGCCTTTCCTTCCGAATGACTCGTTGACAGGGAGACACAGGAGCTCATGCCACATGTGAAGGGACAGAGCAGAAACATCTGCTGAGGGAGATGTCACCGTGCTGGGGACTTTCATGCCACCCATTCAGTGAATCCTCCCAACCACTTTGTGAGGAAGGTATCATCGTCTCTATTTTCCCGGATGAGGAGCGAGAGGCTTGGAGAAGTAAAGTTACTCGTCTAAGGGGACCCAGCCAGACAGGGGGTGAGCTAGCACTTGAACCCAGCTCCTTCTGGCTGAGATGCCTTCACCCTTCTACTGTAGGACCCACCACCTCCCTCCACCCCTTCATCATCACCATCAATGCTCCAGGGTGTTTCGTGGGAGGCACATTGCTAAGGGCAGTGTCTCAGGGTTACTCTTCACCTGTGAGGTGGAGGGATGAGGGGGTGAGGAGACTGAGGCTCAGAGACGTTGCTACCTGCCCCAGGTCACACGGCTCTGGCATGGTGGAACTGAGATAGGCACACGGTCCTGCTGGGTTCCAGTGCTCTGATCCTGAACAGCCACACCACCTCGCCTCTCCTCCGGTCCTTGGTTAGCCTCCTCTGAACACCACGGTGCATCTTTGGGGTAGCATTTGTGAACGCAAAAAGTGTCAACTTTTCTTTCCTTTTTTTTTTTTAAGAGATGGAATTTCACTCTTGTCGCCCAGGTTGGAGTGCAATGGCGTGATCTCGGCTCACTGCAACCACTGCCTCCAGGGTTCAAGCGATTCTGCCACCTCAGCCTCCCGAGTAGCTGGGATTACAGACGCCTGCCACCACACTGGACTAATTTTTTGTATTTTTAGTAGAGATGGGGTTTTGCCATGTTGGCCAGGCTGGTCTCAAACTCCTGAGCTCAGGTGATCCATCTTCCTCGGCCTCCCAAAGTGCTGGGATTGCAGGCGCCTGCTACTGCCCCTGGCCTTCTTTCCCTTTTCTTGCTTTTTACAACATTCATTGTCTTCTAGCAGGGAGTCTGTGTCACTGTGGAAAGACAAAGAAGTCAGAGCAGCAGAAAGGAAGACGTAGGAGGAGTGTTTGACAATCCATCAAGCCATAAGAATAAAAACTTCATTCTTTTACAGGAGTAAAAATTCTATCTCCGAAGAATGAGCATAGAAATATGGGAGATAACGGAGAATGGCTCAAAACCAAAGTCTTGGAGGTACAGTTAAAGGAACTAGAAATATTTAACCCAGAGAAAAGTATTATAGTTTTGTTCATTCAACCAACAGACAAGTGTAAGGCTTCTCCTCTGGGGCAACTATTGTGCAAGGTGCCGGTGACTCGGAAATAAACCAAACGGACATAGCCTCTGTCCTTGTGGAACCTAAAATGGGTAGATGGTTGTGATCTCTGCCTGAAAACACCTGAAGGGGCACGGGGAAGACAGCGTGGTCTTGTTCTGTGCGAATCTTGAAGACAGCTGGGACTGTTGTGTGGAAGTTTCAGCGGGCAGGTTTCTGCCCCAAAGGAGGAAGAATTTGCTAACAGAGCTCTTCTTCCAAAGTGGACAGGCGCTTTGGGGAGTTTGTAAGCTCCCCATCATGGGGCAAAGGAGGTATGACCCCTTTGAGAAGTTACAGGCTGGGCGCGGTGGCTCACGCCTGTAATCCCAGCACTTTGGGAGGCCAAGGTGGGTGGATCACTTGAAGTCAAGAGTTCAAGACCAGCCTGGCCAACATGTGAAAACTCGTCTCTACTAATAAAAAAAAATATATAGCTGGGCGTGGTGGTGCACACCTGTAATTCCAGCTACTCGGGAATTATACTGAGGCAGGGGAATCGCTTGAACTGGGGAGGCAGAGGTTTCAGTGAGCTGAGATCACACCACTGCACTCCAGCCTGGTTGACGAAGTGAGACTCTGTCTCAAAAAAAAAAAAAAAAAAAAAAAGAAAGGAAAAGAAAAGAAAAGAAAATACAGAAGAGGGGCTGTATTAGTTAGGGGCTGCCATGACAAGATACCATAGCCTGGCCGACTTAAACAACAGAAATTTATTTCTCACAGCTCTGAAGATTGGGAATTCCAAGATCAAGGTACCAACTGATTCCATTTCTGGTGAGGGCTCTATTCCTGCTTGCAAAAGCCACCTTCTCACGATGTCCTCACATGTTTCCTTGGTATGTGAGCACGGAGGGATAGAAAACCAGGTCTCTGGTCTCCCTTTTTATTATTTATTTATTTAGAGACAGAATCTCATTCTGTCGCCCAGGCTGGAGTGCAGTGGCACGATCTCTGCTCATTGCAACCTCCACCTCCTGGGTTCAGGTGGTTCTCTGCTTCAGTCTCCCAGGTAGCTGGGATTACAGTCACACACCACCACACCTGGCTAATTTTTGTATTTTTATTTTTTATTTATTTATTTATTTATTTGAGATGGAGTCTCGCTCTGTCGCCCAGGCTGGAGTGCAGTGGCGTAATCTCGGCTCACTGCAAGCTCCGCCTCCCGGGTCACGCCATTCTCCTGCCTCAGCCTCCTGAGTAGCTGGGACTACAGGCACCTGCCACCATGCCCAGCTAATTTTTTTGTATTTTTAGTAGAGACGGGGTTTCACAGTGTTAGCCAGGATGGTCTCGATCTCCTGACCTCCTGATCTGCCTGCCTCGGCCTCCCAAAGTGCTGGGATTACAGGCGTGAGCCACCGTGCCCAGCCTAATTTTTGTATTTTTATTAGAGACCTGGTTTCACTATGTTGGCCAGGCTGGTCTCAAATTCCTAACCTCAAGTGATCCACCTGCCTCGGCCTCCCAAAGTGCTGGGATTACAGGCGTGAGCCACTGCGCCTGGTCTGGTCTCCCTTTTTAAAATTTTTTTTGAGACAGAGTTTCACTCTTATTGCCCAGGCTGGAGTGCAATGGCGTGATCTTAGCTCACTGCAACCTCTGCCTCCTGGGTTCAAGTGATTCTCCTGCCTCAGCCTCCCAAGTAGCTGGGATTACAGGCATGTGCCACCACGCCCATTTAATTTGGTATTTTTACTAGAGATGGGGTTTCTCCATGTTGGTCAGGCTGGTCTCGACTCCGGACCTCACGTGATCCACCCACCTCGACCTCCCAAAGTGCTGGGATTACAGGCCTGAGCCACCGCACCCGGCCTGTTCTCCCTTTTTGTAAGGTCACTAATCTCATCACAACTTCTCCATTTTATCTAACCCTAATTATCTCCCCAAAGCTCCGTTTCCAAATACTATCACATTGGGTGTTATGGCTTCCAGTGAATTTAAGAGGGACACAAACACTCAGTCCTTAACAGGAGTCTCAAGAACCAGGCAATGGGACTAGCTCACCTGAGAGGGCTCTGCTGTGCCTGATTCTGTGCTTCTGGGGAAGTGAGGACCATGTGCACCCCACTGCTGAGGATCCAGTGTGTATCAGGCGGCTGAACTTAGGCAGGGTGAGGAGTTGAGAACCAGACAGAATGACTGAGTGGTTCACCCATCGCCCTTTCTGCTCTGGGGTTGGCGATGCAAAGATGAGCAAAACCACTCCGGGTTATACCACTCCGAGCAAGTCACTTACCCTCCTGCAATCTTAACTTCTTCATCTGAGACAGGGTATGACAGTGCCACTTTCTCATAAAATTACTGTGAGGACAGAATGGGGAAATGTATGTGAAGGCACAGAGTGGACGCCTGATGAGCACCCAGCAGATGCAAGTCACCACTTAAGAAAACTAACAAAAATTATAAGGGGATGGGACACACAGAAACCCAGATGGGGAGAGCATGGAATAAGAGGCGTGGTGGCAGGTGTTGACGGTGGCAGAGTCTCCACATCAGAGGAGGCTTAGTTTGCACAAGTACCCCCTTGGCATTCAGGAAAAGCTTTTCAGTAGAAGGGACGTTTTGAGCTAAAACATGAAAGAAGGCTGAGAGGCTGGCTGTGGTGGTTCACTCCTCTAATCCCAGCACTTCAGGAGGCTGAGACAGGAGGATCGCTTGAGCCCATGAGTTCGGGAACTGCCTGAACAACAAAGTGAGACCCCGTCAAAAAATTAGAAAATTAACCAAGCGTAGTGTTGTGTGCCTGTGGCCCCAGCTGCTTGGGAGGCTGAGGTGGGAGGATCGCTGGAGCCCAGGAGATCGAGGCTGCAGTGAGCCATATTCACACCACTGCACTCCAGCTGAGACCCTGTCTCAAAAAAACAAGAAGACTGAGGAAGTCGTGGAGTTGGGGGCAAAGTTGCTGTAAACCAAAGGATGAGAAACAGACAGGCTGCTGGGCTAACTGGAGAAAGAAAATGGCTCAGGTGACCACACAAATCGATTCACTCATTCTCCCATTGGTCATCAGTCACCTCCCACAGCATCACCGTGGACCCTGCTGACAGCCAGAACCACTCCAGCTCTAAAACTCTAACTCCCACACCTCGCCAGCTGCCCACAGCCTCTCCTCTTCCCACTCACCAACTGCATGAATCCCTCCGCTTGTGCTCTCTGACGACACAGGCCCCTCCAGCCACTGGCCCTCTACTTTCTTCCAGCCCATCACCCTCTTCTTCCTCATGTCCTTCCTTATCACAGCTCAGCGTGGAGGTGCAGTGTCTCAGTAACGGTCTTTTCAATGCTATGAGTTCTCTTCCCTGTGTCTTCATCTCACTGGTCAAGCAAACTCCCCCCCTTCTGCATCCTCCCATGCCTGTCCCTGGCAAGCCAAATGCTGCTGAGACAGTCCCACCACAGCCAGAGGCTTCCCCATAGCTCCAGGACCCTCACTTCGAATGGGCCTTGGACACTGCTCAGTAATCAACCACTATCCATTGGCATCTTAAAAAACTTCACCACTCCTCAAACCTGTACCCCTCTGCCGTTATTCTTAGAGATGACACCACCTTCTACTTAACAGAGAAAGAAGATGCCACCCCTTGTCTTCTCCCATTGACACACACACACACACGCACACACACCTGCGTGCACACACATGCATGTGAACACATACACATGCAGACATTCAGAGACATGCACACACCCCTACATCTACCCTCTTCTCTTTTCCTCTGTTTCAACATGGAAGCTGTCGCTCTCATCTAAAGCCAACCCTCCACCTGGATTCTGGTGCCCTCCCTTTCCCTTTCCTCAGGAACCTATGTTTCTTATTATCCCTTCTTCTCTTGGATTTTCTGTCTCTACTTCTAGATAAGATCCTTTCAGCTAGCCTTTATACACAGTCAAATTACATTTTTTTTTTTTTTGAAATGGAGTCTTACTCTGTTGCCCAGGCTGGCGTGCAATGGTGCGATCTCAGCTCACTGCAACCTCCGCCTCCGGGGTTCAAGCAATTCTCCTGCCTCAGCCTCCCGGGTAGCTGGGATTACAGGTACCCACCACCATGCCTGGCTAATTTTTGCATTTTTAGTAGAGATGGGGTTTTGCCATATTGGCAAGGCTGGTCTTGAACTCCTAACCTCAGGTGATCTGCCCGCCTCAGCCTCCCAAAGTGCTGGCATTACAGGCATGGGCCACCGTGCCCAGCCCAAATCACCTTCTTAACCAAAAACAAATGCCACCTCTGTCGCCTTCTCATCTCCCTCAGCAACCACTCACTCTCTGTTTCTCATCTCCACTGCAGAGGCAGGGGCCGTCTGCACTGTCTCCATGTCCTTACCTCCCACTCGTCTTTTCTGACAGCTCTAGGGAGGCAAAAGTGATGTACAATGAACTGCACATACTGAAAGTGTACTATTTGATGAGTTTTGCCATATGTATACACCTGGGAAACCCTCACTATAATAAAGGTAATGAACATCTCCATCACTCACAAATGTCCTTGTTCCCATGTACAAGCTTCTTGCTCCATCACTCACTAAAAATACCCTTGATAAAGGTACCAGTGGTGTGCTTGCTTCAGTAGCACATACATTGAAATTGGAATGATACAGCTGCTCAAGGATGACACACAAATTTGTGATGTGTTCCATATTTTTAAAATGTCTTTATTTTAAAATGGTACCAGTGGGCTACCTCTCACCAAACCTGATGGGAAATGGTCATTGTCTCTCAGATGTCTCAGAAATATCCTAAATTCAATCTGTTCAAAACCAGACTGATAGGCTTATCCCCAAACCTACTTCTGCTCCAGTAGTACCACCAGGAATTGTTCCTGACACACTTAGGCAATGCTGCACAAAGCGCCTTCCACTTCACCTACACAGCTGCCTCCATCCCCTCCTCTCCATCTCCATCATCACCACCTTAGCCTCAAACTCCTTAATCACTCATCTGCAGCATAGCAGTGGTCTCCTAACAGCTAACTGTATTATGTTGGTGCACACACTTCACCTCCAAGCTGCAGCCAGAGGGATCTATTTGGAAGGCAAGTATGATCATGTAATCCTCACCCGCATTTATTATAAAATATGGACTAAGACTGAAATCCATAGCATGGCCTATAGGGCTTGTGAGGTCTGGCCTCTCCTCTCCTCTCCAGCCCTCCCTTACCCCATCCCCACCTTGCTCTCTGGGCTCTTACCACACTGGCCTCTTTTCAGTCCCTTTAACTAACTAGGATTCCCCATCACAGGGCTTGGCACATGTTGTTCCTCATCCTGAATGCTTTCCCATTCATGCTTCAGACCTTGGCTCAATTATCACTGCCTCAGAGAAGCCCTTCCTGACTTCACTAAGTGAGTTGAACGTCTTGTCCCATCTTCACTTAGCACTTAGCACCTCACCTTTGTAGTGGGTGCCACAGCTGTGATTTGATTATCTGTGTGCCTATCTGTTTCACTCACAATTCACTTCCTTTACTAAATTCCTAGGGAAGAGACAGGGTATGTCTTTCTTTGCTCACCATAGTAGCCTCAATGCCTGACCTAGTTGACCTAGTCCCTAGCATTAACAATAAATATGTGTGAAATGAATGAGCATACAGTGAGTACCTACTGTGTGCCACGCTCTTCTGCATATTCAGTTGCATTTACTCCTACCGCCAGCCTTTCCAGTTGGGTATTTTGTTCTTTATAAATGAGATGATCAAGGCTCAGGGAAGCTGAGAAACCTACGCATGGTCACACAGCTGGAAGTGACTGAGCCTGAGTCCTTGTCAGCTACCAGCTTCCTGGAAGGGGTGAGGGAGCATCTTCATATCCACTCCCATGCTCCATGGGTCTGTGCATAGGAGGTGCTTTACAGCATTACCTCAGTTCGCCCCCAGAATCGGCTTGTGATGTGGGTGCTCCAACCTTTTCCAAATGCAGTCATCTCATTGAATTACAGAAAGATTATGTGAGCAGCCTACAGTTACTCAGCAAAATTGCAGAGCTGGCCTTGTAATACAGAGTATCTGGGATGTTTTCACCGCACTGGGCACGATAGAACAGGCAGGTGAAATCAGCATGGAGGAATCGTTAACTCCCAAACAAAGGTCTGAGCTGGGTGCTGAACCTCCCCTCCGGTCACACTCACCACTCTGAGTCATCTGGGCTTTGGAAAATGCTCTTTCTTGGAGCTGCTCTGTTGGTGCATGACCCTGGCATTGGAGAGTGTCCAACCAAAGGGGAAGCAAGGGTGGGAGCCATGCTACATCCTGGTGCCAACTCAAGGAGGCTCATGTCAAGAAGGGAGGTGGCAGCGTGTCCCTGCAGCTGACCTTCCACCTCAGCTTAAAAATAAATTCTGGTTTTGGGGTGGCTTTTCCACCGAGTCTGTGTCAGCCATCATCTTCCCTCTGGGCACAGTGTGGAAGCACGGGGTGGGTGCGGCCCAGGAGGACGGTGCCAGGTGTCTGCAGGCCCTGGGCAGGATCAGCCAGTATCCAGCTGGACTAGAACCAAGAGCCCTTGGGCGCTGGAGCTGCTTGGGCCTGTGCCTCCCTGCCTGCCTTTCTTGTGAGATGGGAGAGGCTCATCAGCTGCGGTGGCTTATGGTAATAGTGGGGTTCCTAGGAAGACTTCTCTAGGCTGGCCAAGTGAAGACCACCATCTGACTGGTGGGATGGGCAGTCTGCCCACCTGCCTCCCTGTGGTGGATCCATTGGAGACCCCATGCTTTCCTCTGCAGGCCCACGGCTCATGCCTTCCTTCTAGGTATAACTGAATAGAGCAGTGTTTCTCAAATTATCTACAATCGATCTCAGACCCATCTTTTCAGGTCACACCCCTTGCATGTTGTGGCAATTCCAAATTACTATAAAACATTTCTAATTTTTTACTCAGGATTTTGGTACTTAGCTCACTGTGGTCTAGGAACAAGGAGTTAGCTGATTTGCATGGTCCACGGACCACACTTTGAGGACCACTGGAATCGAGGACCAATTGTCGGCTAAGATCTTGGGGGCGTGAGTGAGGGGACCCAGAAATGAGAAAGACCCTGTCTGTTGCCCTGGAGGAGCACAGGCTCTAGAGAAAGAGACCTGAATTCAATCCTGCCTTTTCACCTGCTAATAATGTTTGGCAGGTACTTCCTTTTGTTGTGCCTCAGTTTCTTTATCTGGAAAACAAGGATACCTATTATAGAAAGTAGCTATTGTTTCTTTCTTCTCATTGTCTGGACAAAGATATATAGCATCTGATTTTCCTTTACATTTGGGTAGATTGACCCCTTCCCATGGCTTCAGGGATGGGGATATAACCTAAGTGTGGCCAGTTAGCAAATCTGATCTCCCTGGTTTATGATTGGTCCAGAATTGTGCACACACCCAAGCTGATGCACTGAAGGTCTGTCATGGACCCCTCGCTGGATGTGTTGAAGAAAAGATGCTGTTTTTCTGCTGGGGTTGCTAAGTACAAGGATCATCTTTCTGAAAACAAAGTCAGTACAGAAGAAAGCCAAGCCAAAAGATGGAGAAAAAGGCTCCTTGAAACAGTGTTTGAGTGCCTGGTTCCAGACAAGCCTAAAGCTACACTGATTCATGGAACTTTCAATTAGGTGCTATACATCTTTTTAATTTTTTCCTAAGTTGGTTTGAGTTTAATTTTGTTACCCACAACCAAAGAATTTTTTTTTGTTTTTGTTTTTGTTGTTTTTTGAGATGGAGTCTTGCTTTGTCACCTAGGCTGGAGTGCAGTGGTATGATCTCGGCTCACTGCAACCTCCACCTCCCAGGTTCAAGAGATTCTCCTGCCTCAGCCCCCTGAGCAGCTGGGATTACAGGCACCCGCCACCACGCCCAGCTAATTTTTGTATTTTTAGTAGAGATTGGGCTTCATCATGTTGGCCAGGCTGGCCTTGAACTCCTGACCTCAAGTGATCTGCCCACTTTGGGCTCCCGAAGTGCTGGGATTACAGGCATGAGCCACTGTGCCCGGCCAAGAAATTTTAAAATACCAATCATGAGATGAAGTAATATATGAAAAGGGCTCACCACAGTGTCTGACACAGATTAAACACCCAATAAATGGAAACTATCATCATTATTCTCATCATCCAGTATCCATTGAGGTGTATTATATGCTGTGTACTGGGGATATGAAGATAAATCAGATATAATCTGTCCTTAAGAAGTTTCCAGTCTATGGGGAGGTATGAATCAAAGAGACCCAATTCTTGTAACAAACAGGGAAAAAGTCCATCAGGGTCAACAGAGCTGGACTAACCAAGGGTCATGTGGCTGCAGGAAGAGAAAGACACTGACGGGCTGGCGCAATGGCTCACACCTGTAATTCCAGCACTTTGGGAGGCCGAGGCAGGTGGATCACTTGAGCTCAGGAGTTTGAGACAAGCCTGGCCAACATGGTGAAACCCCGTCTCTACTAAAAATACAAAAATTAGCCGGGCGTGGTGGCACGTGCCTGTAGTCCCAGCTACGTGGGAAGCTGAGGCAGGAGAATTGCTTGAACCCAGGACACAGAGGTTGCAGTGAGCTGAGATTGTGCCACTGTACTCCAGCCTGGGCAACAGAGTGAGACTCCATCTCAATAAATAAATAATAAAATAAATAAAAATTGACTTTATTATAATTTTTAAGGAAGCTAAAGGCAAGAGAAATCCAACTGACTAATGCTCAGAAAAGATTTCCTGGTCTCTTCAGCACATAATGTTCCCTGCTAGTTTCACCCTTTTGATGCTTCCTAAATAAGACATGTCCTAGAGATGTTCATTCCTGCTGAGATGCACCATGCTCTTGGTATTCTGTCTTTCCCCTGCTCATTCACCCCACCCCTGCACCACACCCAATCATTTGCCAAATCCTGTTCATTCAAACCCTGCAATGGTCTTTCACAAGGCCGTCCCCTCCTGTCCATCTTCCCACTCCCCCGGCCCTGCTGCGCACACAGCCTCTACCCAGGATCCACTATATCCCATCTCACCTCCTCTTCCCACAGCACATTCCGGAGCTGGTGAGAGCTTCTCATTGCCTAAGAAATAAACAGCAAACCTCTAGTGGGACTGCAGGGCTTCCATGAACACTTCTCACTTTCCTTTCTAAAACAGGTGCTATTGGTACCCTGCCCATGCCCCTTAGCCCATCTGGAAAGTCACCTACGGATTTTGTGAAGGATTCTTGTACACACTGGTGGTTTCACGCCTCAAGCATTCACAGTCCTCTGCCCCAGGGCTTTCTTTGGTGGCTGGAGGTGGCTCACCCACCTGGGCAGGGTTGAATAGCCAGAGAGTTGATGTCCTGGGGAGCAACCCTCAACCACTGGAATTCTGGACCTACCAGAATAGGCAGACAAATACTCCAACATCGTTGCCTTTCTGCGGAACAATTCTAAAGTGTGTTGTACAGAGTCTCTCAGAGGGTCCTCAGTTACCCAACTTACTCATCTTTTATTGGCTTTCCTCTCTTCTCTGCCTCTCTTCGCCACTTCTTCACAGTGCTCCCTTCAACATCCTCTCAAATAAAATACTTGCCCACCCTCTTAAATCCTTGATTCAGCATCTACTTTGTGAGGTGCCCAAATCAGGACACTTTCAAAGCCTAGGCATAATTCCCATCACACTGTGTCATGCACCCTTAAGTACAACCAACTTAAAACTATATGCCCCCTGCTTTCACCCTTCTATGACTTTGTCTGGCTGTACCTTCACCTTGAAAGACTTCCCACTTTCACATCTGTCCTCTCCCATCTATTGTTCAAGAATCAACTCAGGTTTCAGTGTTTTTCATGATAAGCACAAGGAGTGATCCCTCAATGCTTTGAACTCCAGAGCAGTTTATCACTTCCTTCAGCATCACCTTTGTCCTCCAGGTTTCTCAACCTAGCGGAGTCTATTGACAAACTCTCCTTTACTTTTGTTCAGCTGATGACCCCCATGGCCGGATCTAAACCTTATCATTACCCAGTTCTGGGATCTTAGATTCTAGTGTTTCCTGGATGACCACAGATACCTTTGGCTTTCTTGCTCCAGGGACACCTGCTCTATGAGGTTATCGAGGTCCCCAATCTCTTCCTCCCTATCTCTCAGCCTCTCTAGACCAGGCCTACCCTACCAATCCCATCCAGGTGAATCTTTTCCTCTAACTCACCAATCCCTTGGCCTCTTCCATCCTTCCATTTGTACAAAACCCACGTCTCGGTCAGTTCACCCATCAGCTTCATTGGTTTCCTCTCACCAGTAGCCTCAGAAGAAGTGCAAATCAGTTAAGAGAGTACACAGGACTTACCAGGACTAAAACCCTAGCTCCACAGCTATTCACTGTATGACCTCAGGCAATGTAAGTTTTTGGACTGCAGCCTCCTTCTCTGTAAAAGAGAAAAATAATAAAATGTTCTTCTACCCTCAGATAAAATTCAGTATTATTGAACCTTCAGTGTAAGGTTCAATTTTTAAATACCAAAGACAGGACAAACCGTCAGTAACTAGTAATAGGTTGTGTTAATCTTGCTTCTATTACTGTGTGTCTACTTCATTTCGTTGCGGGGGTGTGGGGGGGTACTTAGAATTGTGCCTGGCACACGGTAGGCACTTCATAAATGCTGGCTGTTATTATTACTACTATACTAGTTTCCTACAGCTGCCATAACACACCACTACAAACTGAGTGGCTCAGAACAACGGAAGCGTATTTTCTTTTTCTTTTCTTTTTTTTTTTTTTTTTTTTGAGACAGTGTCTTGCTCTGTTGCCCACGCTGGAGTGCTGTGGCACAATCTCGGTTCATTGCAACCTCTGCCTCCTGGGTTCACGCCATTCTCCTGCCTCAGCCTCCTAAGTAGCTGGGATTACAGGCGCGTGCCACCATGCCCAGCTAATTTTTGTATTTTTAGTAGAGACGGGGTTTCACCATGTTGGTCAGGTTGGTCTCGAACTCCTGACCTTGTGATCCGCCTGCCTCGGCCTCCCAAAGTGCTAGGATTACAGGTGTGAGCCACCGCGCCCAGCTCGGAAGCATATTTTCTTACAGCTCTGGAGGGCAGTGTCTGCAGAGATGGCTCTTTGGAGGCTCTGAAGGGGCACTGACTAATGTCCCTCTCCTGGCTCCTGGTGACTGCTGGCAGTCCTTGGTGTTTTGGTTTAGAACTGTACTGCTCTAATCTCTGCCTCTATGCCCACATGGCCATCCTGCTCTGTGTCTCTGTCTCCAGTCTCCCTCTGATTTGCTCTTATAAGGACACTTGTTATTGCATTTAGGGCCCACCCTAAATCCAGGATGATCTTATCTTGAGATTCTTTTTGTCTTTTTGTTTGTTTGTTTGTTTGTTTTGAGACAGAGTTTCGCTTTTGTCGCCCGGGCTGGAGTGCAATGGTGCGATCTCGGCTTGCTGTAACCTCTGCCTCCCAGGTTCAAGCATTTCTCCTGACTCAGTCTCCTGAGTAGCCGGGATTACAGGGATGCGCCACCACGCCCGGCTAATTTTGTATTTTTAGTAGAGACAGGGTTTCTCCATATTGGTCAGGCTGGTCTCGAACTCCCAACCTCAGGTGATCCGTCCACCTCGGCCTCCCAAAATGCTAGGATTACAGGCGTGAGCCACCGTGCCCGGCCTCATCTTGAGATTCTTAATTACACTGGCAGATACCTATTTTGTCCAACTAGGGTCACATTCACAGGTTCCAGGGATTAGGACTTGGACATGTCTTTTGGGGGGTCACTATTCAACCCACTGCAATTTTCTTTACAAAGAGTTTCAGTGGAGAGGTGGGAGTGGAAGCCAGATTGCAGAGGATCAACAAAGAGGAGGCAAAGAAACGTAGGTGATTATTTTACATACATATTTTTTTGAGACAAGGTCTTTTTTTTTTGAGAAGGAGTCTTGCTCCGTTGCCCAGGCTGGAGTGCAGTGGTGCGACCTCACCTCACTGCAACCTCTGCCTCCCAGGTTCAACCAGTTCTCCTGCCTCAGCCTCCCAAGTAGCTGGGATTACAGGCGTGTGCCACCATGCCCGGTTAATTTTTGTAATTTTGGTAGAGACAGGGTTTCTCCATGTTGGTCAGGCTGGTCTCAAACTCCTGACCTTGTGATCTGCCTGCCTCAGCCTCCTAAAGTGCTGGGATTAGAGGAGTGAGCCACCGCGCCCGGCCTTGAGACAGTCTCCAGACTGGAGTGCAGTGGCACAATCTCAGCTCACTGCAACCTCCACCTCCCAGGCTCAAGTGATCCTCCCACCTCGGCCTCCTGTATAGTGAGTAGCTGGGACTACAGGCACACACCACCATGCCCAGCTAATTTTTTAAAAGTTTTTTGTAGACACACGGTTTCCCTGTATTGCCCAGGATGGTCTAGTATTTCTGGGCTCGAGCAATCCTCCCACCTCGGCTTCCCAAAATACTGGGATTACAGGCGTGAGCCACCAGGACCACCCTAGATGATTATTTTAGACACTTGGTTAAGAGGGGATGCAGATGAAGGGAGAAATGGAGGAGGGCTACAAGCAGAAGAGGGATTTTTGTTCCGTTTTAAAATATGGTGTATCTTTGAGTCTCTTGGGGGAAAAAAGATGAGAAAGACGGGGGAAGATCTTAAAGATATAGGAGAGGGAGGAACAATGAAGCAAGGAGCTGGCCCCAGAACTGAGTTGCCATCAATAAATCAGGGCTGAATTGATGACTCAGTAAACCCCAGGATGGGCCAGCCACAGACCAGCCACCATCAAGCAGGTCGGAACAGAGACATGGCCGGAGGAGAGAAGTGTGAGCCAAGGAGCCTCCAAGACAAGAGAAAACAAAACCAACCAAGCCTCTGGTGGAAGACCTGAGATTTGAAAAGGGATGAATCAGGATCATTCCCTGGGCAGTTTATAAACCACTTTCATCAGTTTCTCATCTGAAGCACTGATTCCTGCTGGAGGGCAGGCAGAGGAATCACAATGTTACCTGAACAGAGGAAGAAACCGAGACCCAGAAAGGCCTTGGGGCTAGTGGAGGACGCATAGGTAGTTGAGGTGTTCAGAGTTCCAGCTGAGGAGGCAGGAAGCCCAGGAAGTCCTGGGGAGGGGGGTCCTCTGTCTGACAGCAAGGAGAAGCAGTTATTGAGGCTTCCACTCAGAAATGGACACTTTTTATTTTAGTAGTTTTTGGGGTACAGGTGGTTTTTGGTTACATAGATAAGTTCTCTAGTGGTGATTTCGGACATTCTAGTTCTCCCAAGCTGTGTACATTGTACCCAATATGTAGTGTTTTATCCCTCACCCCCTCCCAAGCTTCCCACCTGAGTCCCCAAAGTCCATTATATCATTCTTATGCCTTTGCACCCTCATAGCTTAGCTCCCACTTTTTCTTTTTCCCCCAAGATGGAGTCTTGCTCTGTCACCGAGGCTGGAATGCAGTGGCGCAATCTCGGCTCACTGCAACCTCTGCCTCCCGGATTCAAGCGATTATCCTGCTTAGGCCTCCTAAGTAGCTGGGATTACAGGCATGTGCCACCACACTCGGCTAATTTTTGTATTCTTAGTAGAGATGGTGTTTCACCATGTTGGCCAGGCTAGTGTTGAACTATTGACCTTGTGATCTGCCCGCCTTGACCTCCCAAAGTGCTGGGATTACAGGCGTGAGCCAACATGCCCGGCCGCTTAGCTCCCACTTATAAGTGAGAATGTACAATATTTGGTTTTCCATTTCTGGGTTACTTCACTTAGAATAATGGCCTCCAGCTCCATCCAAGTTCCTGCAAAAGACATTATTTCATTCCTTTTTATAGCTGAGTAGTATTCCATGGTGTATATATACCGCATTTTCTTTATCCACTTGTTGATGGGCACTTAGGTCAGTTCCATATCTTTGCAACTGCGAATTGTGCTGCTAAAAACGTGTGTGCAGGTGTCGTTTTCATATAATGACTTTTTTTTCCTTTGGGTACATACCTAGTAGTGGGATTGCTGGATCACGTAGTAGATCTACTTTTAGTTCTTCAAGGAATCTCCATACTGTTTTCCATAGTGATTGTACTAATTTACATTCCCACCAGCAGTGTAAAAGTATTCCCTTTTCACCATACCCATACCAACATCTATTGTCTTTTGACTTTTTAATTATGGTCATTCTTGCATTAAGGCAAAGTGGTATCTCACTGTGGTTTTAATTTGCAAAAACTGAACACTTAAAATACTGTTGCTCTTTTTCCCCTTTTGCACTCTCCTCCCTGGGCTTCTATGAGACACATCTTCCCGGTTTTTCACCTCTTGGATCTTTCTCAAGATCCTTTCCAGAGTGCCTGTTGCTCCTCCGACCCTTTACAGTGGGCGCTGTCCAGGTACTTCTCCCCCACTAAACTGTTTCCCAGGGTGGGCTCTGGTGGCCCTGGGCTCCAATTCATACCTCTAGTCTATTCCTTCCAAACCTAATCTTCTGCCCAGCCCTGTCTCCTGAGCTCCAGATTCATATACCCAGCTGCCCACTCCCCTGTCCATCTGGGCGTCCCATGGGTACTTCAAACCCAACAGATACCAAACTGGACTCATCCCTTTTCCCCCAAAACGGGCTCCTCCTCTCATGTTCCCTGTCAGTTGCTGGCACTACCTGCCACAATTCTGCCTCTGCCTCTCCCCCAGCATCCTGTCAGTCACCAAGAGTTATCTGTCTCTTTTGGCTCATAAATATCTCATGACCTTGCCTCCCTCTCTCCATCCCCAGGCTTTGTCACCATGGCTTACCTGGACCCTACAACAGGCTCCCCCTGCCTGCTGGCCTTTCCAGTCCATCCTCCAAATGGCTACCCCATGATCTTCCTAAATCACAAAGATGATCCTCTTGCTCACCTCTTTAAAGATGTCTGTTGGCTTCTCCACTTCTGCTGGGTAAAGCACGAACTGGCATTCAAGGCCCTTGATGATCTGCCTCTGGCCATATTCTCCAGCCTTATCATGACCGCATGTATTCCACCCTCCAGCCACACCTATGATTTGCCATTTCACAAATGCCCCCCACCTTCATCTAGGTTGTTTATTCTCCTTCCCACCAGTGTCCACTTGAAGCCAGCTCAGGTATCTCCCCCTGCAAGAAGCTCTCCTGACCCTCCTTCCCATGAGTTAACTTCTCCACGTGTGCTCGCCCCCACTTCTCTCATCTGCTCACACTGTATGGTGATAGTCTACCTGCCTGTCTACCCACTAGTTGGTGCAGGGACATGTCTGGGTTCCCAGAGTGGAATCCAGGACCTCACACATGCTCTGTACTCAGTTAATGTTTCCTGGACTGTGCTGAATTGTCACAGTGTGAACCAAGCTGCCATCATTTGCAGTTTACAAATTCATTGCACCATTATTTTTCCACTCTTCTTCATGACACATAGTCAGCTCAAAATATCTTTACACAGCAAGTTTTTTTTTTTTTTCACCTTTGCATTAGATACTTGGAATATACTCCCCAAACTGGTTTCTCTTGGTCAGGGGTTGTACTTAAGTGTGTGGTTTTTATTAGAACTGCTAAATAGTTCTCCAGAAAGATTGTGTTTATTCACATCACCACTATGTATACAGGAAAGGTATGATACCTTTCCTCATCCATCATAAGGTTATTCTTTTTTTTTTTTTTTTTTGAGACGGAGTCTCACTCTGTCACCCAGGCTGGAGTGCAATGGTACGATCTCGGCTCACCGCAAACTCCGTCCCCCAGGCTCAAGCGATTCTCCTGCCTCAGCCTCCCAAGTAGCTGGGATTACAGGCATGCACCACCACACCTGGCTAATTTTGTATTTTTAGTAGAGACAGGGTTTCTCCATGTTGGTCAGGCTAGTCTTGAACCCCTGACCTCAGGTGATTCACCCGCCTCAGCCTCCCAAAGTGCTGGGATTAGAGGCGTGAGCCACCATACCAAGCAAGGTTATTCTTATAATAAAAGACAGATAAACAAGAAAAAAGCACAACAAATTTATTGAATCAAAGTTTTACATGACATAGGAGCCTTCAGAAATAAAGACCCAAAAGCCTAGAGAAAACTGTGTTTTGTGTTTAGGTTCAATGAGGAATGAACAGCCATGTGGAGATGTGATTGGACAAAGGGGCATGACCTCATGGTAATAGACTGAGCAGGGAGATCCAGCAAAGCCTATCCAGATTCTTTTTGGTCTCCTTGCGAAGCATTCCTTCCTGCAGTGTATGGGGCAGGACTGCTCTGGGATGAGGGTCTTCAAGGGGCAAGGGAAAACAGAGAGTGTAACCTTTCTAGATTTTATGGCTGGCTTAGGGGGAGAGAGGTTCTAGTTTCTATGACGTGCTTTGGGGAATAGGAATTCTGTTTTCTCTGATTTGCTTCAAGGGAGAAAGAGGAGCGGGAGACACAGGGCCTGGATATTTTGCTTCTCTTTGAGTTCAAGTACTCAGCATGCCAAAGTGCCATACATTGGGCTATCACGTTCTGAGCCTCAACACCTGCAACACTGCCAGCAGTGGGTTTTACTATTTTTTCATTCATATTTGCTACTTTAACGGGCATGCAGAGGTGATGGTCTCTTCCTTCAGGGAGGCTTCTATAATTCTAGAGAGACAGCTATGGTAGGGTGTGACAAGTGCCATAACAGAGGGGTGGGGTGTGGAGGGTAGCAGAGGAGACTGTGGGAGCCCAGGATGGCAGGGAGAGTCTAATCCAAGTTGTGGGGCTGAAGGAAAACTTCCTAAAGGAGAGGCCAGCTACCTCAGACTAATCAGGCTGATGCCTCCCACTGCCTCCGGTCTTCTATAGCATTCTTACTGCCATTGGCTTTCCTCATCTTATCTCTATCTTCTAGCTACAACAACTCAATGGGAATAGATACTTTTCCCATCTCACAAATGAGGAAACAGAGGCTCACAGGGACCACACAGCTAGAGACGGGGCTAGAACTCAAACCCAGCTCTATGTGATGTCCTTGGGCCAGTGCTCTTCCAGCCGTCCATGTTGATAAGGAACAAGGGACAGATAAGATACTTCCTAGGGATGACCAACCCGGGGAAGGGACTTTTTAGCAATTACCCTCATTCACTACAACCCTGGAGGGTGAGTAATGTCAGCCCCAGTCTATGAAGTCTAAACAACCTCCCCAAGGTCACACTGTGGTGCAAGATAGACTCTCATCCCTACAGAGGACTTCCCCTCCCTGCCACACCCATTTGAGAGGGAGCAAAATTTATGCCCCTCCCCTCTCAATTCATAAGTTGAAGTCCTAATCCCTTGTACCATAGAATATGACCTTATTTAGAGACAGGGTCTTTACAGAGGTAATCAAGTTAAAATGAAGCCGTTAGGGTGGACCCTAAACCAATATGATTGGTATCCTTATAAAAAGGGGACATTTGGGGCCAAGCGCGGTGGCTCACGCCTGTAATCCCTGCACTTTGGAAGGCCGAGGCTGGCGGATCACCTGAGGTTGGGAGTTTGAGACCAGCCTGACCAACATGGTGAAACCCCGTCTCTACTAAAAATACAAAATTAGCCAGGTGTGGTGGCATGCACCTGTAGTCCCAGCTACTTGGGAGGCTGAGGCAGGAGAATCCCTTGAACCCAGGAGGCAGAGTTTGCAGTGAGCCGAGATGGCGCCTCTGCACTCCAGCCTGGGCAATAACAGCGAAACTCCATCTCAAAAAAAAACATACACAAAAAACAAACAAAAAAAATGGCTAGGGGGCACAGAAATTTGGACAAGGAGATGGACGAGCATAGAGGAAAAAAGATGGGAAGAGACACAAGAAGAAACAAGACAAAGAACATGGGAAGCTACCAGAATTCACCTGGCATGTTCCATACCAGAGAGGCATGGAACGGATTCTCCCTTACAGCCCTCCGAAGGAACTAACCCTGCCAATACCTTAATGTAAGACTTCCAGCCTCCAGAACTGTGAGATAATACATTTTTGTTGTTTAAGCCCCTTAATTTGTAGTACTTTGTTATGGAAACCCCAGTAAATTAATAAAGGGAAAACTGCCACCCACCCCCAAAACAGGGGATCCTGAAGATATTTTTGAACAAATAATTTTTGTGATTTCAAATTTGGTAATGTCTTCATTATATTTTTTATTGAAGAAAATTGGGGCCAGGTGTGGTGGCTCACCCCTGTAGTCCCAGCACTTTGGAAGGCCAAGGCAGGTGGATCACCTGAGATCAGGAGTTTGAGACCAGCCTGACCAACATGGTGAAACCCCGCCTCTACTAAAAACACAAAATTAGCTGGGCGTGTTGGCGGGCACCTGTAATCCCAGCTACTTGGGAGGCTGAGGCAGGAGAATTGGACCTGGGAGGCGGAGGCTGCAGTGAGCTGCGATGGCGCCACTGCACTCCAGACTGGGCAATGAGAGTGAAACTTGTCTCAAAAAAAAAAAAAAAAGAAAATTGGGAAAAGATTAGAAAGAATGAAGGAAAAAAGTAAAAACACATGCCCTCTCCCCTTGCTGTTAACATTTTGTTGCATTTCCTCGCATATATATTTCTTTGAATATATATATTCAATATATACATTATATATGCAAAATATATGTATTCAATATATATCTATTTTTTTTTCATGCAGTTACTAGAATCTTCTTTCCAGGGCTGCTGTGATGCTCGAATGGGAGATTGGGATTGGCTCCCAGTCCAGCACCATGCATGGTAGATATTATTTATACAGTTACTGTATAAAATTGGAGTCATGCTGTTTTACAACTTCCTCTTTTCACTTACCAGCTTATCTTCAGTGTTTCCCATGTCTTTCATATTCTTCAAGAACATGACAGTTAATTTCTGCAGTCTTCAGTCTGCGAATGAGGCATAACCTACTTACCCAATTCCCTGTCATTGAACATTTAGAGAATTTCCAGTTTTTCCCAGTTATAAATAAGACTGGGATAAATAATCTTTTATTTTAGGATATGCCCCAGAAACAGAATTGCTAAGTCAAATTCTAATTCTTTTAAAGGCTTTTGTACATACTGTGACATGTTCCTGCAGAAAAGTGGTACAATTTACCTCCTTAGCAGTGAAAAAAGCACTCCCTTTCCCACACCTCACCAACATCTGGTGTTTTCACTTCTATTATCTTGACCAGTTCTATAGATAGGAAAAAGCATACTCTTTTTTTTCATTTGTACTTTGGGATTTCTAGCGTTTTCACAGGTTTTTGTATTTCTTCAGTGAACTACGTTAATCATCCTTTGCGTGTGTCCACTGGTCAGTTCCTCTTATTGTTAAGGGTTTAGCAGGACTTGAAAGGGCCGCTGCAGATGGGAGCCCACGGGCAGCTTCCTCCCCACCCTTCTGACCCTCCTCCTCCCACATTCCCATCCTCTAGAGCTTTCCTTTGCTCTCCAGGGAACCTTTGTCATTCAAACAGGCCGCTGCTTCCCAGGGCCCTGGGAAAGCCACCTCCGGAGGCCCTCTCCACTTTTGACTGCTTTCCCTCCGGAGCCCCACATTCCTGCCTCACCTCTCCCCACGCCCTGCACATCCTCCCTCGAAATTCTTCAAGGAGGCCCAAAGCCACAGGGGACCCAGCCCCTGGCCTAGCCCTAGAGCAAGAATCCCAACCCCGCCCTGCTCCAGCTTGAAAGCAGGAGAGACGGGGCTAGGTGGGGAGGAACATCTGTCCTTGGGGGAAGGCCTGGGAGAGAAAGGCCACAGCACGCGGTGGAAGAAAGAACCCGTCTTTGATGTCTTGTGAAGTCTGACGTCATTCTAGAACCAAGGTCAAATCCCAGGCCAGCCACTTTCGGGCCACATCGCATCACTAGTTTGCAGGGCTGCAGTGAAGGTCAAATGTAACTTACATGTAATGCTTCTGGAACAAAAAGTCAGGTGAACTGATTACCGCAAAGCCCCAAGGATCAGGCACGGCTTCTCCAGGAGAGATGGCCCTTGGAGAGGCCGGCTTTGCCCTAGTGGCTGGAGAGTGTATCCGGCAGAAGGGGCAGCCTAGGAAAAGGCTGGGAGGCCAGGGGTACCGGGTGTGCAGTGTGGCTGGGCATGGACACGCGAATGAAGGGCCTCAGGGCACACACGGAGTCCCGAGAGGGAAGCTCAGACATCAGCCCAGACGGTGGACGGGACTCCACGCTAGACTTGGGAGACCTCGGTTTCCATCCCTATCGGTCTCCAGCTTCACTCATCCTATCACCCACAGAAGACTTTCCTGGGCGGCCAGGCAGTATGCCGGCCCCACCCAGGACCTGGAGGGGTTCAAAGACAAGCGATCAGGGCAAAGCGGGTGCCCCAGGGAGAGTGATTAAAACTGGGAATCAGCGGAGGCTTCTGAGAAGCAGCCTTTGAACTGGGCCTTAGGGTGCGACTGAGGGTGGGGAAGGCGGCCATTGCAAGCAGGGGGGTCGCAGGGGACGGGAAGGCGAAGTCTGGCTTCTTTGAGGGTGGCCGAGCAAGGAAAGGGGCGAGATGAAGTGGGCGAAGGGCGCTAGGGCCCCGACCCCAAAAGCCCACGCAGGAGAGGGGTGCCAGAGTCCAGCTTCACAAAGACCCGCCTGGAGCTGCCGCAGCCCCAGGCCCGGGAATGTGGGGCGGGGACGGGGAGGGGAGGGGAAGGAGGGGGCCGCGGGCCGGCAGCACGTAGCGCTCGTAGGCCGGGCGCGCCAGGGCAGGTAACAAAGCTGCCAGTGTGCCGGCGGCGGGGCGGGGCTGCCCGATACCTGTCTGGCGGGGGGCCGGGGCCCCAAAGGGGAGGGCAGCGGGGGCTGCTGGGCACAGTAGGCCGCGGCCTGCGCTCTGCCGAGCCTTCCCCTGCCGCAGCCTCCCCAGCGGAGCCGCAGCCCGAGAAAAGCGACACAGTCGGTTTTGCAGACTAGATGCCCGAAGCCCAGACACTAATAGGGCCTGGCCCGGGGTCGCGCAGGAGTCGTGAGATGCACAGCTCTGTGCCAAGGAGGGCTGGCGAGGAAATCCTCACCCAGGTCCCGGCCACATGCTCGTTCGCTGGGTGGGGCGGGGAGTCTGCCCCAGGCTTCTGAGCGGAGTTGGAATTCGGATGCATGGATATTCGGGTGCACGGCTCTGCGCCCCGTAATTTCTTCTCTAAGAGGCGAGAAGAGTCCCCCTAGACGGGCTGATCTCCAAGTGGCTCTTTCCAACAAGGTTAAAAAGCAGTCTTGTCGGCCGGGCATGGTGGCTCACGCCCGTAATCCCAGCACTTTGGGAGGCCGAGGCGGGCGGATCACGAGGTCAGGAGATTGAGACCATCCTGGCCAGCACGGTGAAACCCTGTCTCTACTAAAAAATACAAAAAATTAGCCGGGCGTGGTGGCGGGCGCCTGTAGTCCCAGCTACTCAGGAGGCTGAGGCTAGAGAATGTTGTGAACCCGGGAGGCGGAGCTTGCAGCGAGCCCAGATCTCGCGACTGCACTCCAGCCTGGGCAACAGAGCAAGACTCCGTCTCAAAAAAAAAAAAAAAAAAAAAAAAAAGGCAGTCTTGTCCACATCAAAGGAAGCGAGGAGGGCTGGCCTGATGGAGGTTGGGGGCCACCAGAGCCTCCGCACCCCATCTGTGGCGTCACCGTCGCGGGTTCCCTACTACAGGATGCCTCCATGGAACTCACTATCCCCGTGCGCGTGCCCGTACGTGTGGTCCCACAGACCTGTCCACGCCTGACCTCACACACGTGCACAGGTCGGCTTGTGCTCCCCACACGCAAGAGATCCTGTCAAGGGGTGCTGGAGAGTGAACCCTAGAATGACCCTTTGAGATCCTTCTTGCTCTTCCCCCACCCCTTTCGCCGGGGTCCTTTGTCCTCTGTGCAGGGCAATCCAGGGGCAGATGGAAGAAAAGAATTGGGTCAGACTCTTAGGGAACAAAGACACTTTGGGAGGGAAGTGTCCTCTCTACTGGAATCAGCTGCCCTCCCCCAGGGACCCCACAGCTCAGTCCTTTGCAGAGGAATCCTCCATCCCCCCACCAAAGCTAACAAATGGGCAAGACCACCCAGGATAGAGAGGGGGAGCAGAGAGCTAAGAGGCCAGGCCCCCATCCCAGCGTTTGGGCGTGGAGGTGGCTGCCTCATTAGTACCGTGGGGCACGGGGTGGCTGATGGCTGTGCTCCAAGGCCCTCAGTCCCGACTGCTTTGGAGCTTATCAGCCGACCTGGGGATAGGGGCCGACATGGCCACGCCCTCTCCCCTACCCTGGCAGCCTGGCCTAGAGCCCCCATTCCTGGAAAGGGAGCCCTGAGAGCAGCAGAGAGAGGCTCTGAGGCGCCGAATAGTCTGGCCCAGTCTCCTCTATGTCAGCTAAAGAGAAATGAGACCAGGCCCCTGCCCTGGAGGTGTCGAGGGCGCTGAGCAACAGGCACAAACACAGATGCAGACGGGCTACAGCCCCAGGTGCTCAGTGCTCAGACCAGTGTTCAGAAAGATTAGATGGATAAGCGGATGAGTGAATGCACGTCCATGAATTCATTTGGATAGAAAACCCTAGGCACTCCCAGGCTGGGGCTTCTTGCAGTTTGTCACTGCTCTGACCCTAGTGTGGTCAGACTGCAGCTCCCCTGGGCCAGGAAACCCTCTGATTCGACTCCCAGCCCAAGGCCTGACATTTACAAGGTAGTCAAGCTGTGCTTCCTGAAAATCCAGAGTAGCATGCTGATGTGTCCACCTCCCCACCAAACAGTACTCCTTGCACGTATCTTCAGGTATGGCTCAGATTCCTTCCCCCGTCTTCCATCCCAATATCCCCTATAGGGTAAGCAAACTGTGACAAAAGACAAATACCAGAATGAAGGCAGGCCTGGTCACTTCTTGGCTATGTGCATCTGAGCAGTCATTTCTCTCTCTGACCCTTAGTTTCCTTATCGGTAAAATGGAGGCAAAGATGCCTTTTCCACTTGATGGGATTGGGGTCACGTGCAGCACTACCCCTCCCCCTCAGCTCCCTCCTCAGCACCCAGGGCTCTTTGTTCAACCTGTACATGCTCTTACCTACTTCTCCCTTTTTATCTGCATCTATACCTGCACTAGTGGCTCCCCAAGGGCGATGGCCTCCATCTCTCTGTGCCACTACTGCCCAGCATTGCCCAACATATGCTTCAGCACATGCCCATGGAAGTCAGTGTTGGTGGAATGGTAAGCAATGAGTGAAAACATTTTGTTAACCAGAGAAGGCTGTGCGAATACGAGGGCTTGTGTCATGATAATATTTTAAATCACAGTAGTTTAGGACTTGAACATAATCTTACAGATTAACTGAGTTCTCCCATTTGACAGATGAGGAAATTGAGGCCCAGAATGTGAAACAGACTGCCAGTGATCACTCACAGAGGTTGTCCAGCTTGGACCTTGATATGCTTTGGCTGTGTCCCCACTCAAATCTCATCTTGAATTGTAGTACTCATAATCCCCACGTTTCATGGGAGGGACTAAGTAGAGATAATTGAATCATGAGGGTGGTTTCCCCCATCCTGTTCTCAGGATAGCATGATAGTGAGTTAGTTCTCATGAGATATGATGGTTTCATAAGGGGCTTCCCCCTTGGCTGGGCACTCACATCTCTCGCCAGAGACCATATAAGACGTGACTGTTTTGCCTTCTGCCGTGATTGTAAGTTTCCTGAGGCCTCCCTAGCCATGCAGAACTGTGAGTCAATTAAACTTCTTTTCTTTCTTTTTTTTTTTTTGAGATGGAGTCTCACTCTGTCGCCCAGGCTGGAGTGCAGTGGCACGAACTTTGCTCATTGCAACCTCTGCCTCCCTGGTTCAAGCGATTCTCCTGCCTCAGGGTCTTGAGTAGCTGGGATTACAGGTGAGCACCACCACGCCCGGCTAATTTTTGTATTTTTAGTAGAGACGGGATTTCACCATGTTGGCCAGTCTGGTCTCGAACGCCTGACCTTGTGATCCGCCTGCATTGGCCTCCCAAAGTGCTGGGATTACAGGCTTAAGCTGCCGCACCTGACCACGTTTTTTCTTTATAAATTACCCAGTCTTGAGTATGTCTTCATAGCAGCATGAAAACAGACTAATACGGACCTCAACTGAAGTATCTTAACTCCCAGGAGAGAGGGGCCTCCCTATAGACACTCCTCTCTGCATGGCTTCAGCCAGTGCAGACAAGGGTAAGCCAGTACTTGGAACCCTGTCTCCCAGTGACTGCCTTCCCCAAGAGATCTGACAGCCATGAATGCATCCGGGGTTCCTGAGGGCCAAAGACAGGGTGCTGTTTTAAAGATGCTGTGAACGCTCAGTGTGCACTTACAGTAGAAGGCAGAGGCAGTGACAGCAGCAAGGCAGAGCTGGAATCTTCACTGTAGGTTTCCCACTGTCATTCCCAGGACAGTGGAATCAGTATGGATTTCAGAGTCACACCAACTTGGCTTTGAATCCTGACTCTGAAACCCATTAGCTGGGCGAGTTTCTTGGGCAAGTTATTTCATCTATGAGCCTCAGTTTCTTCACCCATAATTCCATAATATTGGAATATGAATTCCTATCTGATAATCCAGTTGAGACGACTCAGTAAGAACATAAGCAAAAGCATCTGAGTCCAGAGTAAGAAGACCATCTCTTCCCTTCCTACCTTCAGTTTCCCCTCTACTTCCAGGATGGAATAAGGAAAGATTCCTGGCTGCTGCCCCTTCCACCACAGTCTAGAAGCCATCATAAGGAGGATAGTAGTGTGGGGTGGTGAGGTTTGGGGGAAGCCAAAAGTGGTACCTCAAAAGATATCCACATCATTATGTTGGGCATGGTGGCTCACACCTGTAATCCCAGCACTTTGGGAGGCTGAGGTGGGAGGATCACTTGAGCCTATGAGGTCAAGACCAGCCTGAACAACATAGTGGGCAACATAGTGAGATGCTGTCTCTACAAAAAATTTAGTTATTAGCTGGGTGTGCTGATGGTGCCTGTTGTCCTAGCTACTCAGGAAGTTGAGGCAGGAGGATCACTTGAACCCAGAAGTTCGAGGCTGCAGTAAGCTACGATCGTGCCACTGGACTCCAGCCCGTGTGACAGAGTGAGGCCCTGTCTCAAAAATAAATAAAAGAAAAAAAAAAAGATACCCACAGGAATCCCTGACACCTGTGAGCATTATCTTATATAGCAAAAGATGTGATTAAGTTGAGGTTCTTAAGAGGAGGTGCTTAACCTGAATTGTCCAAGTAGGTCCTAAATGACATTACAGGTGTTCTTATGAGAGAGGAGAGGGACAGACAGAGAGAGGAGAAGACATACCCAAATAGAGGAGAAGGCCATGTGAAGACAGAGTCTAAGATGAGAGTGATAAAGTCACATGCCAAGGAACACCTGCAGCCACCAGAAGCTGGAACAGATAAGGAATGGATTCTCCCCAAGAGTCTGGGGAGGGAGTGGAGCCTTGCTGACACCCTGCTTTCAGACTTTTAGCTTCCTGAACTGTGAGAGAATACACTTCTGTTGTTTGAACTCACCCAATTCATCATCATTTATTACAGCAGCCACAGGAAAGTAATACAGGTCTATCGATTCTGGCTCCAAATCAGCCAGTCCCCTGCCTCTGCACCTCTCATCTTCTAGCCAAATCTGGACCTAGGCCTTCATGCATTCACCCACCAAACCCCGAAGCCTGATCTTGGTGGGATGGGATTCCTGCTACCCGCCACCTAGTCTGGGTCATAGCTGTCACCTGCTCCTTGGCCCTGTCTGCCTCCATTGGGCTGCAGCACCAGTTTTTCTGCCCCATTAGACCCCAGTGGAAGTTGGGGGGAGGCATGCCTACTGGGGCCAACTACTGGCTAGTGGGGAGAAAACACTAATAGTAAAAATCAGGAGGCCTATATTTACATTTAGCCTACGCATTAACTTGGGCAAGTCACTTCACCTCTCTGGGTCATACTTTTCTCACCTGCCACGTGCCCAGATTGGACTGTGTGATTTTTCCATGTCCTTTCAGTTCTGACTGTGAATGAGCAGAGGAAGAAGGAGTGGGAAGCTTAGGAGGAAGGAAGAAGATAATCAATGCTCAAGAGTAAAAACGTGCAGTGCTATAAATGGGGTTTCAGTTTCTCTTAGAGGCTGGATGAAGAGCAGTGTCAGGTAACAGTGAACCTCACGGCTTGGGAGGAATGAGGGTTTAGGATTGGAGGTCTGCAAGACAGGTGTCCACCTGCAAGAGAGGGGACCATCTGCAAGACAGGTGATCTTCTATATGGGAAGTGTCCATCATAGGGCCTGCCCCATCACATTCCTTTCTAGGAAGATGGTTCTGTCCAAAATCCCCATAGCCCAAGTGGGTACATTTGGACATTAAACCTTGTCCTCTGCTATGGTCTGAATGTTTGTGTCTTCCCAAAATTCATATGTTGAAATCCTAACCCCCAGGTGATAATATTAAGAGGTGATTATGTCATGAGGGCAAAGCCTTCGTGAATGGGATGAGTGCCTTAAAAAAAAAAGGGTCCAGAGAGCTGCCTTGCCCCTTCTACCATGTAAGAATAGTGAGAAGGTACCATCTATGAACCAAGAATAGGGCCCTCACCAGATACCACATCTTCCAGTGCCTTGAGCTTGGACTTCCCTGGCTTCAGAACTGTAAGAAATATAAATTTGTGTTGTTTATAAACCCCTTAGTCTATGGCATTTTGTTATAGCAGCTTAAATGGACTAAGACATCCTCTGTGGATGGAGCCAATTGGAAGAAGAAGGAATCTGACTCAAGGGCTGCCTGACAATCAATGACATGGAGGGAAAAGATGGGATGAGCCAAACTAGATTCTCACCTTGGGAACCTGAATTGGGAAAACATAGTAGGAAAATGGAGGCAAAGAAATCATGATATGGAGAGGTCCAGAGATCTGAGCCTGTTCAAGCCAGTGACTGAGCAGAGAAATCAAAAGGATTGAGTTAGTGAGTTGAAGCAGGTGTGGATGATAGTCAAGTTGTTGTGTTAATGTCGAGCTGTGAAAGTAAAAGTTCATGCCCTCCTGCTACAGGTGGTCCTAAAGGTTCTTAGCATTGAAGGGGAAAGACCACAGACCTAGAACTTATAAGTACTCTGTTTCTAAAAATGCATTCCGGGAAAAGAGGAGGAGAGTATTCACAGCCAGGAATTGAGGACCATCACACTAGGTTCTTAACATGTCAAAATTACAGACTTCTTAGCTACTAGAACTAATAATAAGTGAGAACTAAGTAAGTTTAGCAAGGTGGCAGAACACAAAGTCAATATTTTAAAATCAATTATATTTCTATATACAAGCAACCAACAATTGGAAACTGGAATTTTACAAACACTTCTTAAAAGTACATAAAAACATCAAATACTTAGGCTGGATGCAGTGGCTCACGCCTGTAATCCTAGCACTTTGGGAGGCCGAGGCGGGCGGATCACCTGATGTCAGGAGTTCGAGGCCAGCCTGACCAACATGGAGAAATCCTGTCTCTACTAAAAACACAAAAATTAGCCAGGTGTGGTGGCGCATCCTGCAATCCCAGCTACTCAGGAGGCTGATGCGGGAGAATCACTTGAGCCCGGGAGGCGGAGGTGGTGGTGAGCCAAGATCGCACCATTGCACTCCAGCCTGGGCAACAAGAGCGAAAATCCGTCTCAAACAAAACAAAACAAAAAAGCCACATCAAATACTTAGTGATACACTTAATTAAATATGTGCAAGATGTATGTGTTAGTTATCTATTGCTGAGTAACAAATTATCCTAAACTTAGTGGCTTAAAATGAACATTGACTATCTCAGTTTCCACAGGAATTCAGGAGCAGCTCAGCTGGGTGGTTCTGGTTCTGGGTTTCTCATGAGGTTGGAATCCAGGTGTTGACCAGCGCTGCAGTCATCTGGGGGCTGGACATGGTTGTTAACAGAGGCCTCAGTTAGTTCCTCATCACATGATGGAACTCTCCATAGAGCTGCTCACAACCTTGCAGTTGGTTTCTCCTAGCTGGGATGATGCTACACACTCTACAGTATACAGACTAGCCTCTTACAACAAAGAGTTATCTGGGCCAACATCCCAATAGTGCTGAGGCCGAGAAACCCTGGGCTAAGCAAAGACTTAGAGAGAACATAAAAGACAGAAATCATTAAAAAAAAATGATACACAAAATCAATATTTTGTGTTAAGATTGTGTTTATTTAGGTTAAGATTTCATTTTGACTTTATCAGAATGAAAAACTTTTGCTCTTTGAAAGACACCATTCTTAGGCTGGGTGTGGTGGCTCACGCCTGTAATCCCAGCACTTTGGGAGGCCAAGGTGGGTGGATCATTTGAGGTCGGGGGTTTGAGACCAGCCTGGCCAATATAGTGAAACCCCATCTCTACTAAAAATACAAAAATTAGCCAGGTGTGGTGGCAGGTGCCTGTAGTCCCAGCTACTTGGGGGCTGAGGCAGGATAATTGCTTGAACCCGGGAGGCGGAGGTTGCAGTGAGCCGAGATCACGCCACTGCACTCCAGCCTGGGTGACAGAGTATAAGACTCAGTCAAAAAAAAAAAAAATTTGTCCAGGGGAGATTCCTATTAAAGATCTATATAGGTGGTCACGGAGTTTGTCCAGGGAATGAATCATTTAAGGATCTCTTTATTAGTTGGGGTTTTTGACATTCAGAATCTTTGAAGACACAGGTAGTAGGGAGGGATTGAATTCCTCATCAGTTAGGTCCCTCATGAGGCCCATTGCTGGTAAAATCTTTGTAATATTCCTGGAATTTCACTTAGTGATTCATGCATATTCTTACACCAATGCCCCTTGGACTGGGTCAGTGTGAGTGGTCCAGGACTTTGTTTCTTGCCACTAAAAGCTCTTCACTAGAAAAGGGTCAGAGTTCTAGTTTATGACTAAGGGTTAGGTTAAGATTAGATTTAGAATTATGCTCATGGAAAACCTAGCTCAAATGGTTCCTAGAAATTGTCCACATAGTAAGTGATCAGTATATATTGGTCAAAGAAATGAATGAATGGAAACTGGTTTAAGCAAATGGAATCTGTTAGCTGGCTTCAAGTGACTCAAACAACATAATCAGGAATGGAGAGGGGGTCTCTCTCTCTCTCTCTCTCAACCTGCTCTGATCTCTGCAATGTCATGCTTAGATGACCCACTATCCACGACCTACCACCACTGTGCTAAAGGATTCCTTGTCCTTCCCTACACTGTCCCAGAAAAGGTCTCCCTGGTAGCACCCACGGGTGTGGGGGGCAGCCACTTCTCTTTCTCAAGAATGCCAAAGACTGGGTGCGGTGGCTCACGCCTGTAATCCCAGAACTTTGGGAGGCTGAGGCGGGTGGATCACGAGGTCAAGAGTTTGAGACCAGCCTGGTCAACATGGCGAAACCCCGTCTCTACTAAAAATACAAAAAAATTAGCCAGGTGTGATGGTACATGCCTGTAGTCTCAGCTACTTGGGAGGCTGAGGCAGGAGAATCACTTGAACCTGGGAGGCAGAGGTTGCAGTGAGCCAAGGCGGTGCCATTATACTCCAGCCTGCGCGACAGAGCAAAAAAAAAAAGAATGCCAAAAAAGTCTCTTGCTTTCCTTGGCTCTGATTTGGTTCAGAGCCAGCCCTGAATAAATGGCTGCAGACGGCGGGTGGGACATGTGGATTGGCTAAGACCCATCAAAACCTATTCCTGGTCCTGGGGCATGAGCTACTTCCTTCAGGCATGGGTAGAACAGATGCTTAGTGGCCAAACTTACAAATGTTACAGGAATTTCAGGGTCTGGATTAGAGTGCCAGGAAGGTTCCAATCTAGACTAAGCAATAAAAAGGTTCAGTTGTGTTTTTCCAGATGAGAGAAAAATGCATAAACACTTTTGAGCCCTGCATTCCACTCCCAGGGCTTTTCTTAAAAACAAAACAAAAAAAAAAATCACCTTCCCTAAAAGCTGTTGTTCATGGTGTTCTTTATGTAGAAGAGTATAAGACCACATGGAAGGCCAGGCGCGGGGGCTCATGCCTGTAATCCCAGCACTTTGGGAGGCCGAGGCTCGTGGATCACGAGGTCAGGAATTCGAGACCAGCCTGACCAACATGGTGAATGAAACCCTGTCTCTACTAAAAATACAAAAATTAGACAGGCATGGTGGGGTGCGCTTATAATCCCAGCTATTCAGGAGCCTGAGGCAGGAGAATCACTTGAACCTGGGAGGCGGAGGTTGTGGTGAGCCGAGATTGCACCATTGCACTCCAGCCTGGGCAACAAGAGTGAAACTCCATCTCAAAAACAAAAACAACAACAACAAAAAACACATGGAAAGAGATAAGGTTGGGGTAGGAAGGGTGGGGCAAACAAAATGCTATGTACATTACTGAATGATAGTGATAAAAAAAATACTGGCTAGGCTGGGTGTGGTAGCTCATGCCTGTAATCCAGCACTTTGGGAGGCTGAGGCAGGAGGATCGCTTGAGCCCAGGAGTTCAAGACTAGCCTGGGCAACATAGTGAGACCTGGTCTCTCCAAAAAAAAAAAAAAAAAAAAAAAAAAAAGAAAATTAAGAATTAGCTGAGTATGCTAACATGCACTTGTAGTCCCAGCTACTATTTGGGAGGCTGAGCTGGGAGGATAACTTGAGCCCAGGAGATCAAGGCTGCAGTGGGCTTTGATTGTGCCACTGCACTCCAGACTGGGCAGCAGAGTGAGGCCCTGTCTCAAAAAGAAAAAAAAAAATACTGCCTATAACAGTCACTAGACATAGGCCGAGCGCAGTGGCTTATGCCTGTAATCCCAGCACTTTGGGAGACTGAGGCAGGCAGATCACGAGGTCAGGAGTTTGAGACCAGCCTGACCAACATGGTGAAACCCCGTCTCTACTAAAAAATACAAAAATTAGTCGGGCGTGGTGGCGTGTGCCTGTAATCCCAGCTACTCAGGAGGCTGAGGCAGGAGAATCACTTGAACCCGGAAGGCAGAGGTTGCAGTGAGCCGAGATCGCGCCACTGCACTCCAGCCTGGGCAACAGAGTGATTGCGCTACTGCACTCCAGCCTGGGCAACAGAGTGAAGGTCCATCTCAAATAAAAAAAAAAATCACTAGACATATAGGGATTCAATGATGTACAGGGGTTGGCTGAAAGCAATTGAAACATGTTTTCTTTTGCTTTCCATAATGATTACAATGCTTGTATAATCATAAAAACAAATTAGAACACAGCTTGGATTAGGTTAGGGGTAAAGCTGGGGCTGGAATTCAGTCAGGTGACATTTCCTTGGAGAAGTGATTTAACCTTTCTGAGCTTTCCTTTCTGCCTATGTAAACAGAGGTATTAATAATAATAGTGCCACCTCCTAAGGCTATTGTGAAGGTTAAAGGAAAAATCTCCATAGAGTGCTCAGCACACAGTACCTCATGCACAGTAATCATTCAATGTGGCCTTGGGATTGTCACTGGCCGTGGGTGCACAGAACTGGCATCAGATTTTTATAACAGCTTTATTGAGATATAATTGACATACAATAAGCAGCACGTATTTAAATTATACGGTTTGATATGTTTTGACACATGTATACATCCCTGAAACCTTTGACCCAAACAAGATTATGAACATATCACCTCCAAGTTTCCTTATCTGTATCTGTAGCTCATTTCTTTTTATTACTGAGTAGCAACATTGTATGAACATATCACAACTTGTTTTACCACTCACCTGCTGATGAACATTTGGATTGTTTCTAATTTTGGCTATTACATATAGAGTTGCATTCATTTACGAGTCTTTGGGTACACACATGCTTTCAGGTGTCTTGGGTAAATACCTACTAGTGGGATGTCTAGGTTGTAATGTGAGTGTAGATCTTTACGAGAAACTACCTGGCACCAGATGTGGCCATCAGAGTGCGGGACTGCCCTGGAGAGGAATGAGAGGGTGGAGGTCAGAGTCAGGGGTCTCCTACACCCTCTCCTTACCTTCTCAGGCTCGATGGTCAACTCCTAGAGGTCTACAGCTGGCATCTCAATAGGGCCTATTCCTTCTTAAAGACGCCCTCCTCCCCATGGCAGGAGTTCCCATATCCCAGTGGGCATCAAAATGTCCTGGAGAGCCTTCTATTTATTTATTTTGAGATGGAGTCTCTGTCTTGCTCTGTTGCCCAGGCTGGAGTACAGTGGCGCGATCTTGGTTCACTGCAACCTTCGCCTCCCAGGTTCAAGCCATTCTTGTGCCTCAGCCTCCCTAGTAGCTGGGACTACAGGTGCATGCCACCATGCCCAGCTTTTTTTTTTGTATTATTAGTAGAGATGGGGTTTCACCATGTCAGCCAGGCTGGTCTTGAACTCCTGACCCCAGGTGATCCGCCTGCCTCAGCCTCCCAAAGTGCTGGGATTACAGGTGTGAACCACCACGCCTGGCCCTGGGGAGCTTTAAACACTGTAGATTCCTTAGGCATGAGCTGAGAGGAGTGAATAAATTAAATAAATAAATAAATAAATAAAGTAAATAAATAAACATTGTAGGCCGGGTGCGGTGGCTCCCACATATAATCCCAGCATTTTGGGAAGTTGAGGCCTGAGTGTCGCTTGAGCCCAGGAGTTCGAGACCAGCCTGGGGCAAAACCCCATCTCTACTAAACATACAAAAATTAGCTGGGCGTGGTAGCTCACACCTGTAATCCCAGCTACTTGGGAGGCTAAGGCAGGAGAATTGCTTGAACCCAGGAGTCAGTGGTTGCAGTGAGCTGAGATCGTGCCACTGCACTCCAGCCTGGGCGACAGAGTGAGACTCCGTCTCAAAATAAATAAAAAAATAAAAATACAAAAAAATTAGCCTGGCGTGGTGGCACACACCTGTGGTCTCAGCTACTCAGGAGGCTCAGGTGAGAGGATCACTTAAGTTTGGGAAGTTGAGGTTCAGTGAGCCGAGATTGTGCCACTGCACGCCAGCCTGAGTGACAAGAGTGAGACCCTGTATCCAAAAAAACCCAAATAAATAAAAATAAACACTGTAGATTTCTGGGTCCCATCTGAGACCTGCTGACTTAGAATGTTGCCGGGTAGGACCACAGAATTTGTTCTTTTAAGTGCCCTTTGTGATTCTGCCATATTAACAGGACCTCACCTGCCAGGTCAAGTTTAAAACCTCAGGCAAGGCATTTCCAGCCTTTTGCCATCCGGCCCCCATGTCCTGTGCAGGCTCACACCTTGCCCTCACCCAGACACGCAGTCTCATGAAACCACTCCATGTTCCCGACATGCTTAGGCTCTCTCACATCTGAGTCTTCACACAAGTTCGTCTTTCTATATCCCCCTTGTCTACCTGGGAAACTTCCACACATGTCCTCTGAGGCCAGCTAAAACACTATTTCCTCTGGGAAGCCTTCCACATCTTTCTTCCAACCAGCCAGTCAGAAGTCTTTTCTCTTTCCTGTGAGTCTCCCAGCACCTCCCACCATTCTATATCCCAGCATGCATCACTCTGCCCCATAATTATTTAGTGATGCCTGTGTCAAACAGTTTGTATAGCTTGCCTTGTTTCAGGTCCCCAGGAACCCTCTGAGGTAGATGATGATGATGATGACGATAGCAGCAAAGGTTTAGCAGGTGAAAAGTTTGCTCAAAGAATTCTACGTATGGGCCAGGCGCGGTGGCTCATGCCTGTAATCCCAGCACTTTGGGAGGCTGAGGCAGGCGGATCACCTGAGGTCGGGAGTTCAAGACCAGCCTGACCAACATGGAGAAACCCCGTTTCTACCAAAAATACAAAATTAGCCGGGGTGGTGGCACATGCCTGTAATCCCAGCTACTCGGGAGGCTGAGGCAGGAGAATTGCTTGAACCCGGGAGGCGGAGGTTGTGGTGAGCCGAGATCGCGCCAATGCACTCCAGCCTGGGCAACAAGAGCGAAACTCCGTCTCAAAAAAATATATATATATATACTCAACTGAATAGTTAAGGGGGACCCTCTGAGTGTCTCCAGTGCTCTTTCTCTGTAGTTCTCCTCTCTCCAGTGCTCTGCCTTACAAACTTCAGCCTCTTTGGCTTCCCCCAGGCCCCTGGACATGTCTTGTTAATGAGGGGAGCCATGGCATGGGAATTTTCTCCAGGTGACAAGTCAGTAGGACTAACCTGTATTTCTTCGTTTCTCTCATTGATCACTGTTTGCCATTATCTAATGTATAGATAGTGTCTTGAGTGCCATTTTGTGTGTGTGTGTGTCTGTCTGTTTGGTTTTGTATTTTAAGGCATTTCAGAAGGGAGGGTAAATCTAGTCTCTGTGACTCCGTTCTGAAAAAGCAGAAGTTTGCGGTGTCAGAGTTGGCATTGGAGTTGGTCAGGAAGTGTCAGAGCTGGCTCTGCACTGGAGCGGGGAGGCTTTTCTTCCTTTATACCAGCTGGCACACCTGCCCCCAGAGAAAGACTGATCCTACTGTGCCGTCAAGCTCTCAGGCACTGGGTGCCAACTGGGTCAGTTACCAGGGAGAGGAGGTAACTGGTGTGCCCATGGGAAACTAGAGCTGGCATATCTCATTATAACTGTCAACAGAATGCTTCTTCACCGAGGTTCCAATGCTGCCACCTCTCCAGCCAGCCCAGCTGGGGTCAGGGTGCCTTCCTCTAAGGGCTCTGACCTCATCTCCAGTTACTGACCTCACCTGGCCAGAGCTGGAGGGGATTAGCACTTACGGCCTCCCAGCTGGTAACATTAGCCACTACCTAGCAACAACAATGACAAACTTCCATTTTTCGAGCAGTTACTATTTGCCAGGCCCTGAGCTACCTACCAAAAAATTGAGGCTAGAAGAGGTAAAGCTGCTCACCCAAGTGACGCAGCTGGAAAGGGGAAAAAGGGGGATTCAACACTTACCTCTGGAGACCTGGGGGATGGTCTGTCAAACATACATCCTGGGAACTTTCGGAGGCTCTGGGTCCCATCCTCTATTTTGGCCTGGGCTCCTGTCTCTGTTTCTGGCTTTTGTCTGCCTCTGGGTCTGAAGACCTAATCCGAATCTGCTTAGTTCTGGGGCATGGCATGGTGCGCGGGACACACACTGACTTTGTTAACAGACAGACTGAGGTTCAAATCCTACTTTCTTTTTTTTTTTTTTTTTTTGAGACGGAGTCTCGCTATCGCCCAGGATGGAGTGCAGTGGCGTGATCTCAGCTCGCTGCAAGCTCTGCCTCCCGGGTTCACGCCATTATCCTGTCTCAGCCTCCCCAGTAGCTGGGACTACAGGCACCCACCAACACGCCTGGCTAATTTTTTGTATTTTTAGTAGAGACGGGGTCTCACCACGTTAGCCAGGATGGTCTTGATCTCCTGACCTCGTGATCCGCCTGCCTCAGTCTCCCAAAGTGCTGGGATTACAGGCATGAGCCACCGCGCCCGGCTCAAATCCTACTTTCTAACTGTGTGACCTTGAGGGAGTCACTAAATTCTTGCTGAGCCATAAGAATCACCTCTACAACATGGGGTAGTGGTATTACTTCACAGGGTGAATGTGAGGATTAAATGAGATAATATGTAAAAAGTGCTTACTTCCACCTGGGTGTTCAATACATGGTAGTGAGACGTCTAGTGTCCAGTCAGGCATGTAAGGGGCTTGGACGTTGTCTCTCTGTCCTAATAATAAGTAAAAAGTTTAGCAAACTGGAAAATCAACAATTCTTCTTAGATCCTTTAGAGGAGTCAGGTCACAGGGCAAATCACTGCCCTCAAAATTGAAGAGACAGAGAAGGAGAAACCCCCAAGTAGAAACCTGCTCTAGAACCGGTACCAGGACAGGACAACCTAACCTGTAATTGAAGAATAGCTGGAGGCTCAGCGTGGGCAAATCTGAACATTAAACATTCCAGCAAGAGCCAGCCATAGGGGCGTCCCCACATGTTTGTGAGTTTAATCTTCAGGATCTCTATCGAGTCCTCCCAGTGAATGTCAGAGAAAAATCTCCTTGTGCTTTCAGCAGGGGGATGGGAAAAGTAACCATTTTGAAATATGCCAGAGCATTCTGTTCTTAACAAGGCCTGCTTCTCAAGAGAAACTATTTTAGCCCAGCCCAATCTTCTGGAGCTTTATCAGAGCCTAGCTGACCTGAGGGAGGGGAAATAGCCAATTCCACTCCCATCTCTGTCCCACCTAAGGGGAGAAAAAAATGGAGAAGCACTGGTGAACTTCACAGCCCAGGAGGGTTCCCAGGCTCATGAAAAGAGTGAGAGCTAATCACAGGACTGTGGAACGCCACCCCTGCCCCACACCTCCTCCACCACATGACTAAAGGCCTATTTTACGGGAATTCCTTTTACCCAGTGTAGGAGCTATGGGAAAACTTTCCCTTCACTCTCTGAAGTTTCACTAAAAAATCAATTTACAGGCTGGACTTGGTGGCTCACACCTGTAATCCCAGCACTTTGGGAGGCCAAGGTGGGTGAATCACCTGAGGTCAGGAGTTCGAGACCAGTCTGGCCAACATGGAGAAACCCCGTCTCTACTGAAAACACAAAAATTAGCTGGGCATGGTGGCGGGCGCCTATAATCTCAGCTACTTGGGAGGCAGAGGCAGGAGAATCATTTAAACCCAGGAGGCGGAGGTTGCAGTGAGCCAAGATTGCGCCATTGCACTCCAGCCTGGGCGACAACAGCAAGACTCTGTCTTTTAAAAAAAAAAAAATCAACTTACAAAAGGCAAATTAGTAGGAGAAATGGCGTACAAATTTATTAGCATGCACAGGGGAGAATCACAGAGTGATTACCCAATATCCCAATGGAGTAAGATGGTACCCTTCTTTTTTTAAAACTTTTATAAATTTTTTAAATTAAAAAAAATGGAATGCTTTACGAATCTGCATATCATCCTTGCGCAGAGGCCAGACTAATCTTCTCTGTATCGTTCCAATTTTAGTATATGTGCTGCCAAAGCGAGCACTATATACCCTTCTTCTTAGGGGAAAGGAAGATGGGAAACTATAATGATTTTAGGGGATAGGAAATGAGTTTTAGGAGAATTCAATGGGCTTGAAGAACATACAATTTCCTTGAACAAAGTCTGTTGGGCCTGCGGAGCAGACAATGGTTTGTGACAAAAGTCTGTCTAACCATCCTGGTCAACATGGTGAAAGCCCATCTCTACTAAAAATACAAAAATTAGCTAGGCGTGGTGGTGAGAGCCTATAGTCCCAGCTACTGGGGAGGCTGAGGCAGAACCGCTTGAACCCGGAGGCAGAGGTTGCAGTGAGCCAAGATCACGCCATTGCACTCCAGCCTGGACGACAGAGTGAGACTCTGTCTCAAAAAAAAAAAAAGTCTGTCTGGATTTGTTGACAGACTTGGGTCTTTCTTCCTGTGACATGAATTCAGTTAATGAAAACTCAAAGAAGGGACTAGAGGTAATTGTTTTCTTCTTTGGCGGAACTGGACTTTAGGCAGATAGGGGAACTTCAGAAAACAACTTTATCATGTGCTTTGGGAGGGACGGGAGGACTGAGAGACAGGAGATGAGGGAAGGTCAGAGAGACCTTGAGGCTTCTTCTTCAGTTTGGCATGTCAAAGCACCATATTTTGTTGTATCGGTTTCTGAGCCCCAACACCAGTATACCATGTGTGGCTTTCAATGGGAAATTACAACACATATTAAAGGCAAAACACACACTTTGAAGAAAAAGAGCAAGCGTCAGAACCAGGCTGGGATACGACAGGAATGTTGAGATTATCAGACTAAAAATTTAAAACAACTATAATTAATGTTAGGGGCTCTGATGGAAAAAGTAGATAACATGCAAGCACATATAGACAGTGTAACCACAGAGACAAAAATTCTAAGAAAGAATTTTTTTTTAATGATAGAGATAAAAAATACTGTAATAGAAATGAAGAATGCTTTTAATGGACTCATTAGTACATTGGACACAGATGAGGAAAGAATCTCTGAGACTGAAGATATATTAGTAGAAACTTTCAAAACTGAAAAGCAAAGAGAGAAAAGACTGAAAAAACATGAGAAAGAATATCCAAGTACTGTGAGACAACTATAAAAGCTATATTATATGCATAATGGGAATAGCTGAAGGAGAAAAGAGGACAAAAGAAATACTTGAAGCAAGGATAACTGAACATTTCACCAATTTTTTTTTTTTTTGAGATAGAGTCTCAATCTGTCACCCAGGCTGGAGTGCAGTGGCGCAATCTCCGCTCACTGCAACCTCTGCCTCCCGGGTTCAAGCGATTCTCTCTCCTGTCTCGGCCTCCTGAGTAGCTGGGACTACAGGCGCCTGCCACCACGCCCAGCTAACTTTTTTGTATTTTTAGTAGACAGGAGGTTTCACCATGTTGGTCAGGCTGGTCTCAAACTACTGACCTCAGGTGATCCACCCGCCTCGGCCTCCCAAAGTGCTGGGATTACAGGCATGAGCCACCGCACCCTGCAACTTCACCAAATTAATGTCAGACACCAAACTACAGTTCCAGGAAACTCAGAGATTTCTCTCTCTCTCTCTGTCTCTCTCTCTCTCGCCCTCATACACACACACGCGCGCGCGCACACACACACACACAAAGCCCCAAATGCTACACCTAGGCATATCATATTTAAACTGCATAAAATCTAAAATCAAAGATAAAGAAAAAATCTTGGAATGAAAGCAGAGGGGTAGCCAACAGTACTCCGGCCAACAAAAAAAAAAAAAAAAAAAGGAAAAATTTTTTAAAAAAGAAACCACAGTGGGGAAAAACTTGCCTATAGAGGAGCAAAGACATTACATCTGAATTCTCAGAAACCAAGCAAGCTAAAAGAGAATGAAGTGAATATTTTAAATGTTGGGAGAAAAAAACCCACCAACTTAGTATTCTGTATCCTGAAAACTTTCCTTCAAAAGTGAAGGAACTGGGTGAGGTGGCATGTGCCTATAATCACAGCTACTTGGGAGGCTAGTGTGGGAGTATCCCTTCAGCCTAGGAGTTCCAGGCCAGCCTGAGGCAACATAGCAAGACCCTGTCTCTAAAAGAAAAAAGTTGGCCAGGCACAGTGGCTCACTCCTGTTAATCTCAGCACTTTGGGAGGCCGAGGCAGGCAGATCACTTGAGGTCAGGAGTTTGGGATCAGCCTGGCCACATAGTGAAACCCCATCTCTACTAAAAATACAAAAATTAGCCAGGCATGGCAGCATGCACCTGTAATCCCAGCTACTCGGGAGGCTGAGGCAGGAGAATCACTTGAACTCAGGAGGCGGAGGTTGCAGTGAGCCAAGATGGCACCACCACACTCCAGCTTGGGCAACACAGCAAGACTCCATTTCAAAAAAAAAAAGTCAACAAATCTAGACATATATATAAAGTTTAATAAATCTAGTCTGAATAGAGTTTAATCTCAGGAATGCAAGGTTGTTTTAGTATTTGAAAATCAATTTGTGGCCTGGCACAGTGGCTCACGCCTATAATCTCAGCACTTTGGGAGGTCAAGGCTGGTGGATCACCTGAGGTCAGGAGTTCGAGACCAGCCGGGCCAACATGGTGAAACCCCATCTCTACTAAAAATAAAAAAATTAGCCAGGCATGGTGATGCGTGCCTGTAGTCCCAGCTACTCGGGAGGCTGAGAGAGGCGAATTGCTTGAACCTGGGAGGTGGAGATTGCATTGAGCCAAGATCATGCCACTGCACTCCAGCCTGGGTGACAGAGTAAGACTCCGTCTCAAAAAAAAAGAAAGAAAGAAAATCAATTTGTGTACTTGATTATATTAACAAAATAAAAATTATATTCCTTTTTTTTTTTTTTTGAGACAGAGTTTCGCTCTTGTTGCCCAGGCTGGAGTACAATGGCGCTAGCTCGGCTCACCGCAACCTCCGCCTCCCGGGTTCAAGCGATTCTCCTGCCTCATGTGCCACCACGCCTGGCTAATTTTGTATTTTTAGTAGAGATGGGGTTTCTCCGTGTTGGTCAGGCTGGTCTCAAACTCCCGACCTCAGGTGATCTACCCGCCTCGGCCTCCCAAAGTGCTGGGATTACAGGTGTGAGCCACCGCGCCCGGCTTTGTTTTTTAAAAAGTGAAAGAAAAACAAAGACTTTCTCAAACAAAATTGAAGGAATTTGTTGCCAGTAAACCTAATTTACAAGAAATGTTTAAAGAAGTTATTCAGAGAGAAGGAAAATAATATAGATCAGAAACTCAGATCCACTTAAAGAAAGAAAGCAATAGAGAAAGAACAAGTAGAGAGAAAATTAATACTTTTATTCTTCTTATTCTTAATCTAACAAATAAGAGAATGTTCAAAATAATAATAGCAACAATGAATATAGCTATATATAAGCAAAATGAATACAGTGAAACGGGATGGAAGGAGGAATTAGGAATATTTCATTATTGAAGCAGAATAGTGCCATTTGAAAGTGGACTGGGATTAGTGTATATGTATACAGCAAACTCTAGGGCGAGCACTAAAAAAACTTTTTTTTTTGAGATGGAGTCTCGCTTTTGTCGCCCAGGCTGGAGTGCAGTGGCGTGATCTCAGCTCACTGCAACCTCTGCCTCCTGGATTCAAGCTATTCTCCTGCCTCAGCCTCCCGAGTAGCTGAGATTACAGGCACACGCCACCATGCCCAGCTAATTTTTGTACTTTTAGTAGAGACGAGGTTTCACCATGTTGGCCAGGCTAGTCTCAAACTCCTGACCTCAGGTGATCCGCCCGCCTCAGCCTCCCAACGTGCTGGGATTACAGGCGTCAGCCAGCATGCCCAGCCTAAAAAATTTTTAAAAAGTAAGTATATTGGGAGGCTGAGGCAGGCAGATAATGAGGTCAAGAGTTTGAGACCAGCCTGACCAACATGGTGAAGCCCCGTCTCTACTAAAAAAAAATAAATAAATAAATACAAAAATCAGCTGGGCGTGGTGGCATGCACCTGTAATCCCAGCTACATGGAAGGCTGAGGCAGGAGAATCGCTTGAACCCGGGAGGCAGAGGTTGCAGTCAGCTGAGATCCCGCCACTGCACTCTAGCCTGGGCGACAGAGCGAGACTCCATCTCCAAAAAAAAAAAAAAAAAAAAAAAGTAAGTATAATCAATATCAATATGCTGAAAATAAGACGAAATGTAATTATGTAAAATGCTCACTTAAGTCTAAAAAGGAAGAAAATGTGTGGAAGACAAAAATACAAGGGCAATGAAGAGAAAACAATAACAAATATGGTATATATTAATCCAACTACATCAATAATCACTGTAAACATCAATGATCTAAATATATCAATTACAAGACAGAGATTTGGTCAGAGTGAACCAAAAACAAGACCCAACTATACGCTGTGTAAAAAAAAAAAGAACACTTTTTTATTTTATTTTATTTTTGAGACAGAGTCTCTCTCTATTGCCCAGGCTGGAGTGCAGTGGCACGCTCTTGGCTCACTGCAACCTCCACCTCCCAGGTTCAAGCGATTCTCCTGCCTCAGCCTCCTGAGTAGCTGGGACTACAGGCAACTGCCACCATGCCCAGCTAATTTTTGTATTTTTAGTAAAGACGGGGTTTCACCATGTTGGCCAGGCTGGTCTCGAACTCCTGACCTCAGGTGATCCACTTGCCTCGGCTTCCCAAAGTGCTGGGATTACAGGCGTGAGCCACCATGCCTGGCCAAGATACTCTATTTTATTTTATTTTATTTTATTTTATTTTTTTTGAGTTGGAGTCTAGCTTTGTCACCAGGCTGGAGTGCAGTGGTGCGATCTCTGCTCACTGCAACCTCCACCTCCCGGGTTCAGGCTATTCTCCTGCCTCAGCCTCCCGAGTAGCTGGGATTACAGGCACGCACCACCACGCCCAGCTAATTTTTGTATTTTTAGTAGAGATGGGGTTTCACCATGTTGGCCAGGATGGTCTTGATCTCCTGACCTCGTGATCCACCCGCCTGGGCCTCCCAAAGTGCTGGGATTACAGGCGTGGGCCACCGCGCCCGGCCAAGATACCCACTTTAAATACAAAGACACCAGAGGCCTGCCTGGCCCTCAAGAGACTGCCCACCATGCCCTGACTGAAGGCCCCATCACTTGGGGAGGGGATCCTGATAGAGGGCACTACTGCCATTGTTGGGGCCCAAGTCACAGCCATCCCAGGCAACAGGGGAGGGCACACAGCTGAAAGTGGAGTATCACCTGGTCTCCTGGGGAACATGTTCTTAACTCCAGAGTGGGAGGGACAGGGAGAGTACTGGAGATTCAGATTATCAGCCACTCCCTGGGGTTTGGTCTCAGCTGGCTACGCTAGCACCTCAAGCTAGATACTGTCAGTGGACCTGGGCACTGGGATGAACCCAGGACAGCATGCCAGCCCCTACAGGGACAGGCAATGTACAGAAAAGGCCCAAACCAGCCGGGCGCGGTGGCTTACAACTGTAATCACAGCACTTTGGGAAGCTGAGATGGGCAGATCACCTGAGGTCAGGAGTTCGAGACCAGCCTGGCCAACATGGTGAAACCCCATTTGTACTAAAAATACAAAAATTAGCCAGGTGTGGTGGCATGTGGCTGTAATCCCAGCTACTCAGGAGGCTGAGGCAGGAGAGTCGCTTGAACCCGGGAGGTAGAGGTTGTGGTGAGCTGAGATCGTGCCACTGTACTCCAGCCTGGGAGACAGAGTGAGACTCCGTGTTTAAAAAAAAAAAAAAAAAAAAGGGCCCAAACCCCCTGGGCTGCCAAGACCAAAGGCAGATGGCGAACCACATCTCAGCTTCTCTTTTGGGCTTTCCATTAGTCTCTTCCATATTTGTCTTCATGAGACAACCAAACAGTACAGGCTCAGTCTGGGGAATGAGAGGCTTGCAGCCACGCTTTGGACTGGGGTTCCTTGGTAGCAGCTCTGTGGTAGGAGAGTGAGCCTAGAAGATGACCCCATGCAGCCTAGTGGCCCTCAGAGGGCAGAATCCAGACATAGGCCTGCTGCCTCCATGCCCACAGGCGCTCCTGCAGCATGCACAGCTTAGAAGCACCAGGTTTGATATGAGGAGAGGGATCCTTATCCACATCTCCTTGAAGCACACAACAGTCAGAAAACTGTAGGCAAGGATCAAGGCCTCGTGCAGGGACAGGGCAGGGTCTTCCCCAGGCCCCGTGTCTTGGGAAGGAGGAAAGCCGGGGCTGGGTGAGATGAGGCTCGGCCTGAGGGAGTTCATCTGGACCAGAGGGCTGCTTGCAGCCCATCTCAACAAAGACTCGCTGCTCCTCACTGCTCGGTGTCGTGCAGGTGTGCCACTGCGAGCCGGGCGGGCAGCCCAGCCCCATAGGTAGTGGGCAGAGAGTATGCATCGCCCACACACAGTACCTTCTCGTATGACACAGCAGCCCTGTGGTGGTGCCATTTCCATTTTTTTGGATGAAGAAACTGAGGCTCAGAGACACTAGGTCCTATGCCAGGGACATGTAGCTAGTAAGTGGCAAAGCCAGGTCAGTCAGCCTAATCCCCAAGCACTAAACTCACTCTGCGGTTCTGTCTCCTGAGACACCTGTCTCCCTCTCCCCGCTCCTCCTCCTTCTTCCCTCAGCCCCATCTCCAGGCTCTGCTGCCACTTCAGGCTTTTCCTTGTGGGTATCTCAGCCTCCTAGCCAGCCATGGTGGGACTCCCATGGGGTGGAAGAACCTGCGCCTTCCACCCACAAGGGTTTTATTTCTGCCTCTGCCACCTGCCTGTGCTGTGTCCCCTATATAAGCTACTGTCCCTCTCAGAGCCTTGCTTTCTCACCTGCAGAATGGGGAGGGCCTGTCTCCCACCTCCTGGGGCCATGGAAGGGACTGGAATGGTTCTCCCTTGAGCTGTTCTCTCACGTCCTGCCAAGTTCGCCAGACTCTGGGGCTCTCCACTTCCTCCCAGAGCTGCAGAGTGTTGGTCTCGGGGGAAGCCTGGTAGGTGCTGGGATCCTTGCCTCAGGGATGGACCAGTCACCTGTCCCCCCTCTCTCCTGGCTGACCCCACAGAAAAAAAAAATTAAAAAAAAATAAAAAATAAATACAAAGACACATATAGATTAAAAGTAAAGAGATGGAGAAAGATATAACAGGTTAACACTAATGAAAAGAATGTGAGAGTAGCGATATTCATTTCAGAGCAGACTTCTGAGCAAGGAAAATTATCAGGGATAAAGAGAGACATTACATAATGATAAATGGGTCAATTCTCCAAGAAGACATAGTTAAATCCTTAATGGGTATGTGCCTAACAACAGAGCAGCAAACTATGGAGGCAAAAACTGACAGACCTACAAGGAGAAATAGATGAATCCACTAGTATAGCTGAAGACTTCAGCATCCCTCTGAGAAATGGACAGATTCAGCAGGCAGAAAATCAGTAAGAACATAGTTGAACTCAACAACACCATCAATCAACTGGATATAATTGGTGTCTATAGAATACTTCATCCAGCAACAGCAGAAAACACATTCGTCTCAAGCTCCCACAGAACATTCACTAAGACAGGCTGCATTCTGGGCCATAAAGCACAGCTTAACCAATTTATAATAATAGAAACCATACAATGTCTGCTCTCAGACCACATTGGAATTAAATTAAGATAGCAGGGTAATCATTCTCCTTCAGTTCTCCTGTGCTATGTACATTAAAATAAAATGGTTATGCCTTTTCTTCTATTAATCTGCCTTTTGTGTCAGTTGATTACAGTGGACCTTCAGAGGATAAAGGGAAAGTTTTTCCTTGGCCCCTATAATAAGATGGGCCAGTATTAAGCTAATTTTCAATGCTGTAGCTAATCACATTATATTAAGGTTGAAATGCAGTGGAAAATTGAAATGTATCTTCCACATATCCCCTCTTGGAAGACCTTAGAGATGGTTTTCAATATTTTATCAGAGAACATGAGAAATAGCTTGCCAGACCCAGAACCCAGAAGCTTTATACATTAGCACTTGAAATCAAGCCAAATGGAATGTACATACTCTCGTGGGAGGTCTGGGTGTCTGGGAAAGATGAGTCTAGCAATACACTGACAGAGGACGAAAATAAAGCTTAAGAAGGAAGCAGTCCTTTAAAATTTTATTGTCATCGTTTTGCATTTAGACTTACCAATTAAAACATGCCATTTTTTACCCTTTAGTTCAGATGTATTTCTCTTCTTAGAGATAAAGACTCTAATAGATTATTCAGGTTGGGTGCAGTGGCTCATGCCTGTAATCCCAGAACTTTAGGAGGCCAAGGCAGGTGGATCACCTGAGGGTGGGAGTTCGAGGCCAGCCTGACCAACGTGGAGAAACTAAAAATACAAAGAATACCAAAAATACAAACTTAGCTGGGTGTGGTGGTGCATGCCTGTAATTCCAGCTACTCAGGAGGCTGAGGCAGGAGAATCGCTTGAACCTGGGAGGCGGAGGTTGCGGTGAGCTGAGATCGCACCTTTGCACTCCAGCCTGGGCAACAAGAGCGAAACTCCATCTCAAAAAAAACAAAAATAGATTATTCAAGTCTACGCATAGTTCAGATAACAAGCTGTCTTCCAATTTTTCTCAGAAGTATGCTTTTTTGTTGTTGTTGCAGAGGCAGTATCAGCACTTGCCAGCAATGTTGCAGAGGAGATGCCTGTGTTGAATAAGGTGTGGACTCAATGACCCCTTAAGGCCTCTTCTAATTGTTAAGATTTTTGGGATTCTGAAATTCTCCACAATTCTTAGAACTTGTGGTCCTTAGGCTGGGTTATTCCAAAATTTTTGTTTCTTAGATTATTTGCTATTAAAATTCTGTGAGTCTCAGGTTTTATAAGTGGCACTAAATATGATAAGGCATACAAAAATTACAACCTAAACATATGGCCCAAATTCCTGTTAGGAAAAGGAACTACTTTTGTTGAGGAAAATGCTTTGATAAGGGCTTTGAGTTAAGACCCCACCAAGAGCCTGGGATAGCTTATGCCTGGGCTCCTGAGGAGCAAATTGGGAGGGAGGGAGAGAAGTGAGCAGAAAGATGACAGGTCAGGGAGGAATAGCTCACATCTCATTGTACATCTGGGTAGCAATAAGCTGTGCTTCACAAGATGTGATACCTCTCCAGAACATTCTGGACCTCTGTGTAATCTGCTCTTGGGAATGCTTAAGGAGAGTGATTTTATTTTTTTATTTTTATTTTTTTAACTTTATTATTATTATACTTTAAATTTTAGGGTACATGTGCACAACGTGCAGGAGTGATTTTATTTTTATATGGAATCCAAGTTTCAGTTTCATCACATTCAGGTCAGTGTGGCTCAGGACAAAGCCAGCATGTTTTGCTGGAGGCAGAGATTATGGTACTAAGTGTAAGCCCCCTGGGACTTAGCCGACTTCTCTGGGAGAAATGTGGGCTTTCTCACGCAATGGTGCATGTCATGCTGCGTCTAAGGAACTCCATTCACATCGAAGTCTATGTGAATGGCCTTCTTTAGAGGTATATTAGGTACAACCTGAGCAACTGAATGTGACAGCCCTGGAACTCAGGCATTAGAGGACATTTCGCCTCAATCTGAAGGAATGGGGAGATCTCCCTTCTTCACCCTCCTAGCTAATATTCTGGTGCACGTTATATTTATATATATTTATAAACCTCTATGTCTAAGGTTCTAAGGTCCTAGGGTTCTATGATTCTACAGTTCTCTGACTCCAAGAACCTAAGAGTATAATCAGGTTCTATAATTCTATGGCAACAAGAACCACACAGCTAATGCTATTGTGCTTGCTATACCTTCTAGGCACTGTGCCAGGCACTTTGCGTGTATTATCTCAATTAATCCTTAAGCCCTATGACATACACACTATTATTCTCTCCATTTTGTAGATGTGGAAACTAAGGCACAGAGAGTTCTGTCATCCATCCAAGATTATGGTGCCAGGACTGAAGCAGCTAGTCTGACTTAGAGTCTCTTCCCCTCTGCATTCCACTGCTGACATTCCAATAAGCTCCCTCCCTAATTAATAAGCCTCCTTTCACTGGGAGCTGCCCTTTTCTCAGCTGAGGCCCCAGAAGTTAGAAACCAGACCTGAGCCCTTGTATCCTGTGTTGGGATGTGTGAAGCTGTCATGTCGCGTTGTGTTGTAATAGGCTGTGTTATGTTTCATGCGTTTGGCTCCACTGTATTATGAACTCTTCTATCACAAGGACTGAATCTGATTTGACCTTGTAAATCCAGCTTTCAGTCCAAGGACTGGTACACTTTGGGGGTTTAAAAAAATGTTTATCATATGAGCGACTAATTGCCCAAATGGGCTGTTGGGAGTGAGTTCTGGTGTCTATTAGACACCAGGTGTCTGGCAGTCCCAGAGCATCACTGCAGGGGAGGGAAGATTTCCCCTCTACCCTCTGAGGGTTCGGTAATTGACTCTATGAAATAAACTGACAGTAGAAGAAAGAGTTACAGAAGAAAAGGTACACAAATATACTACATGCATGGGGGCATCACATGAAAGAAAAGCAAATGTCCTAAACCTCAGTGAGAGCATATATACCTCTTAAAGGGGGTGAGCGGAGGGAGGGTTCAGGCAACTTAGGAGAGAGTAAATGATTTGGAGGAAAGATGAATGGGCCTTCAGAAGAATAGGTGATATGTGATAAAGTCTGTCTGGGGGTGGTGTTGACCCCCAGTCTCCTGTCCTGTGATCTGAGTTTACTCTTCTCTGGTTGATGAGGTTCCTGGGGAGGGGAGTTATAACCATTGAGTTCCTTTTGGAGGATTTATCTTGAAGCAGATAAGGGAAGTTCAGAGAAAGTCCCTCCCTGCATTTGCTGTTCCTCAAATGCTCTCAGTTTGAAGTCCAAAGTGACGTACCTTGGGGTGGCATTTCCTGAACTCTTTCATCATCCTGAGACTGCATTCTGACGAGGCTGGCAAGGTGGGCACACTTCCGAAGGCACTTGAGCAGGTGGAGCCAAACCAAAGTTCATCCTCACCAGGAGATTGGAGCCAGGAGCAGGACACCCTTGGGTCCCAGCTCAGGATCAGGTTGTAACTAAGTCAAGATGCGGAGCCTGGAGGGAGCCTCATCGGAGCGGGGCAGGTATGAGGAAGAAACTAGCCCCAGGTGCCTCCAGGTGTCCGTATCTCATTGTTACAGGGAGCCATAAGAGAGAAGTGGCCAGAGACGTAAAGGTGCCAGAGCCAGGTGTGCTTGGTGCTCTACCTTGTAGTCTCTTCTCCCTTCAGGACAAGGGCCCCACCTGACACCCAGCCTGGCTCTTGGGGGCTCTTCCCTAGGCTGGACTTTGCCCTGACTCCCAGGTATGAGCTGGAGTCCTGCTGTGGACCTTCCCAATCGCTAGACACAGATGCAGCTGCATCTGTTGACTTTGAGCCTGCTCAAGCCAGAAGCCCAGGAGTGCCTTCCTGACTCAGCCTCCCTTTGGTCCTGAGCCCTGCAAACACACAGCTGCCTTTAGTGTGGCCAGCTCCACAGCCCATCTGCCCCTCTCCCACCTCAGCTCTTACACTGAGAGGTGCTCACACTTGCTGAGCTACCTGCCCTGTCCTAGGCTAGGCATCAGCTTCTCCTACCTGGCCTGTCTGATCCTCTTTATTGAACACTCTGCCTGACCTCTGCCTCTTCCACCCATTCCCCAAAATCAACTTCCATAGCATTGTTCTAAGAGGCAGATCTGGCTGGGTGTGGTGGCTCACGCCTGTAATCCCAGCACTTTGGGAGGCCAAGGCGGGCGGTCAGGAGTTGGAGACCAGCCTGGCCAACATGGTGAAACCCCGTCTCTACTGAAGATACAAAAAATGAGCCAGGCGTGGTGGCGGGCACCTGTAATCCCAGCTACTCGGGAGGCAGGAGAATCGCTTGAACCGGGAGGTGGAGGTTGCAGTGAGCCGAGATTGCGCCATTGCACTCCAGCCTGGGCGACAGGGTGAGACTCCATCTCAAAAAAAAAAAAAAAAAAAAAAAAAAAGATGCAGATCTGACCATGTCCCTTCTCTCCCTAAAATCCTCCAATGGCTGCCCACTGCCTAAGGCAGAAAGTTCTAGTTCTTCAGCCCAGCTTCCCAGGCCCTTCATGGATGCCCCTGCTCATCTCCCTGCCTCCACTCCCTCTGCTCCCCTGAACCTGCCATGCTGTAGCCATCACAAACTTCGTGCCTTTGCATTTGCTATTCTCACTGCTTGGTATGCGCTGCATAAATTCCTACTCATTCTTCAAGAATCAGCCTTCCCTGGGTTACTCCTTGGTTTTATAACACCCTATGCACAACTCCACAGTGGCAATTATCATGTTATATTAGAGCTGTCTGATTGTGTTGGTGACCCCATCCAACTGGGAACACCACATGAGGCTGTATATTGCCTATGGCTTTATCCTGTGCCTGGCACATGGTACCTATGTGTTGAATGAGAAAGGAAGAAGTAAATGAATGGCAATGAGCGAGTGAAACAGTGCCATCGGTGATGGTGTGGGTGGGGTTGGTGTGGGCAAGGGATCCTGATGAAAGGAAACAACAGAACACAGCATGAAGACACAAGAGCCGACTCCAAGAGGGAGGTGAGGAAGCTGCCCCGGGAGCGTTCCCCCCATCTCTCTGTGGGAGTCCGTCCTGGACCGGAGCTGTGTGCTCTGAAATCCTCGGCATCCCTGTCATTTCCTTGTGTTTGTTGTTTCTGCTACCCCTGTGAGGAAATGATCCTTAACCCTGCCCCTGGGAAGAGTTGCTCAGACCTTACCCAATGTTGTTGTCTCCTGTGTAAGATGAGGTGGGAAGGCGGCTGCACAGCTCACTCCTACCCCATGCACCAGGACCCCCCTGGTAGGGGGCACCGAGGGCACGGCCTGGGAGTTTGGCCTGCAAGGCTAGAGCCAGGACAAGAGACCGGGCCTGTGAGAAGGGGGAACCAGGAAGCCACAGGGCCTGGAGGCTGGACCACTGAGCCCTGCAGCCACTGCTTGAGCCCCCAGGGTGGACTCCTGTCCCAGCTCTCTTGTGCTTAGCCACATGCCTGATGACACGCACTTCATGCTTAGCAGAGCCAAAACAGCAGGAATCACCCAAAGCTTTAGGTCAGGAGGTTGCGGGGAGAAACTACCTATTTTATTCACTTTCAGTACCCAACAGCATGCTCAGCACATCGTGGAGGGGCTCAAAAACTGTTGGGAAGAAGGAAGGAAGGAGGGAAGGCTGTCTGTCCTTGCTGGATCCAGAGGGCTATAGGGAAGAGGCACTTCCAGGGGTCAGCCCTGGTGGTAAACATCAGAGTGTGGGACTGCTTTGGAGAGGGGTGGAAGGCTGGGGGTCAGAGTCTCCTACACACACTTCCCACCTTCTCAAGCTCTCTCCCCATATATTGGAGGTCTGGGGTGGGCATCTCAATGGACCCTATTCCTGTTTAAAGATATCCCCCCACCCTCTTCCATGGCAAAGGTTCCCAATTCTGGGTGGGCATCAGAATTTCCTGAGAAGCTTTAAAAAGTGAAGATTCTTCAATCTAAATGCCCATCTGGGATGGAGTGGATAAAGAAAATGTGGCAAATATACACTATGGAATACTATGCAGCCATAAAAAGGAACAAGATAATGTCCTTTGTGGGGACATGGATGGAGTTGGAAGCCATTATCCTCAGCAAACTAATGCAGGAACAGAAAAGCAAACACTGCAGGTTCTCACTTATAAGCTGAATGATGAAAACACATGGACACATTGGGGAGGGGGAAACAACACACACTGGGGGCTGTTAGGGGTAGGATCGGGGGAGGGAAAGCATCAGGAAGAATAGCTAATGGATGCTGGGTTTAATACCTAGGTGATGGAATGATCAGTGCAGCAAATCATCATGGCACACGTTTACCTATGTAACAAACCTGCACATCCTGCACATGTAACCCTGAAGTTAAAATAAAAGTTGAAGGAAAAATGTAAAGATTTATGAGTCCCACTTGAGACCTACTGACTTAGAATACTGTTGGGCAGGACCATAAAACAGTATTTATTTTTAGTGCCCTGGGTGATTCTGCCATTTAGACGGGTAAGAACTCCTCACCAAAGCCGGGCACGGTGGCTCACGCCTGTAATCCCAGCACTTTGGGAGGCCGAGGCGGGCAGATCACGAGGTCAGGAGATCAAGACCAGCCTGACCAACGTGGTGAAACCCTGTCTCTAGTAAAAAATACAAAAATTAGCCGGGTGTGGTGGCGTGTGCCTGTAATCCCAGCTACTGAGGAGGCTGAGGCAGGAGAATCAGTTGAACCAGAGAGGCAGAGGTTGCAGTGAGCTGAGATTGCGCCATTGTTCTCCAGTCTGGGTGACAGAGCGAGACTCTGTCTCAAAAAAAAAAAAAAAATTAAAAGAACTCCTCACCTACCAGGTCAAGTTTAAACCCTCCAGCAAGGTATTCCCAGCCCTCTGCAATCTGGCCCCAGTGCTCCCGTGCAGCCTCACGCCCTTCACTCCAAGCACGCAGCTCATGAAACTGCTCCATGTTCCTTATCTTTGGTTGCTCTCTCACAACCAAAGATGATAGAAGTTCATCTTTCTGTCTTCCCCTCATCTACACAGGGAACTTCTACATGTCCTTTGAGCGAGGCTTTGCAGCAAATAAAAATATTTCACCCCAAAATATACTTCTTTGACATATTTTGAGATGGCTGTTCAGAGAGCCTGGGAACAGAAGTAGGCCTGCAAAGCTGTCTTTTGTAGGGGAGACCTGCATCTATAGGGACATCTGCATTGATGCAGGCAGGCTTCCTCTGCGGACCTTCCCTTGTCAGATCTAGGACAGACTAACTGATGAGAGTCTGGTACCTTCAAAGGTCTACTCTCTCTGACAGCTGCTATCTGTGAGCTTTCATCTACATAACAAGACCACCTTTGCTAGGGAGGCCTCCTCTTCTCCCCATCTCATAAACTGTTTTGCCAGGATCCAAGCCTCCCTTTCTTTCCTTCCTTCCTCCCTCCCTCCCTCATTTCTTTCTTTCTTTTTTTTTTTTTTTTTTTTTTTTTTTGCTCTTGTTGCCCAGGCTGGAGGGCAGCGGTGCGATCTCAGCTCGTGCAACCTCAGCATCCCTGGTTCAAGTGATTCTCCTGCCTCAGCCTCCCGAGTAGCTGGAATTACAGGTGCGCACCACAACACCCAGCTAATTTTTTGTATTTTTAGTAGAGACGGGGTTTCATGTTGGTCAGGGTGGTCTCAAACTCCTGACCTCAGGTGATCCACCCACCTTGGCCTCCCAAAGTGGTGGGAATACAGGCATGAGCCACTGCGCTCAGGCCCCAAGCCCCCATTCTTTCTGTAACCTCAAGATGGCATATAAGCTTCTGCACCCCATTGCAGAGTGGGGAGTAATCAATCACTCTGTGGTTCTCCCTGTGTGCGCATTAATAAATTTGCATGCCATTTCTGCTATTCATCTGCCTTTTGTCAGTTGACTTTTCAGTGAACCTTCAGAGGGCAAAGGGGAAGTTTTCCCTTGGCTTCCATACCTTCCACACCCTTCTTCCACCCAGCCAGACAGAAGTCTTTTCTCTTTCCTGTGTCTCTCCCAGCTCTTCCCTGTATCACAGCACCCGTCACTCTGCCCTGTTATTATTTAATGACGTCTGTGCCAGATAATTTGTACAACCTGCCTTGTTTAAGCCCCCCAAGAATCCCTGGAGGTAGATGATGATGAGGATGAGGATGATGATGATGATGATGATAGCAACAAAGACTCTGCAGGAAAAAAGCCTGCTCTAAGAATTCTACATGTGCTGCCAGACCCCTTCATCCTCACCACAGCCCTGTGAGGGGTAGCTTTCATTATTATCAAGTCCATCTTAGAGACAAGGACACTGATGCCCAGAGAGGTGAACTCATTCACCCTAGGTCACACTGGAAAGGGGTGGAGCCAGGATCTAACCCAGGCAGTGCTCCAGTTACCCACTGAGCTTCAGCCCTTTTATACATGAAGACCCTGAGGCCCAGGGAAATCATTTGTCCTAACTCACCATTCCCATAAGTGGCAGAGTCATAATTTGCATCCAGTAACCTCTGACCCCAGGGCTCCACACTCTCACATGGCCCCTGTTTAAACCTGCTGCAAAGTAATCTCCAGGTCAAGCTCCTATTCCTGGCCTGTTCTATGATGTTCCCTTCCTCTATCCCACAAACCCCCAGAGACTTGCCTTCCCATCTTCCCAACATGGCCTTCCCTCTGATCTCACTCCCTACCCATCCTGCCCCACCTCGAGTTCCCTGGAAGGAACACCCTGCCCTTACTGGGGTCACAGCTTCCCTGGCAGGCAGAGATCCAGCAACACTTGGGAGCTTTTCCCATTATTTCTCTATCCTGCATTCTGGACTAAGCAGGCAGAGGCAATGGAGGTGTTGGGGGAGCACCCTCTTCCCCTCCCTGGGCTTCTTTGTCAGTAAGGTGGAGAATGGCCCTGCCCTGGCTGCCTGCCAGGGCCAAGAAGATGTTCTGATGGGATAATGGGGCAAAAGCTTCACAAATGCTGGTGGTCCAGCCCTGAATGCCTCACTCCTGGGCCATGATAGGAGGGTGGGGTCCCAACCAGCTGGAGACCCAGCCCCACCATGCTGACAAGGTACCTACCCACCCTGCGCCCCAGCAGCCTCCTCTAAAGTAACTTCTGCATAGAATCACTATAAGAATCGACTGCAGCACAGACTGTACACATATAAAGGGCATCCCGACAGAGGAATAGCTCCATAAATAAAGGGTAGCAATTACGTGAAGGGTCCGGCCTCCTTCTGTAGAATCAGAGCTGTGAAATCAGGCACCTTTTCAGAGAACTCCAGTGGGAAACCAGCTCTCCACAGTGGGCCCCCAGTTCAGCCATCCCACCACTGAGAATAACTCTAGCTGTCCAGCTGGGCAACAGCAGGCTTTCAAAATTGCATGGTAATCTTGTAATCACAGATATCCTTTTTTTTTTTTTAAATAAGGTCTGGCTCTGTCACCCAAGCTGAAGTGCAGTGGCACAATCTCAGCTCACTGCAACCTCTGCCTCCTGGGCCAAGGGATCCTTCCGCTTCAGCCTCCAAAGTAGCTGGGACTACAAGCACACAACACCACACTCAGCTAATTTTTTTTTTTTTTTTTTTTTAGAGAGACAGAGTTTTACCATGTTGCCCAGGCTGGTCTTGAACTCATAGACTCAAGCAATCCACCCACTTTGGCCTCCCAAAGTGCTAAGATTACAGGCAAGAGCCGCCACGTCCAGCCCTGCAGATATTCTTTACCTCACAGAAGTTGTAGAGCTCTTAACCATCTGCTTTTCTCATCAATCCTTTACAAAGCCTACAGAAGGAGTTTGCGTGGTTCCGTGCTGGCCTGAGCTCATCTCCAGCTCTGTTTCTTACTTGCTGGGTGATCTTGGGCAAGTAATTTCCCTTCTCTGGGCCTCAGTTTGCTTCATCTGTGAAGTGGGTGGGATACTCTCAGCCTTTGAGGGTTCCTGTGAGAATCACAAGTATCAGGCACAGAGGAAGAAGATAATAGTCCTTAAATCACCATTACCCTCATTCTCTAGATGAAGAAATTGAGGTTTGGAAAAGCTCCCCTACTTGCTCCACAGCTAGGAAGAAGCAGGGTCGGCTCTGAGTCCAGGAGCTCTGCTTCCACACAAGAAGGATCCCCCAGTTTTAAAACTTCTGACACTATGAGGTATGGCTTTGGCTGCTCAAAAACAAAGACCAATCTCAGGGTCCTGTTTTAGATGTCCCTTGTTACAACTCTTATTAGTTACAGCCAGCTTGGCCCAGATGCAGCACCAGGTCCTCCAGACTGGGTCAGAGGGAACAAGGTGAAAGCCAACACGGGCGTGGAGGGTGAGGCCACGAGCCCTGTGTCTGCCGGAAGGCCCACAGACATGGGACAGGAAAGCCATGGGCTTGTCCCAGTCGACCGCACAGTGAGGACACAGTGACCTCATCCCCACAGCCATGAGCACTGTTGTCAGCACCATGCTCCAATTTTACAGCCTGAGTCAGCGGGCAGAGGGACACTGTGCATTTAATAGCCTGACATTGTGCAGAGAGACACTTTGCATTGCCCCGGCCTCGACCCTGCTGATTTATTCGGGCTACCTCAGAGTAAAAGACGAGAACTCTTCTTAAGCATCTGGCTCTGGGTAACTTACTTCTAATCTTCTCTCTTTTGAAGACAATGATAAAACACCATTTTTCGATTGACAAAGACTGAAAAGACAAACCACACCCAGTATTGACCAGAAGACTTCGAAAGAGCAGGTCTCTTTACAGCCGATAAAAGTGCAAAATGTACCATTTTTTCTGAAGGGAAATTTGGCAAAGCTTTAAAAATTCACCTGTCCTTTGGCCCTGTAATCCTTCTACTACAACGATATGTACTGAGTTCTTGGCACAAAGCTGTCCTTCATAGAGTTGTTTATAACTGCCTCCAAATGAAAACTGCCTAATTACTCATCAAGAGGAGATTGGTTCAATCAATGATGGTCTATCAGTCAGCCATTCAAAATCATGTTGGGGCTGCGCACCGTGGCTCACACCTGTAATCCCAGCACTTTGGGAGGCCAAGGCGGGCAGATCACCTGAGGTCCAGAGTTCGAGACTACCTTGACCAACATGCAGAAACCCCATCTCTATTAAAAATACAAAATTAGCCGGGTGTGGTGGCGCATGCCTGTAATCCCAGCTACTTGGGAGGCTGAGGCAGGAGAATCGCTGGAATCCAGAAGGCAGAGGTTTCGGTGAGCCAAGATCACACCATTGCACTCCAGCCTGGGCAACAACAGTGAAACTCAGTCTCAAAAAAAAAAAAAAAATCATGTTGGGGGCAGAGTGCAGTGGCTCACACCTGTAATCCTAGGACTTTGGGAGGCTGAGGAAGGTGGATCACTTCAGGCCAGGAGTTTGAGACCAGCCTGGGCAACACAGCAAGACTCCCATCTCTCAAAAAAAATTTTTTTAAATTAGTGTATTGGCACATGGCTGTGGTCCCAGGTACTAGGGAGGCTGAGGTGAAAGGATCACTTGAGCCCAGGAGTTGGAGACCAGCCTAGGCAATACAACGAGACTCTATCTCTTTAAAAAAAAAAAAAAAAAGATTAGCTAGGCATGGTAGTGCGCACCTGTAGTCCCAGCTACATGGGAGGCTGAGGCAGAAGGATTGTTTGAGCCCTGGAGTTCAAGGCTGCAGTGAGCTATGCTTATACTATGATTATGTCACTGCACTCCAGCCTGGGCGATAAAACCAGAGCCTGTCTTTAACAACAAGAAAAAAATCACATTGGGAAGAATATTTACTCACATAGGAATGTTCATGAGCAATCAAGAGACAAAGCAACTTAAATCCAGAATGATTTGCATTGATATAACTAGGCTTGATAAGCTTTTCCACATGAGGATTGTCCCCTTGGAACGCTCCCCATTGGAACCCAGCCACCACGCTATAAGGAAGTCCAAGCTATCCTTCAGGAGACAGAGGAGGATGCAACACCATATGGAGAGAATGGCCCAGCCATGTGTCCAGCTGAATGCTGCCGCATGAGTCACCCCAGCTGCCATCATGTGGGGCAGAACTGCCCAGTCAGTCCACAAAATCATGAGAAATAATAAGCTGTTGCTGTTTAAATCCACTAAGTTTTGAGATGGTTACTCTTTTTTTCTTTTTTCTTTCTTTTTTTTTTTTTTTTTTTTGAGATAGAGTCTCACTCTGTCACCCAGGCTGGAGTGCAGTGGCACGATCTTGGCTCACTGCAACTTCTACCTCCTGGGTTCAAACAATTCTTGTGCATCAGCCTCCCACATAGCTGCGATTACAGGTATGTGCCATCACACCCAGCTCATTTGTTTTTTTTTTTTTTTGTGGGGGTGAGTAGGGGCTCTGTCACCAGGCTGGAGTGCAGTGGCGCGATCTCGGCTCACTGCAACCTCCGCCTCCTGGGTTCAAGCGATTCTCCTGCCTCAGCCTCCCGAGTAGCCGGAATTACAGGTGCGCACCACAACACCCAGCTAAATTTTTGTATTTTTAGTAGGGACGGGGTTTTACCACATTGGCCAGGATGGTCTTGATCTCTTGACCTCGTGATATGCCCACCTTGGCCTCCCACAGTGCTGGGATTACAAGCGTAAGCCACTGAGCGGGGCCCCTTTTTGTATTTTTAGTAGAGACAGGGTTTCGCTATGTTGGCCAGGCTGGTCTTGAACTCCTGGCCTCAGGTGATCCACCCGCCTCGACCTCCCAAAGTGCTGGGATTACAAGCATGAGCCACCCCACCCGGCCTGACATGGATAATCTACAGCAATAGATAGCTGTGGCACCTTGTTTGCATTCCTAGATTTTCAGAATGCACACAGACCACAAGAGCAGAAGCACCTGTGTGGAGCATCAACTTAGTTGTGCACACCTGGAAGGCAGAGCTTTAAGTGACTCCAACTTACTGAGCCTCCACCACTGGCCAGTCATTGTGCAGCTTCCACAAATACCATCACGTACTAGGTACTTAATAAGTATTTATGGAATAAGTGAATAAATGTCTTAGTTAACACACACTGTATCCCTGGGAGGTAGGAACTGTTTTATTATTACTATTACTATATATTTTTTAAGATGCAGTTTTGCTCTTGTTGCCCAGGCTGGAGTGCAATGGCATAATCTCGGCTCACTGCACCCTCCACCTCCTGGGTTCAAGCAACTCGCCTGCCTCAGCCTCCCGAGTAGCTGGGATTACAGGCATGTGCCACCACGCCCGGCTAATTTTGTATTTTTAGTAGAGACGGGGTTTCTCCATATTGGTCAGGCTGGTCTCAAACTCCCGACCTCAGGTGATCCACCCACCTCAGCCTCCCAAAGTGCTGGGATTACAGGCGTGAGCCACTGCGCCTGGCCCAAAAACATTTTTAATGAATGCATGTGTGCCTGTGTGACAACATCAGGAGGAACACATGCTTCCTCCACCCCATCCTCACACAGAGTGGGGCTCTGCCAGCCTTGTTTGTGCTCTGTGACCGTATCACCTGACCATAACCAAATGGACTCAGGACAAACATCTCACCCAAATTGTTCCTACCAGCTCCTCTCATCTTAGAAAAGTCAGGGCCAGGAGACAGCTGAGTCAGCTTCTAAGGGTTGTTGAAATGGTCCCATGCAGACTCTGGTATTGCATCGTGGGCATTTTCTGCTGTGTGGGGCAGAACAGGCCTGTTTGTGTTGAAACAGAGAAATAACACAGATGAGAAAGGTAGAGCATCCTAGTGGCAGCCTACTCACTGAATCCAGATCTTCGTCAGCGTCTTGTTGCATCCCTGTGCCTGGTTTATGAGACATCTCTGTATCCTTTATCTTTTTTATTTTAAAATATATTTTAAAGATTTTTAAAAAATTATTTATTTATTTATTTATTTAGAGAAGGAGTCTCACTCTATTGCCCAAGCTGGAGTGCAGTGGTGCGATCTCAGCTCACGGCAAACCCTCCCTCCCGGCTTCAAGCGATTCTCCTGCCTCAGCCTCCCGAGTAGTTGGGATTACAGGCGCGCACCACTTCACCTGGCTAATTTTTGCATTTTTAGTAGAGATGGGGTTTTGCCACGTTGGCCAGGCTGGTCTTGAACTCCTGACCTCAGGTGATCTGCCCGCCTCGGCCTCTCAAAGTGCTGGGATTACAGGCATCAGCCACCATGCCCAGCCTATTTTTTTTTTTTTAACTTTTTTGTATTTTTAAAGACAGGGTATTGCTGTGTCACCCAGTTTGGAGTGTGATGGCACAATCACGGCTTAGTGTATTCTCGAATTTCTAGGCTCAAACCATCCTCCTGCCTCAGTCTCCTAAGTAGCTGGGACTGTAGGCACATGCCACCATGCCTGGCTAATTTTTAAATTTTTTTTGAGGTACAATGTCTGGCTATATTGTCCAGGCTGGTCTGGAACTCCTGGGATCAAGCAATCCTCCCACCTTGGCAAACCTAAAGTGCTAGGATTACAGGTGTGGGCCACTGCATCCAATCTCTATATCCTTTATTAAATTCTCCCTTTTTCCCATAATCCCAGCACTTTGGGAGGCTGGGGCAGGTGGATCACCTGAGGTCAGGAGTTTGGGACCAGCCCGGCCAACATGGTGAAACCCTATCTCTACTAAAAATACAAAAATTAGCCAGGCATGGTGGCAGGCACCTGTAATCCCAGCTACTCGGGAGGCTGAGGCAGGAGACTTACTTGAACCCGGGAGGCAGAGGTTGCAGTGAGCCAAGATCACACCATTGCACTCCAGCCTGGGCGACAAGAGCTGAAACTCCATCTCAAAAAAAAAAAAATCTCCCTTTTTGGTGACAGCTGGTTTAAATGCATTGATACTTGCAACCAAAATATCCTAACAATCATTACTTTAAGGAAATAGGGAAGATAGGACTCTCAGCCACAAGACCAGGCCTCCGGGAACCAGTTAAAAGAAACACGCAGGACAGACTACTGCCTGAGCAGGAACCAGTTAAAAGAAACACGCAGGACAGACTACTGCCTGAGCAGTCTCTGTAAGTAAAGACTACACCAGCCACTTTACAATACCAGGTGTACAGGCTGGAATGTAAGCTCCATGAGGGGAGGGCTCTATAGCCAAACAGTCAAAGCCCTCCTTGATGTGGCTTCTGCCTCCCAGCCTCAGCCCCAAATGTTGGGTTGGGCACTGGCCAGGTTGTAATGTGCCATTCTAAAGCCTCCCCAGCTGTCACACCTATAAATCTAAGCCAGGGTTCCAGCCCACCAGGAAGATGGTATAACAAGTTCTAGAAGTGGCATTGGGCTTTCCAAGTACCTTCATCCCCACTGTCTCCTGTGATCATCCCATCAGGGTCCACCAGCCCAACTTTAGGGACATGGGAATGAGGGAGGCAAAGGGGTTAAGCAACCTGCCTGAGGGGTAGGTGAATAGAACTGGGACTTAAATTCAAGTCTGAGCCAACCGCGCTACTGGGAGAAGGATTGAATAACACTTGATCTTTATTATCGTAGTTTTAAAGATGAGGAAACTTTAAATGAGATACCTAGAGTAGTCAAATTCACAGAGAAAGTAGAACGGAGGTTGCCAGGGATTAGGGGTAACAGGGAATGGGGAATTATTATTTAGTGGGTTCAGATGGATGATGGCAATGGTTGCACAACAGTGTGAATGCACTTAATGACACTGAACTGTAATCTTAAAATAGGTAAAATGGTAAAATTTATGTCATGTAGTTTAATTTTAAGTGAGGAAACTGAGGTCTAACAGGATAAAGGTGTAGAGCAGATTTTTTTTTTTCTGGGATGGAGTCTTGCTCTGTCACCCAGGCTGGAGTGCAGTGGCACGATCTCGGCTCACTGCAACCTCTGCCTCCCGGGTTCAAGCAATTCTCCTGCCTCAGCCTCCCGAGTAGCTGGGATTACAGGCGCCTGCCACTGCGCCTGGCTAATTTTTGTATTTTTAGTAGAGATGGGGTTTCACCATGTTGGCCAGGCTGGTCTCCAACTCCTGACCTTGTGATCCACCCGCCTTGGCCTCCCAAAGTGCTGGGATTACAGGCATGAGCCACCACGCCCGGCCTTAGACTAGATTTTATACAAAGTCTGGGGACAAACCAGGTTCAATTATTAGCTCGGCCACTTGCTGACCTACTCAACCCTGGGCAAATCACTCTGAAACTGTGCTTCAGTTTCCTCCTTTGAGAAACAGGATAAAAAACAGTAAATCTAGAATTCGTTATGAGAATTAAATGAGATATTAATAACTCCATACCAATCACTTACCTGGCACATAGTAAATTAGCAACACATACAACATTATTATGACAAGGTTTCTCAACCCAGAGCAAGAACAGCCTTTCAGACGCTTGAAGAGTCTTGGCGCTTATCTGTTGCAACCCCTTTGTTACAAAGCTGAAGAGACTGAGGGACAATGACTTGCCCGAAGTCACCCAGCCAACTTGTAACAGAGCCCAGAGTTGAACCAAACCACTCTTCTCTGAGTCCAGAGATCCCCAGCTCCAGCCAGCTCACACTGCTTTCCCTTTTTAAAGAAATGAACTGCGGTGGATTTGAGGCATGAATTTCAAGCCTCAATGTGGAAAGCAGGGGCTCCTGTGGCTCTCAACCGATTCTCTCTCCCTCTTGCAAAGCATGAGTCAGCTCCAGTATAATGTGTGAGTCAGCCAGCTCCTCCGTGATGAATGTGCATATGACTGCCAGGTGGCATCCAGGTGGGAGCTGGGCGGGGCAAGCGGGCACAGCTAGACACCGGCTGCTCTGTCTGGGCATAAGCTGTGTGCTTTCTTTCAGATCCAAATTGCTGCATGGTGGTATCTATAAGTCAGGAGGCCCAGGTTTTACACCTTCAATTTGCTTCCAAATTCCTTCTTCACTGTGATCTCAAGCAAGTGGCTTAATTTCTCTGTGCCTCAGTTTTCACAACTGTGGATACATGAATAATTCTAGTCTTGCCTGCAGCATAAGGTGTGGGGAGGACCCAAGGAATGACATGTGGGAAGGAGTTTTGCAGAGTTACAAAGTTATATCAAAGCCAGGTACAGTGGTGCTGGCCTGTTGTCCCAGCTACTTGGGAGGCTGAGGCAGGAGGATTGCTTGAGCTCAGGAGTTTGAGGCCAGCCTGGGCAACATAGCAAGACCCTACCTCTAAAAAGAAAAAAAAAAAAAGAAAGAAAAAGTTATATCGGCATGAAAGGCATTGTTTTTCCACTTCTCTGGAGAAATATGATTCTAAGAATAAAACAAAACTGTGCCAGGCTATTTGTTTTTCCCATCAGTCCTTGGGCTTCTCAGGATCCTTCTGGTCTCCTTGCTGTTCCCCCAGCCTCAGGGTGCCAGGTTACTTCCTCAGACTCAACACTTGTGGAGGGCTTACTGTGCACCAGGCCCAGGGCCAAGCCATTGAATCCTCCCCAGAGATCTCCAAGGTCAACATCATTCTGGGTCTTAAAAAAAAAAAAGAGGGCCGGGCGCGGTGGCTCACACCTGTAATCCCAGCACTTTGGGAGACCGAGGCGGGTGGATCACTTGAGGTCAGGAGTTCAAGACCAGCCTGGCCAAACATGGTAAAACCCTGTCTCTACTAAAAATACAAAAAAATTAGGTGGACGTGGTGGTGGGCGCCTGTAATCACAGCTACTCAGGAGGCTGAGGCAGGAGAATCGCTTGAACCCGGGAGACAGAGGTTTTAGTGAGCCGAGATTGTGCCAGTGCACTCCAGCCTGGGCAAAAAGAGTGAGACTCCGTCTCAAAAAAAAAAAAAAGATTATTATGGGCCTTATTTTACAGAGAGAAAACTGAGGCTCACTGGTAATAAGGAACTCGCCAATCACAAGGTGGAGCTGGGCCATGAAGCCAGACTTTTGGAACGTTCCAGAGTTCTGCCCACCCCACGGGGAAGAAAAGCTCCTCGGGGAGGCATCATCAGGTCCTCTTCTTCCAACCTCACAGACCTCCAGAAAACAATACGTGGAAATTGAGAGGGGAAGACCCCTGCAACCCTGAAGAAAATCAGGCTTTGAGAATGTAAAAAAATGGAAATAATAATAGTTACCACGTTTCAAGTATTTACTGTAGGATAGTCACCTGATACACGTTTCCTTACTTCATATTCACAATAATTCTTAGAGGTGAGTACTGCTATTATCCCCATCTTACAGTTGGGGAAACTGAGATTCAGGTGAGGTAACATGCCCAAAGACACATAGCTAGCAGGTCTGTTTCCAAAACCTGTGGTCCACCCACCAAATACCACTGTCAGCCTCCTCCTTCATTCATTCTTTGATTAATTCATTTATTAAACATTTATAGCTTCTTTCTTGTGCCAAATAACTTGCTGGACAGAGGCAAGACAGGAATACCTGAGCCCCAGCCCTAGAGGAGGTCATTATCTCAGAGGAAGATAAGGCTCAAATAATTGTAATCTAAGCGATAAGAGCCAGGCAAAGCAAACTGCTTGTACTGTTGCTGGATCAGAGCAGGCAGTGCCAGTTGGAGTTTTTGTTGTTTTTATTGCTTTCTTTAAAGGCAGAGAATCTGGCAGCATTTGATTTAAAACAAGTTTCTCTAGAGTCAAGTCATCCATTTATTATTATTTTTTATTTTTATTAAAAAAAAATTTTTTTTGAGACGGAGTCTTGCTCTGTTGCCCAGGCTGGAGTACAGTGGTGCAATCTCAACTCACTGCAACCTCCGTCTCCTGGGTTCAATAGGTTGTTCTGCCTCAGCCTCCCAAGTAGCTGGGATTACAGGTGCACACCACCACGCCTGGCTAATTTTTGTATTTTTAGGAAAGATGGGGTTTCATCATGTTGGTCAGGCTGGTCTCGAATGCCTGACCTCATGATCCCCCTGCCTTGGCCTCCCAAAGTGCTGGGATTACAGGTGTGAGCCACTGCGCCTGGCCTATTTATTTATTTTTAGAGATGGGGTCTCACCATGTTGCCCAGGCTGGACTTGAACTTTTGAGCTCAAGCAATCCTCCTGCCTCAGCCTCTTTAGTAGCTGGGACTATAGGCACGCACCACCACACCTGACTCCATTTATTTTTTCAATCCAGGTGCTGGAACTCACACTACCTGTGTGATTTTGGGCAAATTACTTCCCTGAGCCTCAGTTTTCTCCTTTAGAAAACAGAGAGAAAAAGGCCAGGCGCAGTGGCTCACGCCTATAATCCCAGCACTTTGGAAGGCCAAGGCGGGCGGATCACGAGGTCAAGAGATCGAGACCACCCTGGCCAACATCATGAAACCCCGTTTCTACTAAAAATACAAAAATTAGCTGGGCGTGGTGGTGCGCACCTGTAATCCCAGCTACTTGGGAGGCTGGGGCAGAAGAATCTATTGAACCCGGAAGTCGGAGGTTACAGCGAGCCGAGATTGCGCCACTGCACTCCAGCCTGGCAACAGTGAGACTCCATCTCAAAAAAAGAAAAAAAAAAGAAAATAGAGAAATACTTATTTCATAGAGTTGCTGTTGGAATTAAATTAACTGAAATGTTGTATTCCTTCATTCAACAAAAATGTAGGAGACCCAGTGTGAGGCAGGTGCTGTTTTTGGTGCTGGGGACACTGGAAGAAGCAGATGGAGACACTCCCTTGGAATTACAGAAATATTTTAAGTAAAAAAAAAAAAAAAAAAAAATTCAATTTGGTTAATTGAAGCAAAATATGCATTCAGAAGAGTACGAAAATCAGAAATGTACACACCTCAATGCATTTTCACAAACTAAACACACCCGCAACCAGCACCCTGATGAGGAAACAACATTACCAACACGGTCAGAAACAGGGTGTCACAAGAAAGGCACTCACCTCCCCTGTAAAATTTAAGCAGGGGTGGAGGGGGGTAGAGGGGGGCGGCGGACTCTGTCATCAGGATAAATAATATTTTTAATGCAGTATTTTTGAAAAACCAGAATTAATGCAAAAAATCCATGATGACAAAATATCAAAATTTTAAATAAAAACAGGATTAGTAACATGCTGTGCTGAGTCATATTAAAGCTCGAGGCAAAAGGAAAAAACATCAGTACTGCTGATCTGGTCTCCACCTGCCTCACCCTGATTACCAGCACCCGCCCCCAGAGTCGCGACCCTCCCTTCCAAGGGTAACTACTGTTACCCCGGAGATAAGTTTTGCCTGTTTTTAAACTTTATACACATGACATCACACTCTTTCGCACAGCTGCTATCACTCAATATGTCTGTGAGATTCAGCCACATTATTGCGTGCCATGGAAAGATGTTTGAACAAAGCAGTGATGTGGTCAGCTGTGCATTTTAAAGAGACCAGTGTGGTGGCAGGGAGGAGGATGAATGAATAGTGGTCCTAGCCTATGCTGGAGGAGGGACTGTCTGCATGGAGAGGGCAGGCAGAGTCCACGGGATGGGCAGGCAAAGTCCACGGGATTGACTGGATATGGGGAATGAGGGAGACAGAGAGGGGTCAGGGAAGATACCAGATCTCTGGCTAGGGCAATTTGGTGGCTAGAGGAGCCATTTCTAGGGTGGGGACAGGAAGGGATGGGCAAAGATAATGAGTTCAGGTTTGAGCATGGTGAGTGTGAGGGACCTGTGGGACATCCAGAGGGACATCCTGGAGGCAGCTGGACAGAAAAGCCTGGTAGTCAGGAGAGAAGGGAGGGGAGTATGTGCCTTCAATTCCCCCAGCATCAGCGAGCAGGTGGTAGCCCTGATAAGTGCATTTGCAGAGGGTCGGAGGGCATACAGAAGATAAAGAAGGGATGCCGAAAAGCTTTCTGAAAGCAGGTGGTTCAAGCAGATGTGCAAATCAGAATGAAAACATTAAACACACAAAACTGTCCTGCCTGGCCCATCAGACCTTCCTGGAATCCATCACTGTGTTTACCTGCAATCCAGGAGGATTTGAATTGCAAAACACCCTTTGGATTAGGGGGGCTTCCGTCCCAGCCCCTGCTATCCCCTCTTGTACCAATTGTAGCTGACTCAGCAAAACCTTTCCTCCTGGCTGCCAGGGACGCTTGCCTTTAAAGGCAACAGAGTCTTTTCCCAGCCCGCCTTACTCACTCCTAACTCTGGAGCTGCTAGGACCCGCCCTGCACGGCCCTGCCACCACCACCATCACCACCACCACCCCTCCCCCACCCACTTGCGTGCTCTGAGGCACACACTAGGCTCCAGCATCCGCCTGGCACCTGACACCTCCCTGCTAGCCAGTCCCAGAGAGCTCTTTTCCTCCAGACTAGCTGGGGCTGGAACTGCTTAGAATCGGACCCAGAAGAGGCCGAGTTCCGTCCAGGACTAAAGGCAGCCTCCAGGGAATAAAGCTGTCAGTGTGGGCGCAGACTAGGGAAGGGGCACTAGGTCGTTCAAGCTGAATGCTGGGGTTCCACAGCCTCCTCACACCCCCTTTAGTGCCTCAGGTAGAGTAGGCTTGTGGGGACACTGAGGTTTCCTCAGGTCCTTTCCCTGCTCAATAACTCTCCATGGCTCGCCACTACCCACTGCATAAAGCCCTAACTCCTATACCTGGCATTTGGGAGCCTCTGTGATTCCACTTCTTCAGTCTCTTCTCCTCCCTAAGCCCCCATGCCCCAGCCACAGGGGCTACTTAGGTGCCCCTCCTGCTCCCCTTTCCCCTTGCACCCAAACCTTCTCTGCTCATGTGCTATTTCCTGGGGCCTTCTCTAGGGCTCATTCCCTAGTTGGAGTTAAATTCTGCTTCCAAGGAATCAGCCACCCAAATAACAAACCAGTCCACCTGAGAATCTAGTCTGTGATGCAGCGTCAATAGCTTCTGATGAATTTGCTTCTGACCAGTAGCCTCCAGGGGTCATAAAACATTCACAGAGAGGAACACAGAGAAGGTAATGGGGGTCTGTGTGTGGGCAGGTGGGGTGGGGTGGGTGAAGGAAAAGCTTTTTTTTGGCCACTGTGCTTTTTCCTCAAGCACCGCCCTACCATGGGATGGGGATTTGACTGAACTTCTCACGTCAAGAATGAGTACAGTTTACATAGCTAAGCCTTTATAAACATCCACTTTCCCTCAGGCCTACCCAGGAAGGGTTTGTTATATCTATTTTACAGATGTGGGTCTTCAGGCTCAGAGAAGAGAAGGCATTGTTTGCCCATGAATGTTTGCAAGTAAATAGCAGAGCTGGGACTCAAAGAGTCCGGATCTGGGGCTCCATCATGAATCTCTAAGAGTGGCCCAGAGATTCTCACGTTCCCTAGGTAATCATTCTGGCAGTCTGCTGCCTTTGCACATGCTCTTCTCTCTGCTGAGAATGGCCTTCCCTCAATCCATCTGGTGAACTCCTATTCAGTCTTCCAAACCCTGCTTAGCATGACCTCCCCCTTCCCAGATGCTCTCTCTACTCACTCTCCTTCCCCTGTGGTACAAGTTCTGCACCTGTACAGATTCTTAACCCTCTACGCTTGACTTGGTATTGTTGCTGCTCATTTCCCCTCTTGCTCCTCCTCCAGCTTGGGGCCTCCATGAGGCTAACAATGGGGTCACATGTCTCTGTCCCTGGGAAAGTGGCCAGCATGGGGCTGGCCCAGAGAAGGACAAGGTGGCTGTTTGGTGAGTGTGACCCATGGGCTGAGTAAGGCAGACCCGCAACTGGGAAAAGGCATAGACTGGATGTGCTAAGAAACAAGGAGCTGTGGAGAGACTTTGAGGAGGGAAGTAGCAAAACCCAAAAGGTACTTAAGGAAAGACTGGAAGTATCAGCAGGACGGACTGGAGGGGAAGGAACATTCAACACAGGTAGATTAGCTGCTCACTCATTCGTGCATTCCTTCCCTCCTTCAGTCATTCACCCACGTGCCTCAGCTGCAGAACCTGTCCTCAAGGTGCTCACAGGCTGAGGGAAGGCAGACAGAGGACAAGTGGCAACCTACAAAACACCAAATGGTAAAGGAGAGAAAGATTTCCACTTGGGAGAACCAGGGACACTTCCCGGAGGAGGAAGGACCCATGGTGCTTTTTGGCATGGTGAGGTCGGGGAGGGCTTCCCAGGCAGAGGAGACAAGCTGAGCAAATGTGTGGATGTGAGTTGCTGGTGTGAGGGGCGAGGCTGAGCGTGTAAACTGGTGCCATGAAGAAGGACCGTGATGGCCAGGCTTGGCCCTTACTCCCTCCATGACAATTTCAGACAGATGAGCAGGAGAGTGGCAGGGTGCAGGACTGGAGGACAAAAGACCAGAGGAGATGGAGGCCCTGCAGACAGCAGGGGAGGGAAGGAGGATGAGGTGGTGTAGACAGCGGAGTCAGCAGGACTTGGTCTGTCCAGGGGTGAGGAGAGAGGTGGCCCAAGCTTTCCAGGCTGAGCATAGAGAGACCACAGGAATTGAAGCCTTGGGCAGGGGGGTGCCCAGAATGCACCTGCCTTCTGTTTCAGGGCTCCATACTCAACCAAGGTGCCCCTCAGCCAGAACTGGACACATTGCCAGAGAACTCCAGGGGTCATCTGGTCGGCTCAGCCTCCCGGTTTCCGACAGACAGTAAGCCCACCATGACTCCCTCCATCGGGAAAGGGACCCTCAAGACTTTGATCAGACCTTTGGACTGGGGGTCCTTCCCTTCACTGTGTCTCAAGTAAGGCACTGGTCTAGAGGAAATAAGGTGAAGTCAGATGATAGCAATACCACTACCAGTGCAGTGGCACATGCCTGCACTCCCAGCTACTACGGAGGCTAAGGTGGGAGGATCACTTGAGCCCAGGAGTTTGAGACCAGCATTTATTTATTTACTAACAGACTAAATAAATAAACCAACAATACCACCAACCAGTAAATGAGAACTTCCATGCTAAACACTTCATGAGCTTATCTGGAAATTGCACCTCTCCTGATAGCAATGAGATTGGTGTGGGAATTCCATTTACTCATAAGAAGACAGCCTCGGCCGGGCTCAGTGGCTCACGCCTGTAATCCCAGTACTTTGGGAGGCGAGGTGGGTGGATCACGAGGTCAAGAGTTCAAGACCAGCCTGGCCAAAATGGTGAAACCCCGTCTCTACTAAAAATAAAAATAATTAGCCAGGGGTGATAGCGGGCGCCTGTAATCCCAGCTACTCGGGAGGCTGAGGCAGAGAACTGCTTGAATCCGGGAGGCGGAGGTTACAGTGAGCCGAGATCGTGCCGCTGCACTCCAGCCTGGGCGACAGAGCGAGACTCTGTCTGAGAAAAAAAAAAATTAAAGAAAAAAACGAAAACAGCCTCACTGGCCAGGAACTCGCCCAGGATCGCGGCCGGGCCAGTATACAGTTGAGCTGGTTCAAACCCGAGGTCTATCATGTCCTTAATGTCCTATCATGTCAGTCAGTTAGCCTGCCTTTCATATTTTCCACACTTACAGGTCACCATAGACTCACCTGAACTGTGAGAAGTAGAGGAAGGCGTCCCAGAGGAGGTGATTTTAAAGCCCAGGTTTGAGATGGGTATGCATTTCCAGGCAAGAGAGCCCGGCCGGTGCAAAAGCAAGGCTTGGCTCACAAACGGGAATGTGGGGGGTGGAGACAGGGAAGGGAGAAGTCAATCCCTGGGCAAGACCTCCTGGAGTCTCTCTAACAAATAAATACTACTTTCCATGCAGTAGACGCTGTTCTAAACACTTTACAAATATTAACTCACTTGGTCTTTCTACAACCCTACGAGGTGGTACTGTTACTATCCCTAGTGCACCGAAGTCACCCAGCGGCCGAGTGAGAACTCCAGTCCAGCTTTCCACCCGCTACTCCGCGCATCCCAGCTTGCCTTACAGCCGGGTACCGGCTCCACCATTTTGCTAGAGAAGGCCGCGGAGGCTCAGAGAGGTGCGCACACTTGCCCTGAGTCACACAGCGAATGCCCTCCGCGGTCCCAACGCAGAGAGAACGAGCCGATCGGCAGCCTGAGCGAGGCAGTGGTTAGGGGGGGCCCCGGCCCCGGCCACTCCCCTCACCCCCTCCCCGCAGAGCGCCGCCCAGGACAGGCTGGGCCCCAGGCCCCGCCCCGAGGTCCTGCCCACACACCCCTGACACACCGGCGTCGCCAGCCAATGGCCGGGGTCCTATAAACGCTACGGTCCGCGCGCTCTCTGGCAAGAGGCAAGAGGTAGCAACAGCGAGCGTGCCGGTCGCTAGTCGCGGGTCCCCGAGTGAGCACGCCAGGGAGCAGGAGACCAAACGACGGGGGTCGGAGTCAGAGTCGCAGTGGGAGTCCCCGGACCGGAGCACGAGCCTGAGCGGGAGAGCGCCGCTCGCACGCCCGTCGCCACCCGCGTACCCGGCGCAGCCAGAGCCACCAGCGCAGCGCTGCCATGGAGCCCAGCAGCAAGGTGAGTCGCGCGCCCGCGGGCCCTCCCGCCAGGAACAAAGGCGCAGACTCCTGCCCGCCTTACGCCGGCCAGGGCCTCCCCCGCCGCCCCGCTGCGCTGTGCGCCCGGGGCGGGCCGCGCGCCTCTCCGAGCCTGGCTCGGTGCGGGTCCCGAGCGCAGCGCCCCGCCGGGCCGCTGGCCGCAGTGGGGATGGGCTTCGGATCTAGCGGGCCGGAGGGCGCCGCGTGCGTAGTTGGCGCCGGCACTGAGCACATGGCCTCCTTCCGGGGGCGCCGCGCCGTCCACGCGGCCCTGCTGGGGCTGGGGACACAGGGCCCGGGAGCGGCACGTCGCACACGACCTCGGCAGCAGCAGCCCAGCCTCGGCCCCTCCCGGTGCGGGGGAGGGGGCCCGAGCGCGGCGCCCATTGGCTGAGCGGGCCGAGCCCCCGGCCCGGCCCCGGCCCCGGCGCGCGGAGGAGTCAGGAGCCGCCCCCGCTCTCCGTCTGCTCCCCTAGCCCGGACGCCCCTGTAGGTGGGCGGCCTGGTGCGAGGTGTCCCACCGGCCTCCCCTACTCCTCCCGCCAGTCCCCCGCGGTGACGAGGCCGAGGCCGAGGGGAGGGCACTTTTCTCCAGGCCCGGGCTCGAACGCGGGGGTTGAGATGAACCTCCGGTCTCGGAGGCTCTCCTTTGCGAGGAGTGCAGGCCCCAAAGCTTTGGCCCAGTCTCGCGGAGATGTGTTCCGCGGAGGCAGGTTTACCCTCGGGGCCAGGCGGGGAGCGCAACCGGAGGGGCGGGGGATCTGGGGGCCAGGAAAGAGCCCCAGGCTGAAGTCTAGCGGGAAGCGCGCACGCCACGGGGTTGGGGAATGAGGGATGGGGACTCTGGGGACCAACAACTCCCTAGATAGGATTTCTTTTTTTCTGTGTAAGTGGGCTTGTCCTGCAGGGCATCTTTGTAGCGTCCGCAGAGCGATTTCTTTTCAACAAATTGTTTGTGGAGCCCCTCCTGTGTGTAGGGCATTGTTTCTTTCCACCTCCTTTCCTCCCCCTAGTCTACAATATTTTCAAGTCCCCTTTTTCTTTTGAAACGGTCCCTCTTTATCTATTATACTTTGATTTTTCCATCTCGTCAGCTGGGAGGGCACCTGGATGGCCCTTGTTTTCTTAGCTGGGACGCGGGGGTAGCACTGAATTTTGAACTGCCCTTCCTACTGGCTGTGGAGGTGTCCCGCTGAGACTGAGCGGGGTGGCGCTGGGCCGCACCCTCGGCAGGAAAAGGCCTTCCGCCCCACACCTGTTGAATCCATAAATCCAGACGACTTGGTTCACCCTTCCTGGGCCCTCGCTTGAGGTGAGACCCCGGGGAAGTTCCCGGGGAAGGCTCCCAGGATCTTAGGTGAGCCGTAAGGGTGGGATATAACTAAACAAAAGTTCAGTGAGAAGCTCTTCTAGCTAGTGGCAAGGAAGTCCAAATATCTCAGGGCTCTTGCAGGCCACTTAACTTCTGGGCCTCAGTTTTTCCATCTGAAAGAGATCACTTTTGTCACTTCCTCTAGGGAAGGAACTATCTATTCAGCATACTATGCCAGACATGGGTATTTATTTGTTGAGTGGATAAGGGAATACTACGTGGAGACAGAAAAGTGGAGGAGAAAATCAGCAGGTTCTTAGCCAAACTACTTTAAGCGTCACGGACCTTATAGCCCTGCTGGTTACTCACTAGCCTGGAGCTCAGAGAAGGGAAATAAGTTTGCCAAAGTCACACAGCTAGTAAGTGGTTGAACTGGATTTGAACCCAGGCCCATCAGATTTAATTTCATTTCTGTCTCCACTGTCTCTCTTCACCACAACATTTCTTGAATTTTGGGCAGAAGGGAGAGAGTTTGCCTATCTTCAAAGGTGGCCCCTTGTGCCAGCTGGTTCTAAATAGTGTAGCAGGTGGGTGCTCTTCATGGAGTGTTCTCCAAGTTTTCCACTGTCTACCTCGTCAGTAATTAATGTTGGAACACCTCTTTCACAGTGGTGTATCTGTATTTTTATTTTTTTATTTTTATTTATTTATTTTTTGAGACGGAGTTTCGCTTTTGTTGCCCAGGCTGGAGTGCAATGGCGCGATCTCAACTCCCTGCAACCTCTGCCTCCCGGGTTCAAGCGTTTCTTCTGCCTCAGCCTCCCGAGTAGCTGGAATTACAGGCATGTGCCACCACACCCAGCTAATGTTTTTTTTTTTTTTTTTTTTTTTTTTGTAGTTTTAGTAGAGACGGGGTTTCTCCATGTTGGTCAGGCTGGTCTCGAACTCCCGACCTCAGATGATCTGCCCGCCTCGGCCTCCCAAAGTGCTGGGATTACAGGCCTGGGATTACAGGCGTGAGCCACCACGCCCGGCTGTATTTTTAAATTCATGCACATGCAGTTTGATACTAACAGATGATATGCCTTCATAAAATAGAAATTTCAAAAGACAGATAGATACAAGACAGCAGTTATAGTCATTTTCCCCTCCAAATCTTGTGTAGATCATTCCATATACATTCTGGAATAAAGCCCTTCCCTTTGGAGACTGCTGATTTGACCTGCAAGCACAGCCTTTTTGTGCATGATGTTAGAGGCCTGGGGAGGTCATATCGCTTGCCTTTCACACAAGATCTGAAAACCAGGTGTGTCTGGCTCCAAAGCCTTGGTTCTGCTATGTTCCTCTTTGTCTCCTAGGAAATGGGAACTGACTTAACTAACTTCCCCGTGTTCCATTGTGCTCCTCTGTAACTCACAGTAATGAGCTTAGCTGAATAGGAAGTAGGGGACAGATGGAATCACCTTGCCTACAAGCCAGGGGTTCGCCCACGATCTCTCCTGGGCAGCACGCAAGGGTGAGCCCTGCCCCAGATGTCTCACCCCACCCTTCGTGAAGAACTTGTAACTAGCCTTGCCTATGCCCATCACTCATCACTTTTCTGGCCAGTCTCTACCTTCCAGAAAAGGAAAAATCAGAAATCTGCAGGCTTTCTCAGCCCCTTTGTGGTGCAGACAGCATAGTTTTTTGTTTTTTGTCTTTTTTTGAGACGAGGTCTCACTCTGTCACCCAGGCAAGTATCTTGGCTTACTGCAACCTCTACCTCCCAGGCTCAAGCGATTCTGTCACCTCAGCCTCTTGAGTAGCTGGAACCACAGACATGCGTCACCGTGCCCAGCTAAATTTTTGTATTTTTGGTAGAGACAGGGTTTCGCCATGTTGCCCAGGCTGGTCTCGAACTCTTGAGCTCAGGTGATCCGCCCACTTCAGCCTCCCAAAGTGTTGGGATTACAGGCGTGAGCTACCGCACCCGGCCAAACATAGATGTTTGCATATGTGGTTTTGAATCCCAGCTTAGCTTAGTTGCCCAGTTTTCATCATTACAGTGTCTAGGAATTCAGAAAAGAATGTACGTCTCTGTCCCCATAGATGCTCCATAAATATTTCTTGCTTCCTTGGACTCCCATGATGCCTTACCTGGGCTGTGGGTGACTTGTACCTGGGCCTTGGCCTTTATCCAAAAGCTGGCATTCTGGCAGTATGAGCTTTTGGGGAGTCAGGATGCTGGCCCATGGGTATTAAGTCAGGTAAATCATTAAAGCTCCCACTAACCCATTCTTCCTAGTAGGGGCTTGTTGGGAAGTGAGTAGGCATGGCACATGGGTGAGAGTGCCAGGCCAGGGAGGGTCAGCTCATGTGAGTGCCCTGCGCTGCTTTGGGCTTCTTTGCTTTGCTTTTTTGCCTTAGGCTTCCTGCCTACCTTTCTGAATTTGGGTCACCCTTGGGATAGTTTGAAAGGGACATTCATGTCCATTAACTCCAAGGGTCCTCACAACTGCCCTGTGATACAAGTTACAGTGACCTCATGGTCCAATAAAAAATGACTTTGCCAAGATCACACACTGAGCCTCCCACCCCAAGACATGCTGCCAGCCTTTCCAGGATGACATTAGAGGGTGGAAGGAACCCAGAGCAGGAGGGGCCTTCCAGCCATGGCCCAGCCCTCCATTTGACAAATGGGGAAATTGAGTCCAGAGAAGGGAAGAGATTTGTCCGAGATAAGGCTATCACAAAAGATTTGAGGCGTTCTATGGAGCTGTGTTTTGTTTTGATTTTTGAGACGGAGTTTCGCTCTTGTTGCCCAGGCTGGAGTGCCATGACACAATCTCAGCTCACCACAACCTTCGCCTCCCAGGTTCTAGTGGTTCTCCTGCCTCAGCCTCCCGAGTAGCTGGGATTACAGGCATGTGCCACCATGCCCGGCTAATTTTTTTGTATTTTTTTTTAGTAGAGATGGGGTTTCTTCATGTTGGTCAAGCTGGTCTCGAACTCCAGACCTCAGGTGATCCGCCCACCTCGGCCTCCCAAAGTGCTGGGATTACAGGTGTGAGCCACCGCGCCTGGCCTAGCTGTGTTTTTTTTTTAAAGATGCTTTCTTCTCCACATGCCTGTCTGTGCCATCCTCCACCCACCCCAAATGAGCAGGAATCCCCAGACACAGGACTTGCCATGCCATAGGAGCCTGAAAGTTGGATTAGACGTAACTTGACAACTGAAACTCTACTGTGAATGGAAACAAAACACTAGATGTTCCCACTAAACTCTGACCTTGAAGAAGTGGCTTTCCTTGGAGCCTTGGTTTCCTTCTCAGTAAATAGAGACTTGGCTACCCCCAGTGGATGTGGTGAGACTGGCCCCGTGCCCTAAATTAGAGAAGTGGCTATTTTAAGTGGAAAGACCCTTTGTAAGGCCAGTCTGGGTGTACAAATGATGTAAACAGCCCCAAGATGATCCTTGTCTAGTACCGAGCCATCCAGGGATTCGACCCTATTTGCCCCGGAGCTGGGCCAGCCTCAAATCCCCCGTAATCAGCTTGTGACTTCAAGGAGCTCAGCTTTGCCCAGTGCCTCCTGGTCACGGGGTGTCGGCCCAGAGCTCTGCTCAAGTACCAAGGGTACAGCCATCCAGCTCCCTGCTTCCCCAAGACTGGCAAAGCTGGGGAGGCCTGGAACAAAGAGGAAAGTGTGCAGTGTTGGCTTGGGGCCTGCAACCTCACCCCTTCCCCCACCTCACTCCTGGGCATAAAGGTGATAAAGCCGCTCACTCAGTCTGCAGTCTGGTAACCGACGTCCCCATGATGGCGGAGGCTGGGAGGCCTCCTGACCAGATTCATGGGCTCAGAGAGGCTGTGTCCAGGCCTGCAGGCCCAGCCCTGGCTACCCTAACAAGCCTCCAATTGTTACCTCTCTCCACGGGAGGGGTGGACTGGAGCCTGAGGCTCTGTCTTCCAGCCACCAGGCCTGGCAGTAGCTGATGCATAAACATTAGGGTTTTGCAGTAACTGAGCAGGGCTCCCAGGCCTTGAACCTGGGCAGAAAGAAGACAGCATCTCCTCTCTTTGTGACCACACTGACTTGCCTCCCTGAGGCTTCTGCACCCTGGAATGGGAGAGAGCTCTTGCCAGGCCTCAGCTGATGGAGCCTTTGGCTACTGAGGCCTCTGCTGGACAGGAAGTCTGCCTATGTCTCCTAGCCCAGTTTATCTCCCCCTGCCCTGGCATTTGGGAGTGGGGAGGAAACGGCTCCATCAGAAACAGCTCTACCATTGGACCTTAGGCCAGCCACACTTCTTGTTGGAGCTTGTGTCCTCAGCTGTACTGGGGATGAGAGCTAGCTGTCTGGGTCAGCGGCACTGAGGCTCCAGGGGAGCATGTGGTCTGTGCAGCAGGCTTGGGGAGTGCTGAGCAGCACAGATTGGGTTTCATAGCACAGTGGGAGCCCAGACAGGCCAGCTAGCCATAAGCACCTCTGCTGGAGGAAGAGGTGGACTCTCTTGGGCTGGAGGGCCCAGTTCAAGGAAAGAAACAAACAGCTACACTGGGCTCCTTGATCACCCAGCTGTGGCAGTTCTTCTTGAGGACTTCCTGCCCCTAGGTGGGGGCTGCCTTCAGCTCCCTGCTGCGTGTGATAACTTGGGTGTGGCCCTCACAGCTGTGCAGAAGCTATTCCCAGAGGGTTCTGGCCCCAGGTAAACAGATTCTGCTCTGGGCTCGCCTTGCCTCCATCCCACAGCCCTGTGTGCTGTCTGTGGCACAGCCTAGAGCAGCACTGCCTCGTGGCCCTGGCCCTTATGCGGCTGGAGCTGATCCTGAAGTCCAGTGTCCCAGCGGTCATGGCTGGCATCATCACCATCTACAACCTGGTGATGGAAGTCCTTATCCCCAACTCGCTGATCGACTGCATCAGCCTCTACGGGAATCTCCTCCAGCCAAGCGCTAGGCTGAGTGTGGGCCTGAGTGGCCCGGCAGCCAGCTATGTCATCAGCACTGTGGGGGACACAGTGCTGCCTAGAAGCCCGGGCTATTTGTGGGCTTGATCCTGATCCTCATTTTCACTGCATGGTCTCATTCTCTCCACAAAGTAGCCTTTGAGCCCACCAGCCACAGAATGTGATATAAAGATCACCCCTGCTTATTCCAGAATGAACAGCCTGAGACACATATCCCTTCAGTAGTTGGTCTTGTGAATGCAGTGTCCTAGTGCAAATGCCCATCATCTGTTGACCCCATCCTTGCCCCTGCCTGCCCCATGCTGTGGATATCTGGGCCCCCTCATCACCCATCCTGGCCCCCTGACCAGTGAGGATGCCCCCTCCCATCTAGGGTACTCTGCGTCTAAGGATGAATTCCAGTGTAATTTTCTCTCTTCTGTAGGTTTATTTATGGAAGATTGGACCTGTTCATACATCTGTGGGGCAGCCCTCCATCTCCCAGCTATATAAAGTCTCTAACCACAGTGTTGCATTGTGGGGTTACCATGTGGTCTGACACTTCCTTGCATGAACTACCCTCACTCCAGCCCTGGACAGTCCAGGGCCTAGCAGGCAGTGTGTGGGGCCTACCAGGTCCTGGCATCCAAGCTGTGTCCAATAAAGTTCTTAGATGTGACTGGAAAAAAAATTGGATTAAAAAAAAGCTTCAGAAGTTACAGAGCCAACTACAGAGAAGCATAATAAATGAAAGAGTGTCTTCTAGTTTTGACAGTTTGGTGTTTACCCTAAAGACTTCTCTTTGTGCATGTGTAGATACATGCCTATAAATAGAATATTTGTGTAGTTGGATCCCACTTTCTGCATAGTTCTTTGCAACCCATTCTGTTCACCAAACCAACCCTTAGAGGTAAATACTGGCAGTGTTTCTCTCTGCACATACAACCAAGTGCCACTATACAAGTTCACTAACTCCCTGTTCCTTACACAATATGTACATCCTATTGCTTTTTTTCCCCCCTGAACAATCTACCCTGGTACTCTTCATAACACATACATGTTATGTGAAACACAGATGTGTTTCATTCTTTCCAATAGCTGCATAATACTTCATTACAGGCATGTCCCACCATGATTAAGAAATAGCAGCCCCATCACCTTCTTCATACCACTCACCACCTGATGTATTACATGTATTTATTTTCTGCCCCAGCCTTCAACTAACCTATCAAGTTCCATAGGCAGGGATTTGGTATAGTTTTATCGCTGAATTTCCATTGACTAGAAGAGTGTTGGGAGCATGCATTCAGGCATAATCTTTCCTTAGCAATATCATTTATTCATAGAAGATCCTCTCTTATGGAGAATTAACTGAAGCTTAGAGGAAGAGACTTTTTTTTGAGACGGAGTTTCACTCTTGTTGCCCAAGCTGGAGTGCAATGGCGCGATCTCGGCTCACTGCAACCTCTGCCTCCCGGGTTCAAGTGATTCTCCTGCCTCAGCCTCCCGAGTAGTTGGGATTACAGGCGCGCGCCCCCCACGCCCAGCTAATTTTTCGTATTTTTAGTAGAGACGGGGTTTCACCATGTTGGTCAGGCTGGTCTTGAACTCCTGACCTCAGGTGATCCGCCCACCTCAGCCTCCCAAAGTGCTGGAATTACAGGCGTGAGCCACCATGCCCAGCCAGGAAAGGACTTTTTTAAGGTCACACAAGTGGAGGAGCTGGGACTTAAATGTGTCTGCTGAGAGTGACAGTGAACTTTGCATGTGCCCAATCTTACCAAATTAATGTTCTCTTAGTTGAATTATTGCCCATCTCACCACCAAATGTGTATCTTCTCAGGGGTGTCAGTTTCCCCAGGGTCCAGATCCTGGCCCCACACCCACACATGGCCAAGGAGCCATTTACATTTAACATTCCATAATAGGATGCATACCTTTTCGGTTATTTAGGGAGGATGTGGTTTTGCCTGGAAGGCTTTGAGAATGCTGGGCAGCTAGCTCAGGGGACGTGGGGCTTAAAGCAGAGGCCGATCAACTTTTTTCTAAAGGGCCAGATAGAGCGTAAATATTGTCAGCTTTGTTGGACATGTAGTTCTCGGCCTGCCACTCAGCTTTGCTGTTGCAGTACAAAAGCAGCTGTAGACAAATGAGTGTGGCTGTGTTCCAATAAAACTTTATTCATGGTCACTGAAATGTGAATTTAATATAATTCTTACATATCACAAAATATTAGTCATTGTCTTTTTTTTCTCCCCAGCTACTTAAAAATGTAAAACTCATTCTTAGCTGCCATAGTTTGCCAACTTTGGCTTATAGCAAATGCAGCAAAGTGGCCCAAAGGTTTCTGAGCCTGTGCCCGGGCTGTCTCAGCTCAGAGTGGGCAAGGCTCAGAGAGTTGCTTTTATGGAATTTGACCTACATAGAAAGCACCAGGTAGAAACCTTGTTTCCTTCAGGGACCAGTACCCGGAAACAAGGGGGAGGACCTAAGCAGGAAAGCCATAGAATTTGGCATCAGAGACCCCCAATTGGAAACTTCCCTGAAGCCTAGAGTCCCCTGGTTCTGCGCTTTTCCCTCTCTCTCATTTCTCATCTGTGAAAAGGGAGTAATCGCTCCCCAAAAGCTTGTTCATGGTGGTTAATCAGAATGTGTGAGCAGCCTCTGGCAGGGTGCCTCAGCTCGCTGCTGCTGCTGCTGCTAAATGCACCAGCCCCCTCCTCTCAGTTCTACTTTGAAGACTGGCGAGTGCCTTCTGCCTCGAGGGCAACCAGGGGTGTCTGGAGGTTCAGTCATGCAAGGGTCTTGATATCATTGGAAGGCTTAAAGGAAGTGGCTTCAGGAGCACTTAATGCTTGAGGTCACCCTAAGGTCAGGTTTTGGACTGTTAGTCCATCACTCTTCTTTTTTAAAAGGCTTGGCAGGATGGAACCGGTCAGAGGGTAGAATGCCAGGCTAGGAAACCAAACAACTCTAGTCCCAACCCTGGCTTTTGTTTGTATGCTAGGCTGGGCACCTGCCCTCTGACCTCAGGTGCCTCCTGTCAAGTGCCGATGTTACAGCAGTCTGCAATTTCTTGAGCTTCTTTCTTTCTTATTGCAGCCAAAGCTGTCTTATTTTTTTTTCTTTTGAGAGTGTCTCACTCTGTCGCCCAGACTGGAATGCAGTCGTGCAATATCTGCTCACTACAACCTCCGCCTCCCAGGTTAAAGTGATTCTATTCTCCTGCCTCAGCCTCCCAAGTAGCTGGGATTATAGGCATGTGCCACCACACCCCACTAATTTTTGTACTTTTTTTTTTTTTTTTTGAGACAGAGTCTTGCTCTGTCGCCCAGGCTGGAGTGCAGTGGCGCGATCTCAGCTCACTGCAAGCTCTGCCTCCTGGGTTCAAGCCATTCTCCTGCCTCAGCCTCCCGAGTAGCTGGGACTACAGGCATGCGCCACCATGCCGGGCTAATTTTTTTTTTGTATTTTTAGTAGAAACGGGGTTTCACCGTGTTAGCCAGGATGGTCTCGATCTCCTGACCTCGTGATCTGCCCGCCTTGCCTCCCAAAGTGCTGGGATTACAGGGGTGAGCCACCGTGCCCGGCTCCAACTTTTCTATTTTTAGTAGAGACAGGGTTTTGCTGTGTTGGCCAAGCTGGTCTGGAACTCCTGGCCTTAACCAATCCGCCCGCCTCGGCCTACCAGAGTGCTGGGATTATAGGTGTAAGCCACCGCGCCCAGCCTTGAGGTTCTTTCTTTTAATGCCCAGAAGTTCATTTAAATGAGTAAGAAACACAACAAAACAAATTAAAAGGGAGCTGTCATGGATTCAGGTAAACCCCTCCCCCACTCCTTTGAGCCGTGGACTAAGCAGTTGGAAAGCCCTGCGTCCCCTGCTTCCCTGCACCTGGGGAACCCATGTGGGATGCTGTGGGAAGAGGACAAGATGGAGCAACATCTGGAGTCTGCCAGCCCTGGGACCCTCCTCTTGCCAGGAATACCCTGCCTCTGAGTAGCAGTAGCCACGTGCCCTTCCTGTGCCAATATAGATTGAGAACCTGCTGCAGGCCAACCCTGGGGCTGGAGCGCAATGCTGACACACTGACATGGGTCAAAAGGCCACAGTGTTTGGCAAGTTATACAATGTGGCCAGGGCCATCTGGCATCCGAGCGTTGGGGGAGAGGTCCTGAATCTTAACACCTCATCCATGGCTTCCTGGGAGAGGGAGGGCTCTTGTGGGTCGTGAGACCCCCAGCGGTGGGATAGGGAGGGTGAGGGGTGGGGACATGAGAAATGCTTCTCTGTGCTGGACCCTGAGCCCAGTTGCTGGCCAAGCTGGGAGGCCATGACTCTCCTAGGAGAGTCAGGATTTGAACTCAGTCTGCCTGACTTCAGAGGTCCTTCCTTGACAGCCCTGTGGGCTTGGAGTGGAGGGTTTTGTGGGGTGCTGTATTTACCTCTCAGAGCTCTGATGTTCCAGCACTCGTCAGGGGTTTGATAAATGGCTAAGGATGAACACTGGTCTGGCACAACAGATACTCACAGAGCCAGCTTTGCCCAAAAGCCAAATTGAAAAGTGGCAGGTTTCTTTGTTTGGCAATTAGCATGTGCTGTTCCCTACTCTCGTCACTCTGGCTGCAGACACGGTATGACCCAGGTTCCATTCCTTTTTTTTATCTCACTCTGTTGCCGAGGCTGGAGTGAAGTGGCATGATCTTGGCTCACTGCAACTTCTGCCTCCCAGGCTCAGGTGATACAGATGTGTGCCACCATATCCAGCTGTTTTTTTTTTTTTTTTTTTTTTTTTGTGTGTGTGTGTGTGTAATTTTAGTAGAGACCTGGTTTCACCATATTGCCCAGGCAGGTCTTGAACTCCTGAGCTCAAATGATCCGCCCACCTTGGCCTCCCAAAGTTCTGGGATCACCGCGTCCTGCCCCTGGTTCTATTCTTAAGGAGTTCCCAAACTGAGTGGCAGATGGGTAATAAGCTAGAGACTGCAGAGGACATAGCAAGAGCAAAGGCCTGGAAGAGAATGGAATGTTCTAGAAAGTAGTCTCATCCCCAGGGAGTGCTGATGGGCTGCTGGGGATCCCAGACTCTGGGCTGTACATTGCTCCCCACCAGTAAAAAAGGCTCCCACAAGAAAATCACAAGCTCTATGGGGCTAGTACCCTTCTCTAAGTCATCACCAACTGTTCATCAGCTTGACACCAGAATAAATAAATACACGTTGAGTGAATGGACTTCATTGCCATGTTCCAGTTCTAGCCACTGGCTGGTGGGGGCAGATGGTGCTGAGGCTGCCCGATCGAGGGTAGCTTGCTATTCTTCACCGATCCAGCAAACACTTGTGGAGGGAATTCTGCCAGGCTTCATGATGGATACTGATAGAAAACGTAACAGCAACCCTTTAAGGAAGGAACTTTCATCCCCGTTTTCTAGGTGAGGAAACCAAGGCCCAGAGCAGGGCTGCCTTGTATCCAACTCCAAGGTGAAAGGAGGCAGCTTGCTGCATTTAAACGTGGGTCTGCTTCCAAGCCCAGCAATGATCAAGCCGGCTATAGTGGGCGCAGCAGAGTGGCAGCATGAATCTGAGATTGGTCGCAGTGTCTTGTGCCTACTGAGGAGCAGGGGCCATGTCCCTCCCCCTACACCTAGCACTGAGCCACACTGAGCACGCTGTTTCTTAATCTGACTGGTCCCCATTTCTTCTCCTTGCACATACTGTTCTGTCCACCTGGAATGTAGCCTTGCCACTGCTTTCCCACTTGGCAGACTCTCTGTGTGTCCTTCACAGCCCAGCTCCAATGTCACCTCCTGGGAACTCATCTTTTTTTGTACCCAGGCAAAACTGGAAATCTTTCCCTCCAGGGTTCTCACAGTGCCTCATACCAGCCCCCTGTTGAAGCCCAGACCACACTAGCCTCTCATCTTCATCTGCCTCCCCACTGCCCCCACCCCACTGTACTGGAAACTCCTTCCTTGGTGTCAGGACTGGGTCCAGTTTCATCCGGGGCCCCAGCTCTACTTAGCATGAGACCTAGAGCATGGGTCACTGGTATTTTAGTCAGTCCTAGTGCAGCAGCTGCCTGGGTGGATGTGGATATGACCCAGGGAGTGGGTAGGCAGGTTTTCTAAAGTCGAGTTTGACCTCGACCTGCTGATGACAAGGTCCAGCGGAGGGGTATGTCCTTGGCCTCCAGCAGCCCCCATTGACAGAGGCTACAGTCGAGCAGCTGCTCAGTGGGGCCCCAGGGATGACTTCAGAGGCTCCAGACCCCTGGAACATCAGATGCAGACCTCAGTAAAACAGGGCCTGTGATAATAGCACTTACCTCACATAGCCAGTGTCATTCACTCATGCTCTACCAACATAATTTTTGCCAGATCCATGGATCATTTGTATTATTTTCCACTTAATGTTTTTATTTAAATTGCTTTGTTCTAAGTAATATGAAATCACAGGGCTTGTAAAAATTATTTTGAATAGGTGATTCCATTCACACCATTCAGAATTCAAAAAAGTGCCAAAGGCTATAAAATGAAATCTCCCTTTCACCCTGTCCCCAGTCACCCAGGCCCCCCCGGGGTTAGAATGTTACCTTTCTTGTACATTCTTGTTTTTTGTTTTTTGTTTTTTTTTTTTTTTGAGACAGAGTCTGCTCTGTCGCCCAGGCTGGAGTGCAGTGGCGCCATCTCGGCTCACTTCATCTCCCAGATAAAGTGATTCTTGTCCCTCAGCCTCCCAAGTAGTTGGGACTACAGGCACGCACCACCATGCCCAGCTAATTTTTGTATTTTTAGTAGAGACAGGGTTTTGCCATGTTGGCCAGGCTGGTCTCGAACTCCTGGCCTCAAGCTGAGATTATAGATGTGAGCCACCGTGCCTAGCCTCTTGTGCATTCTTTTAAATAGATGTGTATATTCTCCCCCTACCCCCAGCCAATTTTTTTTTTTAACCCAAAAGGTAGCATACAATATACACACTGCTCTGTTTTTGGTTTCGCTTTTGTTTTTTGGGACAGAGTCTCACTCTGTCACCCAGGCTGGAGTGCCATGGGGTGATCACAGCTCACTGCGGCCTCGAACTCCCAGGTTATGTATTCCATTATATCACTATGCCACGTTTTCTTAAATGATAGATTGATGTCACTGCATTGCTTGTTTTTTAATCTATTCTAATGTGTTCCAGAAAAATACAGTATATACTTTGCATCCCATGAGCAAATGCAGGTAATACCGCAGGCAGAAAGCCCAGCACGTGGCGGGCCTAGCAGTCGCTGTTTAGTGAGCCCTCCTGGTGATGCTTAGTGCCTTGCCACAGCCTCTGAATTAGTGTCCACCCTATGAATTAGGCTTGACCTGGTGTGTCGCTGGGGTCCCCCAGAAATTTGTCAGCTGCTCACTACCCACTCGGAACAACAGCTCTGGGCCTGAAGGCTCCCCAGAGAATTGAGAGAAGGGAGATTCTGGGGGCAGTGCCAGGACATACGGGGGGTGGGGGCTGTCTTTCTAGTTGGGCAATGCAGAGGATTTAGAGGGAATGGAGTCCCTGTGGTATGAGGGAAGCCCCAGCATGTGGAATAAATGTCCAGAGGCAGGCTAAGGGGTCAGGTAGACAGACTAATGGGAAGGAAGGATGCAGCGCACACACAGAGGGGGCTCTGAGCTGCACACTCCTCCTGGGCCGAAGCCTTCTTCCTCTTTCGCAGCCTCTGATGTGAGAGCCTTGGCTTTTGCAGTCGTTGCCCTGACTGACGCTTTCAGAGAATGAAAAGACCATACTGGGAATATGCCTGGTAACAGCTATGCCCAGGGCTATCTGTGATGATCTTGAAGTAAAGGCTGCTTCTGGGTTCTGTGGAAACCAAGGCCCAGAGACCCACAGCCAGGCCATGGCCAGCTCCACCCACTTCCAGGGCCCAGCTTGGTATAGTGTGCGTAGTGAATGCCAGTCGTTTCTTTGGCATGCCTCCCGCAGCCCTGTTCTCCCACAATCAGTTAAAGGCCTGCCTAATGTCACATTTCCTGACTTCCTCATTTTTATAGCTGAAAAGAGCACTTTTCTTCAGCAGGGCTGACACCCTGCTGGCCTCTCAGTCACCTGTGGCTAAGCAGGGCTCTTCACCTGCTGGCCTCTGCCCTTCCTGCTGCCTTAGGTCCTCGGCTTCCAATGGACAGAAGCAAACTGCTCTTTTTCTCTCCCATCCCTTTGCCCATTGGAAACACCTTAGCCCCACACTCTTACTCACCTTGTGCACTTTTCCAAAGTGCATTCCCGCCTAGCATGTCGTCTATGTCCATATAACCTTGGGAGGCTTATGGTTTGGGGATTATTGCCGTGAGGAGCACTGGGTAAGGAGTCCGGAGCCCTGAGCTCTGCTGCAGGCTCCTGAGTGATCTGGAACTTGCCTCACCCTCTCAGGGCTCAGTTTCCTGCCCTGTGAACAGCAGGAAGGGTAGGGCAAGGTGGGATCACATCTCCAATGTGACAAACGAAGCTGTTGCCATTTTGCTGACAAGCAAATGGAGGATAGGGGAGAGGTGGTACATGGGGGACTTAGCCTGCTGGAATTCACAGAGCAAACAGGCAGATGGGCTGGAATCAGAAGCCAGCGGCTTCAGCTCCAAATCCAGGGTGCTTCTCCTATCTATATCTGTGCTATTCCTACCAAGTAATTTGGGCCCCCTCGCATAGGAGGGCTGGTTCCTGGGCCTCCCAGTCAGAGAGTCTAGAACCACCAGACCCTAGGCATGGCTCCACCAGGGAAATGAGACCCCCAAGAATCCAAAGCCTCTCCCTCTCTGAGACCTGGCTACAGAGAGAGAAGATCATACTTCCCCTCTCTCCCCAGGAAATGGCCCGGCCAGCCCAGTATCTTGAAGTCAGCTAGGCTGGTTTGGGCACCTAAGGTCAGGAATTGGCCAAGTTTCCTGGGAGAAAGACTGGTGTGGTGCCAAGAGTCAGGCAAGATATCTGAACACAGAAACTTGCCAGTCCAGGCCCTGCCCTGTAGTAACCTGCTCCCAGACACGCCTATAACAGTGTGGTTTGTTTCTCCGCAGAAGCTGACGGGTCGCCTCATGCTGGCCGTGGGAGGAGCAGTGCTTGGCTCCCTGCAGTTTGGCTACAACACTGGAGTCATCAATGCCCCCCAGAAGGTGAGTACTGTGCCATCGTTGGCTTATGGACACCAGCCTGCTCTGTTGCACATCACACATGCCCACAGTCTCACGCCACCACCTGAATTAGAGTCATTTATATGAACGCACTGTACTGTCTGCCTCTCCAGCCAGTTTTCTGGCCCTGATCATGTCAGAGACTCTTCTCTTGCTTTGGAATCAGGGTGGCAGAATTCTAGAATCTCAGGTCCCACAGAATCCTGGGGTCTTGTATAGGCCCTCTTGACCAACCCCCCACCCAACTCAGTCATTTAATAATATGTTTGATGATATAATAAACTCAAAGCAAAGCTCAATACAATAATGCTGCATTTCCGTGGCATTCTGGGGCTGCAGAGGGTTTTCATGGGCTTGTCTCACTTGATGCTCACTGCAGCACTGTCAGGAGGCAGCAGGCACCACTCCCAGCCTGCAGGTGTGGGAAACGGCCAGAGAGAGGAAACCCGCCCAATATCACCCAGCTAAGTCAGAGACAGAGCTGGTATCCAACACCTGCCTGCCAGGTGGTCCTTGAGCCTGCACTCATACCCATCCACAGGCAGCACACTTCCTTTATTTGTAGGTTGAAACCGCGTCCTCTCCCTGAAGGCCCTGTGGCAGTCAAAGCAGAAATGGCGTCTTGCCCTAGGGAGCCACAGGGGGTGAAGGTCTGTGCTGGCTTCCTCCTCCCTGCCGTGCATCCTAGATCTGTCCTCACTTGTTTACTTGAATGTCAGGATGGGAAGGGACCTAGACCATCTCCTCCAGCCCAGCCTACTTGCATTAAGGAGGAGAGAAGAGGAAAAGGGGGTAGGGGGTAGGAGGCAGGGACAGGAAAGGAAACTGAGCCCTTCCTCTGTACCAGGCATTTTGCTTGTGTTTATGAGATTGGGTGGTGATTTCCATTTTGTAGACCCGGAAACTGAGGCCCAGGCAGATGAAATGGCCGACAGGCCCAAGGTCACAAAGCTATTGAATGCTGGAGTCAGAAGCCAAGCTCTGTTGTTTCCATGGCCTCAGGTTGTCTTCCTAACCAGCTGCCTTGCCCGTTTAAAAATCTGTACCTTCCCAGAGAGGACCAAATGAGAGTGGGCAGTCCTCACGTCAGGACCACATTTCTTGTCCAGACGGATGGGGCTAGAAAGTGAGTGCAGTGACTCCCAAAGATCAGGGTCCTGTTTGGGGGAACCAGGTAGTGTCTAGAGTTAGCTGGGCTTCTTCCAAATAGGCAGACAGTGGCTATGGGGCCACGCCCGATGCTGAGGAGCAAGTCACCAGGAAGGCTTGGCCTGCTGAGTCATGCTCAGCTGCAGGGGAGGTGACAGGACTTTTCCAAGTTTGCTGGGCATGGAGACCGTGGGCCCATGCTTGGACCAGCCCCAAGCCCTGCATTTGCTAAGTGCTCTTGACAGCTCTTGCCAAAGTGTGTGCTTCAGAACTGGCTCCCTTTGGGAATCCTTACAGATGGAAAGTCTGTAAGACAGGCTGGGAGGAAACAGAGGGAGGTTGAGCTCTCCACTTGGTTGCACATTGGGGTTTCCAGAACGCCCCCAGATTCTGATTTAATTGGTCTGGGATGCTGTTTGGGCATTCAATTAAAAGCTTCCCAACCAATTCGAATGTGCAGCCAAGGTTGACAGCTACTGGATTTAATGATGTCTTGACTGTGATCTCATAGTGAGTTAATGACAGAACTAGGACTCTAAGGCCAGGACAGAGGAGGTGTTTTCCAGAAACAGAACAGGGTTGGGGTGAGCAGGGGGCCTTCAAAGCAAAATGCCCAGAAGACAGAAAGCCTGGCATTCAGTAAAGCGTGAGTAGTTTAGTGTGTCACTAGAGTGAACAGGAGGAGGGGAAAGGTTGGGGAGGTCAACAAGGTAAGGTAGGCAAGAGCCAGACCACAAAGGGCCTTGTGAGTATGGCACGGCACAGTCAGAAGGGGCGGATGGGCACCAGCACGGGGGCCCAGCTAGGGAGCATGGACTTCAGGATGAGGACAATAGGGACCCACTGCCCAGGGCAGACGTGATCAGACTTGCATTGTAGGGAAATGACTCAGGCGTCTGGTATGGAGGGGCGGACTTAAGAATGTGAGACTAGAGACGGGAAACCATCAAGAAAGTTGCCGTTGGACTAGTGACATAAAAGCAAACCCTCAGAGGAAGAATGGACAGGATTTGGTCATCAATTCCGTGCGAGGGCAACAGAGAAGGGTTTAAAAATGGTTTCTAGGTTTCTGGCATGGGTGATGTGTGGTTTGAAGAAGGAGCAGGTGTGCCAGGAGCTGAGAGGTGGCCGTGGGATGTGCAGGAATGGAGGCGTGGGGTGACACAGCTGGAGATGTGCAGGAGGCACCTGTATGTATGGGTCTGTTTCTTAGACCCAGGCTGGAGAAAAGTTGAGAATTAGTCACTGGTATCCACACAGTGGAGAAAGATCTTCTAGGGAGACTGTGGAATAAAAAGAGAAATGAAGATTAAGGCCGGGCATGTGGCTCACGCTGTAATCCCAGCACTTTGGGAGGCTGAGGTGGGTGGATCACTTGAGCCCAGGAGTTCAAGACCAGCCTGAGCAACACATCAAGACCTCATCTCAATTTTATAATTAAATAAATAAAAATTAAAAGTAAAAGATCAAGGCCCCAGAGAACAACCCATTGCTAGAAAAAGACCCTAAGTAGAAGAACAAGAGCTGGTATCTCTAAAACCAGGAGAGGATACCCTCCCAAGACAGAGGGATAATGTAAGCCATCGAAGGGCCAGGGTATTTGTCTGGTTTGTCCACGGCCGTGTCCTTAGTGCCTAGAACGGTGCCTGTCATAGTAATAGACACTGGTGGATAGTGAGTGGAGGAAGGCCATCGGGTACCCCAGGGGTTGAACTGGGCAAGCCTCTCCACATTGCTGAATGCAGAAGAGGCGATGGTGGCCTTGTGGCCACTCGGGCTGACTGGGTGGCACAGCGTGGATAGAAGCCTCACTACGATTGGGTGAAGAGTGAGAGGCAGATGAGAAAGGGTGGAGACGGCTCTTCCAAAAGAGTTGGTGGGAGAGGGAGAAAAGAGGAGGTTTGGAATGATGGTATGGCTAGGAATTTATTTATTTATTTTAATGAAGGTTATTTTTAAACATGTTGGAAGGAATCAGCAGGAGAGGGTGAAGATAAGGAAGTGAGGGCGGAGGTCTTCCAGGAGGGAGGGTGGTGTCGGAGCAGAAGGGAGGGGCTGCCTTTGGCCAGGAGGGACTGAGATACCTTTTTTTTTTTTTTTTTTTTTGAGACGGAGTCTTGCTCTGCTGCCCAGGCCAGAGTACAGTGGCATGATCTTGGCTCACTGCAACCTCCGCTTCCTGGGTTCAAGTGGTTCTCGTGCCTCAGCTTTCCAAGTAGCTGGGCTACTGGTACAGGTGTGTACCACCACGCCCAGCTAATTTTTGTGTTTTTAGTAGAGATGGGGTTTCACCAGGTTGGTGAGGCTGGTCTCAAACTCCTGACCTCAGGCGATCCACCTGCCTTGGCCTCCCAAAGTGCTGGGATTACAGGTATGAGCCACCATGCCCAGCCAGGGACTGAGAGACTTCTGAAGATGTAGACAAATCTGAGATGAACTTCTGTGATCCCCGGGGCCTCCCATCTAATCAGAAATAGGCAAGAGGTTATAACTGTCATGGAATATGGGCAGAACCTCTGACCAGGGCATCACGGGGCTGGTCAGCAGCACAGAGGGCCCAGATGAGCCTGTAAACTGCATTCATAGGACCATGTATGGTCACCTGTCCAAAGGTCACTTCAGGAACCAGCCCCAGCAGACCGAAGCTGGAGATGTGAGTGGCCAGAACTGAGAACGCTGAAATCTAGCGGTGTTTCTTGGGCAAGCACCCAGACACTTGGTCTGTTGACTTTTGTACTTTACAAACACTTCTCACAAGGCTGGCTGTAGTTTTTCCAACCAGGAGCCAGATTAGAAGTGATACATGTAACATGTGAAGAGAGGACAGAAGGACCCAAGAAGAAGAAATGAAAGTGAGGCTCAGAGCCCATGTGTAGTAACAGGGCAGAGAGACTCCTGTGCCCGCGTAGGCTGAAGGCCTGCCCTAGGGCGACACAGAGATTCCATCTGGCCAACCCTTTCATTCAGCCAGGACTTCCTGAGCATCCACGCTGTGCCAGATGCGGTCCTAGACAGTAAGGAGAGAGAAGTATAGCTGTGAACACAGCAGGCACATGCTGGCCCTCAGGGAGCTGCCTGAGACACAGTCTGAGCCAGGCCCTGTCTCCACAGCAGTGGGAGAGACCCCTTGGAGAAAGCCAGAGTGTCACTAACAGAGGGCTTCAAGGTGCTGTGAGAGCAAACGGGGCAACTAATGCTGGGGCTGGGGTGACAGGGGAGATTAAAAAAAGGGCTTCACGAAGGACTTGGCAGCCATGCTCGACCTTGAAGGGTTAGTTGACCTCATAGGGCAGGAGGGGCAGGTGTCTGGGCAGTGAGAGGGGCTTCTGCAGAGGTGCAGGGGTGTGAAATGTTCTGCTGATGCGGAATTGCTAACTGCCTGCAGTGGGCACACTGACTTCCCTTGTCTGTTTAGAAGAACCTCTCTTAGGAAACAGCATTGGGTTGGCCACAGTTTGCCTACTCTTGAGAAGAGACTTTGCCCCACAAGTGGTGAGGATGCCAGAAGCTTGTTCTCTTCCATAAAACAGGCCCCAAAGGGCTTCCTCCTGGAAGTGGTTAATTAATCATACTACCTTATATGTTTACAAAGCACCACCCCATAAATTACCACCTCACAGCAACTCTACAAGGCAGGCGGGGCTGACATCTTCCCCTCTTCTAAATGAGGGAACTGAAGCCAGATGAGGTATCTGGAGAGTGAGAGGCTGAGCTAGAGGTGGGCTCCAGGCCTTGTGCCTCCCCAGCTCTGCACACTGCCCCTGCCCTGCTGTGAGTGTGACAGGACATTCCTGCCATGCATCCCCTCCTGGAGGAGGAGGACAGAGCAGAAGAGGTGAGCCCAGCCACAGAGGGAGCAGCTAAATGAACCAGGGAATCCTGACCATCATACTGGGCTCATCCGAGCACTGCCTTTCCCCTCCCCAAATGACTGAGCTGCCAGTAGAGATGACTGACGGCCACTGAGAAACCATGAAGTCCTGGCCCAAGGGACAGTGTCAGGCATGTCTGAGAATAAGGCATCCTCAGAATCCAGAGTTTGGGCCAGAAAGGCCTCAGTTGTTTGACAAACAACACTCCTTGTTTGACAAAGGAGGAACCTGGTCTGCAGAGGAGGTGAGGTCTGCCCAGGATGACCCAGCTTGGTGAGTGAAAGAGCTGGAGGCAACACCCGCCTCCCAACCCAAGCCCTGTGTCCCGTCAGGCTGAACTGGGCTTCGTGCTCTAGGCAGCCTCTCCTTCTCTCTCCTATATCCAAAGAGTTCTAGTCCTCTCTCCCCTTCACCCGTCACCACTACCATAAACCCTTACTGCTTACTTATAGCTTGCCCAGGCATTGTTATACATACTCTAGAAATAGTAATTCAGTTGTTCTTCAAAATAACCCCATTAGGCAGACACCATAATTTTCCCTGCTCTATAAGAAACTGGGGCACAGGAATGTTAAGCAATTAAAGCAAGGACACACAGCTAGTAAGTGGCAAGGCTGCAATGTAACTCCGGGGAGTCTGGCCCTAGTCTGTGCCCTTGACCATTGTGGAAGATGGACACAGTCCCAGATGGGCACCTAAACACCCTTTCACTCACCTACAACTGCCACCTAGCTGGCAGTGTGTGGTCTCACTTTGGAGCTGAGTCAAGCTCAGTCATGTACCAACATCTCAGGTTTCCCACACACAGTTGCACAATCTCTTACACCATCACACCCTGTCATATCACATCACCCCTCAAGCCCTTCAGTTAGATTCATGGCTTGTTGGTCATTTAGTGTCAACTCTGCACCTCCACCACCGTGCTGGGCACCAGCAACATGGATGCATCAGACAGACCATCTCCGTGCTGAGGTTTACTGTACAGGGAGCACACGGTACCTTACAGTTAGTCTTCTAAAGGCGATGATGGAAATGCGAGCAAGCACAGTGGGAGCAGGGAAGGAAGAGGGAGAGGGTGCTTCGCCCTTAGAGCAGGGTTTCTCAGCTTGGCACTGTGATGTTTCTGCTGGTGTTGTAGAGGCCTGTCCCATGCATTGGAGGATGTTTATCAGCATCCTTGGCTTCTGCCCTCTAGATACCAGTAGCCAGTGTGGCAACCAAAAATGTCTCTGGGCATTGGCAGATGTCCTATGGGGTACCAAAGCCGTCTCTGTTTGAGAACCAGTTGCAGTGGAGTGGGAGGGGTGGTTCTCGGGAGGAAGGCTTTCCAGAGGAGTATCTGTGCATGTTCTGAAAGGTGATTAGGCCCAAGCAAAGGTGTGAGGTGTCTAGGTCGTATGAGGGAGTCACTGCGTGTGCCTTGTGAGTCATAGTTGGGGTAGAGGAGACACTTTATTGCAAGAGCTGAGAAGGGCTTCGGGTGTGGCCACGGCAGTGGGATGATTCCTCTGTCTACCGGGAGGCCTGGCCTGGCCTGGCCTTGGTTTGGAGGCTAGCCATGTCAGGGCTGTTCCAGGGAAGCAGCCTGGGTGGTCCAGCCCTCTGCAGGGGGGTTGGGGCCCAGCTCTAGCCCCAACCTGGGCCTCTTCCCCCAGGCCCCAAAGTGAGGCCCCAGGGGACCCAGTGGGCAGGGTTATCTGTCCAGCCCCACCTGGAACATCTGGCTCCAATCTCCCAGCTCACCCTGGGGTGTGGCTGAGAGTTGCTGTGGAGATGAAGGCCCTGGGCTGAGAGCTTGTGGGAAGGGCAGTGTGGGGCCAGCCCCAACTGGAAGACAGGGGCAGGCAAGGAACAGGGGTGAAGGCCAGGCTGAGAGGCTAAGCCGGAGAAGCTGGCCCTTTCCTCCTTGTAACTGGCGCTGAAAGCTTGGCTGGCAGTTTAGCCCCTTCTTCCCCACAATAGCATCCCGTAGAGCACAGGGAGAGTTGAGACCGAGCCTAAACCTGGCCCAGGGATCCCTGCTGGGGATGACCTAACTGACCTAGTCCTCCTGGGGTAAAGGAATGTCTAGAGGGAAGGATGGTGAGACCAGCCAGAGGTTCCAAAACGCATACCCCTCCTGGCAGTGGTCTAGAATCCTAGATCAAGGGTTGGCAGGAGGGCCACATCCAGCCAGCAGCCTGTTTTTGTGCAACCCATGAGCTAACAATGGTTTTTACATTTTTACAAGGTTGAGAAAAAAAGAACAATGAGTGACAGAGGCCATATGTGGCTCACAGACCCTACCTAATGGATTCTAGCTAGCCTTTTACATAAAATGTTTACCCCAGTCCGGCTCTGGAGCACTTTGACTTGCATGCTCCCTACTTACAGGGAACTCACCACCTGTAAGGTGGGCAGCCTCATACCCTGAAGTCTATAAAGCTCTTCCTTCCCCTGAGCTGGAGTCTGGCCCTGGCACCTCTGCCCTCTGGGGCTACAGAGTGCTGGGTTCCTCTGCCAGGAGCAGCCGAGCAGGGTCTGGAGACTAGCTTTATTCCCTGAGGCAGGCCCGTAGTTCCTTCAGGTTCCTCCTTACTCTTACATTCTTAGGGTAATGATTTCTGGCAATTTCAAAATGGAAAACCTTGTCCCTAAGGCTCCTCCGAAAGTGGTGACTTCTTTTCTTGAGAGAGCAACAGTGACAGCAGTAACAGCTTACCCATGTGCCAGGCAGTGTTCGCCGCCTCATGCCCCTCTACAAAGGGGAAGTGAGAAGTTCCTTGGCAGATGGGCAGACATGTAGTCTCACCCACAGTTGCCTCGACTGGCGGGAGGTGGTGTGGGGATTCCCAGGTGTCCTTAGGCTTGGGCAGGCCTCCCCCTCACCCCAGGAGAGCCACCGGGTGAGGAATAGCTTCGCGTACCAGAAGCCATCCGGTTCAAAGGATCTCAGCTGCCCAGAGTCAACCTGCTTCTCCAGGGTGGTCTCCATGGTGGGTGTCCTCTAGGCTCAGTGAGGCACCTGGACAGAGATCTGTAGTAGCCCCTCAGCTCTAGGCTGGCCGACACCATGGCAGTCCCCCCAGGAACTAACCAGAACCGCTCCTCCCTCCTCAACACGCTTGCCGCCACCCAGACTCCACAGCTGGGTGAAGAGACTGGGCTGGGAAGGGAGCAGAGAAGCGGGTGGATGGCCGAGCCTGGCACATTTGGTGTGCAGGACTCCGACTGCATTCTGAGGGGTGGTTCACTGTGGGAAATGGGGTCTGACTTTGGTGGATAGGAAGAGTCGGGAGCAGAATCCAGATGAGACCCAGGGCAGGCTGCCTGGGTAGAGAAGTAGGACAGACTCGGAGGCAGAATCGAGAGGACCTGGTGATGGATGGATGTGGGGTGGTGGCAGCATCAAGTGTTTAAATCCTAAGCTTGGGACGGGCATGTGAGGTGGGAGCGTTCAGAACAGGCACGTGCCAGGTCTCACCTCACACATGACCCAGGGTTGCGGAGGCTGCTGGGAGCCGGCGGGATTGGGCCTGTGGGATCCTGTCAGGGCATAATAAGTAGACTCTTCTTTCCTGAGGTGCACCCAGACACTTCTAGGGAGGATGTGACCCCAGAGCTTTTCCCCATGTAGGGTTCTTCTCATTCTCCAGCATCCCCCTGCCTTTCCTGGGCCAAGAGTCAGCGTGGAACCCCATACGAATCCCCAGGGAGGAGAGGGCACAGAGCACCGGAACCAGCAGTAGGAATTGGAAAACCAGGCGTGGCTTCTTCCCAGAAATCTCAGGCATCAAGAGGCAGAAACCCACTCCCCAGCCTCAGCTTGGCCAGGAAGTGCTGCTGTGGGCTGGAGAGGATGGGTCTAGGCCAAGGTGAACATGCAGAGAGCTGGCTGCTCACCCTTCCTCCACCCCATAAAGTGGTCTGAGTAACAGAGCAGCTAGGCAGCGTCCAGGAGCCAGCCCTGGACAAGGTTGGGTCCCTTTGACTGTGTGACCACAGGCAGGAGACGTAACTCAGGGTGGAGCTCTGGTCACACCTCACTTACACACAGCCCTCTTGTCAGTTGCCCCAACATCTCAAGAGATCTTCAAGCTTATTTAGGTAGTTTCAAGCCTTACTTAGCACCTATTTACTCTTTCTTTGTATACAATTCAAACAAATTCCATTTGCTGACTTCTTGGCAAATTTCAAAAGAGGTGTGGAGAGTTGTACAAGACAAGCCTCTGAACCACAGAGGGTTGGGGGAATACCTTAGAACTATGGAATGCAGAAATTTAGCCATCAGGAGCCAGTCTGCACAGGGACAAACACCTCTCCTTGCCCCTGGAGAGAGCCCCAAGGGCAGACACCATTGCCCTGCAGCCCTGCTTGTAGGTCTGGTTGCTCAGGAGAGCAAAGTGAAATCTCTTCACATTTTCACCCCATAATGGGTCAGGAAAGATTGGACCCTCAGAAGGGCAAGCGCCATTTATCTGGACCGTTCCCATATCCACCCTCATTCAGAGCAGCCTGTTCTTGGTGGAGCCTGATAAACGGGGCATTACCGTTCCCAACCAGTCCTCCTCTGGGGTTAGTTTCGTCCACAGAAGAACACTTTGCATTTTGTTACTCTGTTTTTTGTCAAAATCTGCCTTCTGTCTGCCCCCAGCAGAATCAAGGGGTTCTAAGAGGAGAGCCTAACACCTTTGGTTCGATTCCTCCATTTCCTCACCAGGTATCCCTGGCACTGGCTCTGGGACAGACCATGGTGTGAATCAACTGTCTTCCTCAGGGAAGACAAACTCCTGGAGTCAGGGAAACCTGGATCTCGAAAGGTTTCAGCAATAAGGCCAGGGGTACCTTCCAGGCAGGAGTAGTAGCATCTCAAAGGCGTAGAGGGGTGGGAGATGGTGTGTAGTGAGTGCAAAGGTGTGGTAGGTAGGGAGATTGGATTGATACCTGGCAGGAGCCCCGATTTTGAGTTACGGGTTGAAGGCTTGGGGAGACTCTGTTAGTGGTCTGCACAGCCTTCAGGCCACCAGTGTGCAGTGGGGTGATTTTAGGGATGATGACACCAAGCACTGTTTCACTGATTCCCTGCAGCACTGTGAAGCAGCTCCTGCTAATGTCTGCACTTTAGAAATGGGGCCATGGAAACTCACAGATGAAATAACTTGCTCATGGTCACACTGGAAATAAGGGGTGGAGCTAGGACCTGAATTTAGTTGTGTCCAGAATCAGAGTTCAGGTTTCTATTCACTGCCCTGCATGGCGTCCTTGGAACGGACAAGCAGATCCTTAGGGCTTGCCTCTGCCCTACCAACTGTCCTCGCCCCTTGGAGCCTGGCCTCCATCAGATGCCTGCTGACTTGGGACAGGTTGTGACAGGGCAGGGGAAAAGATGGCTAGAGGCTGAGCACCCACAGCAATGGGAAGGAAGGCACCAGGAGGCAGGCCCAGCATATTTGAATAGGTGGGCATTTCTGGGACTGCAGGCTTTGGTTTGGCAAGTGTGCCTGCCCACACCTTCTTCTTCTGCTAGACCTCAGTGGGTTGGAAGGGATAGGGAGGACCAACAGCAGTGATGGAGGCTGCAGAGGCTGCATACCGCTGTGTGTGCATGAACCTGTGGCATGCACACACACGGAGGGGTGTTGGGATGGGTTGGGTTCACATGGAATTGAGTTTGAGCTGTAAGTGGTAGGGGATGAGGGGCATGTGAGTTTGTGACTGGCTAAAGCAGGAATATTTAGATTCTATGAGCACGGGTATGTGTGTGTGATGGTATACGTGCATAAGAAGCCGTTTCTGGGTAACTAGGGCCTGCACTCTGCTATACGTGTGGCTGGGTGGGTCTGGCCAGTCCCATGGCACTGAGAGTGTGGTGAGTGTGCTCAGGCAGAACGGGTGCTGCCTGCCTACCACATCCGTGGGAGCTGGCCAGGGTGGGGGCAGGGCTGGTGGGCAGGGCTGCCCTAGGACGGGCGTTTCCAGTTCCTGGAACTGCTTCCTTGTGTGGAACCTTTCCCCATACCTCCTAGCTGGGCCCTTGGGAGAGGGGAGGAGGCCGTGGGTCCTTCAAGGGGGTGCTCGCAGGCCAGACACAAGGGAGCTAGGCCTGGGGAACAGAAAGCCACAGCGTGAGTCTTTCAAGCACTTCTGAAGGGTGACATGTGTGAGTTTGTCACACCAGGCCCTCAGTGCGGTCAGGGAGTCTGTACTTCCTGGATGGCGGAACCTGTCTGTCAAGCCCTGCTTCCTCCCCAGCAAGGGGTTGGGGGGAGGGCCTGATGGCAGGAGATGGGCCCCTGGGGCTTTGAGACATGGTGAGGAGAAAAGGGGCAAGTGGGAAGACCCTTTTCCTTCTGTATTTCTCTTTTTTTTTTTTTTTTTTTGAGACATAGAGTCTCACTCTGTCACTCAGGCTGAAGTGCAGTGGCACAGTCTTGGCTCACTGCAAACTCCGTGTCCTGGGTTTAAGCAATTCTGCCTTAGCCTCCCGTGTAGCTGGGATTACATGCTTGCGCCACCACGTCCAGCTAATTTTTTTTTTATTTTTAGTAGAGATAGGGTTTCACCATGTTGGTCTGGCTGGTCTCGAACTCCTGATCTCCAGTGATCTGCTTGCCTTGATCTCCCAAAGTGCTGGGATTACAGGCGTGAGCCACCACACCTGGTCTTGTACCTCTCTGTTCTATGCCTGAACTTCCACCACTGATCACTTGCCATCATCCCAGCAAGTCACACTGAGCCTGTGAAACCACAGGGCACTGGAAACCACACGTTAGGGGAAGTGGGAGAGTTGGCGGGGCTCTCAGATGAACTCCAACCCCTTGTTTCTCGCCTGGGGAAAGTGAGGCCCACAAAAATAGAGGGACTTGGCTCAAGAACATGCAGTGAATCTGTGGCAGAGCCAGGCCCTGGCCCTCTCTTAGGGAGGGGTGCAAGGGGAAAGGAAAAGGAAGACTGGGTCCTGGCCCCTGGCTTGCTCACCCAGGCTGCATCTCCCCCTGCAGGTGATCGAGGAGTTCTACAACCAGACATGGGTCCACCGCTATGGGGAGAGCATCCTGCCCACCACGCTCACCACGCTCTGGTCCCTCTCAGTGGCCATCTTTTCTGTTGGGGGCATGATTGGCTCCTTCTCTGTGGGCCTTTTCGTTAACCGCTTTGGCCGGTAAGTAGGAGAGGTCCTGGCACTGCCCTTGGAGGGCCCATGCCCTCCTGCCCAGGGAGTCCCAGATGGGGTGGGAGGTAGGGGAGACTTATCTGCCTGTTCCAGGGTATTACCTCTGACCCAGCCCCTCGGAGCCCAAGGAATGTGGGCACTGGCCTGACCTGTGACCCCGTCCCCAGGCGGAATTCAATGCTGATGATGAACCTGCTGGCCTTCGTGTCCGCCGTGCTCATGGGCTTCTCGAAACTGGGCAAGTCCTTTGAGATGCTGATCCTGGGCCGCTTCATCATCGGTGTGTACTGCGGCCTGACCACAGGCTTCGTGCCCATGTATGTGGGTGAAGTGTCACCCACAGCCCTTCGTGGGGCCCTGGGCACCCTGCACCAGCTGGGCATCGTCGTCGGCATCCTCATCGCCCAGGTAAGCTGGGGCAGGATCTACCTGCCTGGCACGGCCCCTGCCCACAGCTTCAGTGGCTCTCGGATCTGTGCCCAGCAGGGCAGAGTTTCTCTTCCGCCCAGCCCCCACAGCCTTGCAGAGGACAACTATGGTACACAGGTCCAGAGAACACAGCACCATGGCCTCCCAGTTGACAGCAAGATGACTTGACTCTTCTCAGTCCCTTTCTTCTCACTCTAGGCTTCCAACCACAGGGCCCGCCTTCCCCCAACATGCCGCAGGCTGTTATGCACAGTACCCTCTCTCCAGGAGGCTTCCCCTTCCCTGTCCCCAAAACCCTCTTGTGGCAGAGTAGCAGCCCCCATTCTCTGTGCTGGACACATCTGTGGCCTTGTCATTTGTCCTCCCAGCAACACTGTGGGGTAGGTCCTACTTTTCCCATGTGACCGATGAGGAAACTGAGAAACAGGGCTCATGCTAGTGGCAGAGCCTCTAGAACTGGGGCCCTTCCCTGAAGCAGCAGCTGACACAAAGTAGGGAAGGCCACTCTGGCAGGACGGGGTGGGAAAGGGGGTCAGGGCAGAGGCGCTCACGGCCCCTGCTTCCCCCAGGTGTTCGGCCTGGACTCCATCATGGGCAACAAGGACCTGTGGCCCCTGCTGCTGAGCATCATCTTCATCCCGGCCCTGCTGCAGTGCATCGTGCTGCCCTTCTGCCCCGAGAGTCCCCGCTTCCTGCTCATCAACCGCAACGAGGAGAACCGGGCCAAGAGTGGTACGGGCATGGCCCTGCCCTCCTCCCCACTCCCTGAGCCCTGGCCTTCTTCCCACTCTGAGCCACCCTCACCTTCCCTCCGGTCCCCCCAGTGCTAAAGAAGCTGCGCGGGACAGCTGACGTGACCCATGACCTGCAGGAGATGAAGGAAGAGAGTCGGCAGATGATGCGGGAGAAGAAGGTCACCATCCTGGAGCTGTTCCGCTCCCCCGCCTACCGCCAGCCCATCCTCATCGCTGTGGTGCTGCAGCTGTCCCAGCAGCTGTCTGGCATCAACGCTGTGAGTGCCCCCACCCACCCTTCCTGTGCCCCAGCCAAGCCCTCTGGTCAAGTGTGCATGGTGAACAAGTCCCAAACTTGAAACAACAGATACGCCTCTGCCGAAGAAGTTTCCCTTTAGACCCCAAGCCCGTAAGGTCACTGCAGTGCAGTGTCCCTTCTGCCTGAGTATTTGTCCCCTTCATTCTTTACTCATCCTGGGTCCCACATCCACTGCTACAGAGGCAGGGAAGGGCCACAATGTCCAGGTAGGCCCCAACAGTTTCTCTTGTCTGGCAGGTCTTCTATTACTCCACGAGCATCTTCGAGAAGGCGGGGGTGCAGCAGCCTGTGTATGCCACCATTGGCTCCGGTATCGTCAACACGGCCTTCACTGTCGTGTCGGTGAGTCTTTGCTTACTGGCCCCCCCAGCCAAACCCCAGGGAGGAGGCAGTGCCATCTTCCCCACTGGTCTTTGCAGTGCCCTGTGACTTTCTCAGCTCTTGAGGCAAGGCCTCTGGGTGGGTGGGTTCAGAAGGGCACTAGGCAGGGGTGGCACTGACACTGTCTCTGCCCACAGCTGTTTGTGGTGGAGCGAGCAGGCCGGCGGACCCTGCACCTCATAGGCCTCGCTGGCATGGCGGGTTGTGCCATACTCATGACCATCGCGCTAGCACTGCTGGTGAGTTGCTAGGTTCTGGAGAGTGAGGGATGCGGGAGAGTTTGCCTGGGCTTCATATCCCAAAATGCCTGTCTCAGCCCCAGGCTGGCAGGCCTTTTGGTGGCTGCATTCTCCCTGGCTGTGGGTCTGACTTTCTGGCTCCTGAAGTTGTCTCCTTCCAAACCACACACATCCTCTCTTGAACTTGCTCCTCCCTGCTTGATGGATTCTCAGCGCAGCACCTCTGGTCCCAGACCCCAAACTCTCACCTCCTTAAGGAATTGCTTTGCCTAATATTAACCCTTTCCAATCTTCATCTGTAGCCTCAATTCATCTTCACAGCAACCCCGGGAAGTAGTGCTGTCCTCCCCATAGAGGCGCAGAAACATGCCTTGCCTCATTCAGTTCACACGACTGGAGGTGTAGTTCAGTTCTTCCCATTTTATGGGGGAGGAAGCTTAAGTCCCAGTGAGGTTAGTAACTTGTCAGATAAAGGATGAAGCCAGGAATCAACCTCAGTCCCAGGCCTGTGACTGTGACCGCTGTGCTAACCCTGTGCCTGGCACTCACACACAGGCACTCGTTTATTTAGCCTCTGGGCAAGGAAAGCACCATGACTGTCATTTTACAGCTCAACCTGGGCTTGGAAAGTTTGGTGGTTGCCGAAAGGCCAGACAGGCAGCAAGTGGAAAGCCCATAAATTTTCTACCCTGGCCTCCTCAAGAATGGTTATATGCAGAACCGTATGCTTAGCGCTTACTCTGTGCCAGCCTGAGCTGGGCACCTCACACGCCTTAGAACCTGAATCCACCCCACCCCCAGGAATGTTCTGCATCCTGCCACAGGCGGACTGTGCTGCAGGCACAGACAGGGGACCATGGGGCCTCTTAGCACCGTCCACATGCACACCACATTACCACTCCCAGCGGGTGGACTCAACACTTGCAGCCACCCTGCAGGACTTAAATCATTTTGTTCGGATGAGGAAACTTAGGCCCAATGCTGGATACACAACAAATCCAGGACCATCCCCAGGCTTCCTGCCTTCTCGCATAGCTCTGCTCTGGCCTCTGTAGCTTCTGTTTCCCCTGAGGATCCATCACAACCCAGTCTAACTTTTCCCCCTCTCCGTCATCCTCAACAGGAGCAGCTACCCTGGATGTCCTATCTGAGCATCGTGGCCATCTTTGGCTTTGTGGCCTTCTTTGAAGTGGGTCCTGGCCCCATCCCATGGTTCATCGTGGCTGAACTCTTCAGCCAGGGTCCACGTCCAGCTGCCATTGCCGTTGCAGGCTTCTCCAACTGGACCTCAAATTTCATTGTGGGCATGTGCTTCCAGTATGTGGAGGTGAGAACCCCCACTGTCTCTATACTCACCCGCACGCATGACCCCACAGTGCTGTGCAAAGTGCTGGCCCAGCATTCTCATTAGGAATCATGCTGAGGAGGAAACTGAGGGTAGGAAGCCCAGGTCACATGACCAAGAATGCTGACCTCAACTCCAGGGTTCTCCCCTTAGCCTTGAATGGTGCTCCTGGAGCCTGTTACATTCTAGGTACAAGCGTGGTCTCAGTTAATTATGATAGCATCCCTGGGTAGGTGGATGTTCCCTTTTCAGCTCAAAGGCCCAAAGGTAAAGTGACTTATCCAAAGTCCTACAGCCAGGATGTAGGGTCATGACTCCAACCAAGTGTGTCTGTGTGTCTTTCAGCAACTGTGTGGTCCCTACGTCTTCATCATCTTCACTGTGCTCCTGGTTCTGTTCTTCATCTTCACCTACTTCAAAGTTCCTGAGACTAAAGGCCGGACCTTCGATGAGATCGCTTCCGGCTTCCGGCAGGGGGGAGCCAGCCAAAGTGACAAGACACCCGAGGAGCTGTTCCATCCCCTGGGGGCTGATTCCCAAGTGTGAGTCGCCCCAGATCACCAGCCCGGCCTGCTCCCAGCAGCCCTAAGGATCTCTCAGGAGCACAGGCAGCTGGATGAGACTTCCAAACCTGACAGATGTCAGCCGAGCCGGGCCTGGGGCTCCTTTCTCCAGCCAGCAATGATGTCCAGAAGAATATTCAGGACTTAACGGCTCCAGGATTTTAACAAAAGCAAGACTGTTGCTCAAATCTATTCAGACAAGCAACAGGTTTTATAATTTTTTTATTACTGATTTTGTTATTTTTATATCAGCCTGAGTCTCCTGTGCCCACATCCCAGGCTTCACCCTGAATGGTTCCATGCCTGAGGGTGGAGACTAAGCCCTGTCGAGACACTTGCCTTCTTCACCCAGCTAATCTGTAGGGCTGGACCTATGTCCTAAGGACACACTAATCGAACTATGAACTACAAAGCTTCTATCCCAGGAGGTGGCTATGGCCACCCGTTCTGCTGGCCTGGATCTCCCCACTCTAGGGGTCAGGCTCCATTAGGATTTGCCCCTTCCCATCTCTTCCTACCCAACCACTCAAATTAATCTTTCTTTACCTGAGACCAGTTGGGAGCACTGGAGTGCAGGGAGGAGAGGGGAAGGGCCAGTCTGGGCTGCCGGGTTCTAGTCTCCTTTGCACTGAGGGCCACACTATTACCATGAGAAGAGGGCCTGTGGGAGCCTGCAAACTCACTGCTCAAGAAGACATGGAGACTCCTGCCCTGTTGTGTATAGATGCAAGATATTTATATATATTTTTGGTTGTCAATATTAAATACAGACACTAAGTTATAGTATATCTGGACAAGCCAACTTGTAAATACACCACCTCACTCCTGTTACTTACCTAAACAGATATAAATGGCTGGTTTTTAGAAACATGGTTTTGAAATGCTTGTGGATTGAGGGTAGGAGGTTTGGATGGGAGTGAGACAGAAGTAAGTGGGGTTGCAACCACTGCAACGGCTTAGACTTCGACTCAGGATCCAGTCCCTTACACGTACCTCTCATCAGTGTCCTCTTGCTCAAAAATCTGTTTGATCCCTGTTACCCAGAGAATATATACATTCTTTATCTTGACATTCAAGGCATTTCTATCACATATTTGATAGTTGGTGTTCAAAAAAACACTAGTTTTGTGCCAGCCGTGATGCTCAGGCTTGAAATGCATTATTTTGAATGTGAAGTAAATACTGTACCTTTATTGGACAGGCTCAAAGAGGTTATGTGCCTGAAGTCGCACAGTGAATAAGCTAAAACACCTGCTTTTAACAATGGTACCATACAACCACTACTCCATTAACTCCACCCACCTCCTGCACCCCTCCCCACACACACAAAATGAACCACGTTCTTTGTATGGGCCCAATGAGCTGTCAAGCTGCCCTGTGTTCATTTCATTTGGAATTGCCCCCTCTGGTTCCTCTGTATACTACTGCTTCATCTCTAAAGACAGCTCATCCTCCTCCTTCACCCCTGAATTTCCAGAGCACTTCATCTGCTCCTTCATCACAAGTCCAGTTTTCTGCCACTAGTCTGAATTTCATGAGAAGATGCCGATTTGGTTCCTGTGGGTCCTCAGCACTATTCAGTACAGTGCTTGATGCACAGCAGGCACTCAGAAAATACTGGAGGAAATAAAACACCAAAGATATTTGTCTCTAGAGGCTCAGCTGACAAAATCTGGGAGAAGTTTGCTTTTGTAACTACAGGCAGGCTTTTTTCTCCCTGACATGAAGAGGGGTTGTAAGAAGGGTGTGAGAAAGGAAAACTGGTACTTAGCAAATGGAAATACCTATATGTATTACCATTAGGTATAAAGAATCTATGAGGACATCCATCTGCATCTCAACAAAGAAGAGCAGGTTGCGAAGAATATGCCCTGCCTGAGCCTGGGGACAGGGCGGTTAACTGGTGAAGGGCTGAGGCCAGATGAAAGGAAGCCTTATCGTGTGCTCCCAAAAGACTTCTGTTGAAAGGAGTTATCCGGGTCCCCGTGCGGGAGGGGGTGCGGGGGCAGGGCAAGAAGGAGAGGCCGGGGGCCCAGGTATCTTACTCCTACGACGCTGCTCACTCAGGGCTGTCCCCACTGGACCAGAAAGGAAACAGACGGGGTGGGGTGGGGTGGGGTGGGGTGGGGATGGGTGGGAGCCCCGCGCCGGTGGCCGGACGCGAGGACTACAAGGCGGATGGCGGGCGGAGCTCATTCACACTCGAGGGCCCAGAACGTTGGCAGAGCCAGGCAGCACCCGAGCCCCGCCCCGGCCCAGAGGTTCAGACCCCGGTCTGAAAAGGCCCGACAATCCACTCGCAGCTGCCTCCCGCCCTGGGTCAGTATCGACGTCCCCGAGCACCGCCATTTCCCAAACTGCAAAATGTCAGCGCAGGCGCAGGGAAGCCGGCCCGCCCTCAGCGTGGTCCAGAGTGCCGCGACGGCACAGCTGCCGGTCGGTCCCCTGACGCCTTTCCTCTAGGGGCCGCAATCCACCCCGGGGTAGAAGATTTGGGGCCAAGGTTCGGCCGCCTACTGCCGGGGTCGATGGCGCATCCTCTCCAGACCTCACAGCGGTCCCCTAAGCCGGGCCACCGGCGGCGCACGGACACGATTGGGGATGGGCGGGGCCAGGTGGTTTCTCCACCAATCAGAGGCGCATTGTTGGGCCCGACGAGGGGCGGGCTCCAAGACTCCACCAATCACACCCTGGCGGTTCCAGGCGCTGGCCCTTGGGGACGACCTGGGCGCCTGCTTGCCAGGCGATGCGGTTTACTCTGGAGGGGGTGACGGTGACTTGTGTATCGCTGGGCATCCCTGGGGACGTAGCTCACCCGGGTTCCTATCCCGCGTAAGGTGACGTCTACGGTTTCTGACGAAAAGGGGTAAATAGATAACGGGACTGTTCTCCAGGCCACCATCTTTTCCCAGCAGTGCTTAGTTGTTTCACTGACAGTGTTATGAGATCTTTCATTTGAAATCTTAGGCGCAAAATCTCCTCTCCCTGGAAGCCTTCTGGATCAGGTTTTCCCGGGAACACTACATCGGCTTGTATTTCCTCCATCAAAGCGCTCTCCACGCTGTACCGGAATTGAGTGTCTTTCCACCACATTGGGGGCGGGGGCGGGGACGAGGGCGGGGGTTGGGGGGGTAGGGCAGCTGCCGCAGGAACAGGACTGAGCCATTCCTTGGTCCCCACTTCCCACCACAGACTCTGGTCAGGATTATTGAATGAATGAAGTAGAATTTAGAAGCCAAGAAGTTCTGAAATCTGAATTCTTACAGTGCAATTTTAGGTAGACGATCTGACAATTCAGGATGTATTTAATAATAGGGAAAGGATATCATTCTTTTCTGTCAACTACATTTTTAATGACCCCTTTTTCATTCTGTGATTTTTATTTCATAAGTCTCCTACAGTTCTGGTCCGTCTGTCCATTGCAATTGCTGGGCCTACTGCTGGCCACTCATCACCTCTCCCAGGATCACTGCAACTGCCTTCTCACTGATCTCTGTGCTTCCTGCTTCCTCCTCATTCTCCACACTGCAATCGATGATCTTCCTAAAATTCAAATCTAGTTATGTCTCTCTCCTACTTAAAAACCTTCCTGGGTTCCTCATTTCTCTCAGGATAATGTCTGTGTTTCTTAACCTGAAAATTCAAGTCATTCATGATCAAGCTCTCGACCTCACCACTGCCCCCACTCAACCCCAACCCTATCCTCCAGCCATCCATCCACTCTGTTCTCTGATCACGTTCTCCTTCTCCTCTGGGCCTCTGAAGTTTCCTCCGAAGAGACTGCCCTCCCACCTACTCCTGTTATCCACTAGGTGATCACACCCCACCACAGCTCAAGGAGTGAGAGAACAGAAGCTGCTAGTTGGGAGTCTGGCTCATCCATTCATTGGCACATTCCTGCCAACTAGTGGCTGTTTTGTGAACATTTTGATCAGGGCAGGGTTTAACCTCACACTTTCAGGGTTTCAGAGATACTACGTTGCTTTGGAGGGAACCCTTGACTGGTCCTACTACAACAAATCCATCTGGTAACCCTGACCCTGGCTTCCCAAATGATCTTCCTAAAAATGTGTTCTGACCACATTATTCTGTGGGTTAATACTCCCCACTTTCTCATGATAAAGCCCAAATTCCTTAACCACATTCTGGCCTTTGCAGACCTTATCTTCCAATACACTCCTTCCACACCCTAATCTCCAGTGAAGCTTGATGTACTCTATGTTCCCAGGACAACTCCTCACCCTAAAACTTTTTGTTCAATCCCCTTTCTCCTGGTCTGCCTTTGGTCTCTCCATAAGATTATCTGATATCAAAATACCAAATTAGCTGTCACTTTCTCTATGAAGCATTTGCTCAATTCTTTGAACCATTACCTAACTGAGTACACACTTGTTGCCACGTTTTCTCCTCAGTTGTGCTGGGTCTTGGAAAAAATATGGTTTCTGGAGTCAGAAATAGCTGATTTAAGATTCCTGCACTGCTATTTAGCTGAATAATCTTGGGCAAGTCACTTCACCTTTCTGATCTTCTGTTTCTTTTCTGTTGTAATATTAAAATGAAATAATATATATTGTAATGCAGATATCGGCTGGAGTTACATCATCTTCCCCCTTCCAAATGTTTCAGAAAGTCTGGTAATCACCCCCAAGGTTTCTGTGAATTCCCAGGGATCTTTTGTTTTCTTTCTTTCTTTTTTTGACACGGAGTCTCCCTCTGTCACCCAGGCTGGAGTGCAGTGGTACCATCTCGGCTCACTGCAACCTCCACCTCCCGGGTTCAAGCAGTTCTCTGCCTGAGCCTCCCAAGTAGCTGGGATTACAGGCCCCCACCACCACACCCCACTAATTTTTGTATTTTTAGTAGAGACAGGGTTTCACCATGTTGGCCAGGCTGGTCTTGAACTCCTGACCTCGTGACCTCATGATCCACCTGCCTCGGCCTCCCAAAGTGTTGGGATTACAGGCATGAGCCACCACGCCTGGCCCCCAGAGATCTTTTATATATTTTTTTTTTTTTTTTTTTTTGAGACAGAGTTTTGCTCCTGTCATCCCTTGGCCTCTTTCCCAGCTCAGGCTTTGGGCCCAAACTCCAACCAGCTTGCCCAGTCCCCACTTTGCTTGTCAAAGGCCTTGACTAATGCTTTGAAATGACAGCTGGTAAGGACCTGTCAATTTACTTGGGCTTTCCTTTACCCAGTTTTTATCAGGGAGCAGGGGAATCACAAATTTCCCCTTAAAATGTGCGATCTCTTACAAAAGTTATTCCATACACGTTTGCATGAAGCAATGGATGAGAAGACTTAAGCGTGTTTATTAAGTGGTAATGGATTTCCTTTGTTCTTGGACTCACTGTTTTTGTCCTAGTCTCCTCATAAAGGACTGGATCCCAGTGCGTCACAATTGTCATGGACAAAGAGCTTGATTTTGAATTATGGTTCAAGAGGAAGGTGGTTTTGACCCCAACCTAGGATATCAGTTTTTCCATCTTCTGCCACTGTCTCAAAACGAATTCCACATCTCTGTCTTTCTTCTAGAGTAGTTATCTTCAAATTTTTTTGCTCACATACTTCCTAAAAGAATTTTGAGGCCAGGCCTGGTGGTTCACACCTGTAATCTCAGCACTTTGGGAGACCAAGGAGGGTGGATCACTTGGGCTCAGGAGTTTGAGACCAGCCTGGACAACATGGCGAAACCCTGTCTCTACAAAAAATACAAGAGTTAGTTGAGTGTGGTGGTGCATGCCCATAGTCCCAGCTACTCAGGAGGCTGAGGTGGGAGGATTGCTTGAGGCCAGGAGGTCAAGGTTGCAATGTGTGAGCTATGATCACACCACTGTACTCCAGCCTGGGAGACAAAGCAAGAACTTGTCTCAAAAAAAAAAAAAAAAAGAATTTGAAAAACTATCTCTTTGCTTATTTTTAGATTGAAGTTACAAATTTGTCTTCTTAAATTCAAATATTTGCAGGAGATTTAATTTCTGATATGTGATATTGTCATTTTATTTTATTTTATTATTTTTTGAGATGCTGTCTCTCTGTGTCCCCAGGCTGGAGTGCAGTGGCATGATCTCGACTCACTGCAACCTCCACCTCCTGGGTTCAAGCAGTTCTCCTGCCTCAGCATCCTGAGTAACTGGGATTATAGGTGCCTGCCACCATGCCAGGCTAATTTTTGTAATTTCTTTTAGTAGAGACGGGGTTTAATCATACTGTCCCGGCTGGTCTCGAACTCCTGACCTCAAATGATCCACCTGCCTCGGCCTCCCAAGGTGCTGGGATTACTGGCATGAGCCACCGTGTCAGGCTGATATTGTCATTTTACAATAAAACTCTTACATTACTCTTCTTTATATATTCAAACAATATACCACAGTGTTACTATATCCATATCCACAAAATAGGAGATTTTGTATATATATTATTAGATTTATACATAAGTATTTCAATATGGGGGGTGCTAATATAATGGTAGTATGTTTTAATTTCCACTTGTTCATTGCTGGCATATAGAAAGCAAATGACTTTTGTATATTAACCTTGTATCCTGCAATGTTGCTATAATTAATTGCTTATTAGTTCCAGTGGTTATTTTGTAGATACTTTTGGATTTTCTATATAGACGATCATGTCATCAGCCAACAACAACAGTTTAATTTCATCATTACCAATCAGTATACCTTTTATTTCATTTTGTTGTCTTGTTGCATAAGCTAGGACTTCCAATACAGTGTTGGAAAGGAATAGTGAAGAGGACATCCTTGCCTTGTTCCTGATCTTAGCAACAATAATGCTTCACATTTTTCACCATTAAGTATAATATTTAGCTGTAGGTTTTTTGTAAACATTCTTTAATCAAGTTGAGGAAGTTTCCCTCTATTTCTAGTTTCCTGAGAGTTTTTATCAGGAATGAATGATGGATATTGTGAAATACTTTTTCTTTCTTTCTTTTTTTTTTTTTTTTGAGACAGACTCTCACTCTGTTGCCCAGGCTGGAGTGCAGTGGTGCAATCTCAGCTCACTGCAACCTCCGCCTCCCAGTTCAAGTGATTCTCCTGCCTCAGCCTCCTGAGTAGCTGGGAGTACAGGTGTGCACCACCACACCCAGCTAATTTTTGTTTTTTAGTAGAGATGGGGTTTCACCATGTTGGCCAGGCTAGTCTCGAACTCCTGACCTCAAGTGATTCATCCGCCTCGGCCTCCCAAAGTGCTGAGATTGCAGGTGAGAGCCACCACGCCCAGTCCTGTGAAATACTTTTTCTGTATGCACTGATATGACCATGTGATTTTTCTTCCTCCTCTTCTTCTTCTTCTCCTTTTCTGTCTTCCTTTTCTTCTTCTCCTTTTTTTTTTTTTTTTTTTTTTTTTGAGACAGAGTCTCACTCTGTCACCCAGGCTGGAGTGCAGTGGCGCGATCTCGGCTCACTGTAGCCTCTGCCTCCCAGGTTCAAGCAATTCTCCTGCCTCAGCCTCCCAAGTAGCTGGGACTACAGGCACATGCCAACATGCCCGGCTAATTTTTTGTATTTTTAGTAGAGATGGGGTTTCAACGCGTTAGCCAGGATGGTCTCCATCTCCTGACCTTGTGATCTGCCCGCCTTGGCCTCCTGAAGTGTTGGGATTACAGGCGTGAGCCACCACGCCTGGCCTTTGATTTTTCTTCTTTAGCCCGTTGATGTAATTACATATAGATTACATTAATTGAGGGTTGTTTTTTCAGGTTTTGTTTTTGTTTTTGTTTTGTTTTTAAGACAGACTCTCTCTTTGTCACCCAGGCTGGAGTGCAATGGGGCAATCTCAGCTCACTGCAACCTCTGCCTCCTGTGTTCAAGCAATTCTCCTGCCTCAGCCTCCGGAGTAGCTGGGATTACAGGTGCCCACCACCACACCCAGCTAATTTTTGTATTTTGGTAGAGATAGGGTTTGGCCATGTTGGCCTGGCTGGTCTCAAACTCCTGACCTCAGGTGATCTGCCTGCCTCAGCCTCCCAAAGTGCTGGGATTACAGGCGTGAGCCACCACGCCCAGCCAATTGTGTTTTTAATGTTGAACCAGGCTTGCATGCCTGGAATAAATCACATTTGGTCATGTATATAATTTTTTTAATGCATCATTGGGTGTGCTTTGCTAATATTTTGTTAAGGATTTTTGCATTTATTTTCATGAGAGATACTTGTCTGTAGTTTTCTTTTAAATTTATTTATTTATTTTAAATTGACAAATCGATTTGTAGTTTTCTTGTAATGTATTTGTCTGGTTTTAATATTAGGGTAATACTGGCCTCATAGAATGAGCTGTTTCTATCTTCTGGAAGATGTTTAGAAAATTGGTATAATTTTTTTCTTAAATGTTTGGTAGAATTCACTAGTGGATCCATCTGAGCCTAGTACTTTTTGTTTGAGGAGTTTATTATTTATTGATTCTGTTTCTTTAACAGATGCAAGCCTGTTTCAGATTGTCTACTTCTTGTGTGAGTTTTAACAGATTGTGTCTTTCAAGGAATTGGTCCATTTCATCTGGGTTGTCAAATCTGTGGGCATAGAGTTGTTCATAATATTCATGTATTATTCTTTTAACATCCATGGGATTTGAATTGATCTCCTCTCTTTCATTTTCAGTATTTGTAATTCATGTCTTTTCTCTTTTTTTCTTAGTTAGCTTTGCTAGAACCTTATGATTTTACTGATTTTTACAAAGAAACAGGTTTTGGTTATGTTGATTTTCACTATTGATTTCCTGTTTTCAATTCATTGATTGCTGATATAATTTTTATTATTTATTTTAATCTGATTGCTTTAAAACTGTGTATAGAATCCTAGGTTTTTGGCTTTTTCTCTTTCAACACTAAGTATTCCACTCCATTATTTTCTTGCTTACGTGATTTCTGAGAAGAAGTTGGATATAATTCTTATTTTTGCTCCCCTATAGGTAAGTGGCTTTTTTCCTCTGGCTTCTTTCAAAATTTTTTCTTCATCTTTAATTTTCTGCAGCTTGAATATTATATGTCTAGGTGTAGTTTATTTGTTTGTTTGTTTTTGGCATTATTTTGCTTGGTTATTTCTGAGCTTCCTGATCTGTGGTTTGGTGTCTGGCACTAATTTGGTGAAATTCTCAGGCATTATTGCTTCAAATGTTTCTGTTGTTCCTTTCTCTCTTTCTTCTTCAGGTATTCTCATTATGCCTATATTATACTTTTTGTAATTAGATATTCTTTCTCATTTTTTTCATGTCTTTTTTCTCTTCACTTTCAGTTTTCAAAGTTTCTGTTGACATATCCTCAAGCTCAGAGGTTCTTTTTTCTCCAGCCATTTGCAGTGTACTAATGAGTCCATCAAAAGCTTTCTTCATTTGTTAGTGGTTTTTTTCTTATCTCTATCATTTCTTTTTTATTCTTTCTTATAATTTTTATCTTTCTGTTTAAATTGTCCATCTGTTTTTGCATGTTATCTACTTTTTCCATTAGAGCTCTTAACGTATTAATCATAGTGAGAGGTGACAACGTGCTAGCAGCCCTTGCTCGCTCTCAGCACCTCCTCGGCCTTGGCATCCGCTCTGGCCATGCTTGAGGAGCTCTTCAGCCTGCCGCTGCACCGTGGGAGCCCCTCTCTGGGCTGGCCGAGGCTGGAGCCAGCTCCCTCTGCTTGCAGGGAGGTGAGCATGGAGAGTCGCGGGCGGGAACTGGGGCTGCCCACAGCACTAGCGGGCCAGCGTGAGTTCCGGGTGGGTGTGGGCTCTGAGCCCCGCAGTCAGAGTGGCCGGCTGGCGCCGCTGGCTTAGGGCAGTGAGGGGCTTAGCACCCGGGCCAGCAGCTGCGGAGGGGGCGCCGGGTCCCCCAGCACTGCCGGCCTGGGCCACACTCGAATTCTCACCAGGCCTCAGCTGCCTCTCTGCAGGGCAGGGTTCAGGACCTGCAGCCCACCATGCCCAAGCCCTGTGGCGGTGGGCTCCCACGCAGCCCCAGCCTCCCCGACGGGTGCCGCCCCCTGCTCCGCAGTGCCCAGTCCCATCAACTGTGCAAGGACTGAGGCATGCAGGTGCATGGCACGGGACTGGCAGGCATCTCCGCACCCAGCCCTGGAGCGGGATCCACTCCGCGAAGCCAGCTGTGCTCCTGAGTTGGATGGGGACTTGGAGAACTTTTATGTCTAGCCAGAGGATTGTATATGCACCAGTCAGCACTCTGTCTCAAGTTCAGGGCTCGTGGATGCACCAATCAGCACTCTGTATCTAGCTAATCTGGTGGGGACTTTGAGAAACTGTATGTCTAGCTGAAGGATTGTAAATACACCAATCAGCACTCTGTGTCTAGCTCAAGGTTTGTAAATGCACCAATCAGTGCTCTGTGTCTAGTTCATCTGGTGGGGTTTTGGAGAATTTTTACCTCTAGCTAGAGAATTGTAAATACACCAATCAGCACTCTGTGTCTAGCTCAGGGATTGTAAATGCACCAATCAGCTCCCTGTCAAAATGGACCAATCAGCTCTCTGTAAAACAGACCAATCAGCTCTCTGTAAAATGGACCAATCAGCTCTCTGTAAAATGGGCCAATCAGCAGGATGTGGGTGGGGTCAGATAAGGGAATAAAAGCAGGCTGCCGGAGCTAGCAGTGGCAATGTGCTTGGCTGCTCTTCTGTGGTGTGGAGGGTTTGTTCGTTTGCTCTTTGCAATAAATTTTGGTGCTGCCCACTGTTTTGGTCCCCATTGCCTTTATGAGCTGTAGCACCGTGAAGGTCTGCAGCTTCACTCCTGAAGCCAGCAAGACCACAAACCCACCAGAAGGAGGAAACTCTGAACACGTCTGAACATCAGAAGAAATCAACTCTGGACACACAACATTTGAGAACTGTTAACAGTCACCGCGAGGGTTCGCAGCTTCATTCTTGAAGTCAGTGAGACCAAGAGCCCACCAATTTCAGACACAATAGTAGTTTTAAATTCCGATTAGGGGAATTCCAACATCCCTGCTATGTCTGTGTCTGCTTCTGATGGTTGCACTATTTGTTCAAGCTGTGGTTTTTTTTCTTTTAATGTGCCTTCTAATTTTTTTGTTGGAAAAAAATGAGCAGTTTTGTACTGGGTAAATGGAACTGTGGTAAATAGGCCTTTAGAGCCTGGGGAACAGAGTGAGACCTATCTCTAAACAAACAAACAACAACAAAACCTTAACTAAGCATGTCTGTAGTCCCAGCTATTTGGGAGGCTCAGGCAGAAGGAGCACTTGAGCCTAGGAATTTGAGGCTACAGTGAGCTATAATTGAGCCACTGCACACCAGCTTGGGCGACAGAGTGAGACTCCGTCTTGGGGGAAAAAAAAAGATATAGATCTTTAGTAATGTAGAAGTGCGGTGTTGCAGGAGGGAGAAGTGTTCTACAGTTCTATTATTAGGTCTCAGTTTTTTGGTGAGGCTTTGGGTCTAGGCTGTGAACTTCACCAGTGCTTCTCAGCTTTTGTTTTTTCCCCTTAGGTGGGGGCAAAACCACTAGAGGAGACTGAAGTTGGGTATCTCCCTTCTCCTACAGGGAAGCTTAGAGGAAGCTGGAGTTGGTATTTCCTTTCCCCCAGGTGGGAGGCTGCAGACTGCTGGAGTTGGGTATTTCCCTTCCCTGGGGTAGGTTAGGCTCTGGCAAAATTCTTTCTCCTGAGGGTAGACCTTTTTAAAAACAACAGAATGCTTTGGCATACTGCAAAATGGTTTATTTCCCCTCCCTCTGCTAGAAGCATGAAGGGATTTTTCTCTGAGATTTACTGTGAGGATCTGGTAGAGCTCTGAGAGGTAAAAATCACAAAAGTGTTGGGGCATCTCCATAACTCAGTACCCCTGGAATGTTTTTTTTCTTTTGAGACAGGGTCTTGCTCTGTCACCCAGACTGGAGTGCAGTGACATGCTCATGGCTCACTGCAGCCTCAACCCCTTTGGGCTCAAGCGATTCTCCTGCCTTAGCCTCCTGAGGAGCTGCGACTAGTGGAGTGCACTACCAAACCCAGCTAATTTTTAAAGTTTTTAAAGAGACGGGGTCTTGCCATGTTGCCTAGCCTGGTCTTAAACTGTTGAGCTCAAGCAATCCTCCCACCTCAGCCTCCCAAAGTGTTGGGATTACAGGTGTGAGCCACCATGCCTGGCCCCTGGTGGAATTTTTAACTCTCTGAGTTGTCCACACTGTTTCTCCAAAAATTGGGGCAGTTACAGTTTAGGTTTTCCTATTCCTGTTTTCAAACCTCCTGTAGAGGCTTCTGCTCATCTGTTGCATTTCCAGTAACTTGTGACTGCCTGTATTTCCTGTCTCTCCAATTTTGGCGGCAGCAATCTGCCTAGTGGTCTCATTCCTCTAACAAATCTAAGAAGAGTTGTTCAGCTTTTGTTTGGTTTTGTTATTGTTGCTCAGCCTTTTAACCTGTTTAGATGGAGTGTTACCTTCTAAGCTCCTTACATGCTGGACCGGAAACCAAATTTCTGTCCTTCGTTTCTGAAGGACAGTTTTCCTGAATACTATTCTTGCTTGGCAGGTTTTCTTTCAGTGCTCTGAATATATCATCCCACTCCCTTCTGTCCTGTAAGGTTTCTGCTGAGAAATCTGCTGATAATTTTATAAGAGCTCCCTTGTGCTTGATGAGTCACTTTACTCTTGCTGCCTTCAGAGTCTCTCTTTGACTTTTGACAGTTTATTATGTGTCTCAGGGATGGCTTCTTTGGATCATATATTGTATCCCATAAGTCCCTTAGGCTTTCTTAACTTTTCTTCATCTTTTCTTTTGTTTCCCCTGACTCAGTAATTTCAAATAACCTGTCTCAAATTTCCTGATTGTTTCTTCTGCTCAATTAGATCTGTTATGATCCCTTCTAGTGAATTGTTCAATTCAGTTATTGTTTTTTTCAACTCCAGAATTTCCATTTGGTCTTTTTCTTAACAGATTCTTTTTTTTCTTTTTAGAGACAGGGTCTCACTCTATTGCCCAGGCTGGTCTCAAACACCTGGGCTCATGTAATCCTCCTGCCTCAGCCTCCCAGAGTGCTGGAATTTCAGGCCTGAGCCACTGCACCCGGCCTCTGCGTCTTTGTTGGTATTCTGGTTTTTATGGGTCACTTCCTGGTTTCATTTGTGTATCTGATTCTCTTGTAGCCCACTGAGCCTCTTTAAGATGATTATTTTGAATTCGTTGTCAGGTAATTCATAGATCTCTGTTTCTTTAGGGTTCCATTTCTGATACATAGTTGGTCCTCTGGACCATGTTTCCCACTATCATCATATGTCTTGTTATTTTTTGCAAGAGTTTGTGGATTTGAAAAAATGACCATGTCTTCCAGTTTTAATGGATTGGCTTCATAAAGGGGAAAACCTTAAACATTCAGCTCAACTAACAGTTTGGGGGAGTGGTCTCTCAAACCTTTTCTGGAGATACGTATTCTTGGGCTTGTGCCTGTGATTTCCCAATTCGAGAGGTTTGCTGGTGTCTTTTCAGAAGCTTGTGGTCTCTTGCTCTCTCTGGTGTCTGTCTACAGTACTGCAAGTTCTCAGGGTCTACAACAAGCTGTTGATGTCTCTTGTTCTCAGCAGTCCCCAGGGGATGTGTATGTATGTATGTATATATATATATGTGTGTGTGTGTGTGTGTGTGTGTATGTGTATATATGTGTATATATATGTGTATATATGTATATATATGTGTATATATGTATATATGTGTATATATGTGTATATATACACATATACATATACACATATATGTATATATATACGTGTGTGTATATATATATATATATATAATTTTTTTTTTAACTTTATCAGCACTCAGTGTCAGGCAAGACAGAAACCGGTCCCTCAGGGAGCCCCCTGAAAAGCCTGAATGTTGGACGCACATTCTACTCTTCTGTTTCACTCTCAAGGTAGAAGCTTCAAGTTGGGCATTTACTCCTGAAAGCACCAAGCTGTACTGGCTTTGGGAAAGGGCTATTGTAGGTTAAATGAAAATGTTTCTTCTTACCCATTTTAATATAGCTGTTCTTGACTTTGAACTTGCCTCAGGCACTAGTTTCTAGAATTCTCATAAAAGCTTTTTGGACCATATATTAAGTCAGTGTCTATGGAGGAACAAGGTCTGAGATGTCCTATTATGCTGTATTACTGATGTTACTCCTCTCAGGAAGATTAGTTTTTGAAAAGAGTACATGCAGAAAGTAAAGATCGGGATTTGGACATCGATTCCCTTAAAGCTAAATATGTTCACATATTCCTTGGAAATTTTTTTGGACATCCACAGGTATGAATACCCAGTTTGAAGATAACCTTTTTGGAGGATTCAAATTAGTATTCTTTTGGCTGCCTTTGGGATTTTGTTTCCTAAGTCTGCCTTGAATGTGCTCTCAAAATACCTACTTCCTATACTGGATCTCTTCCACCCCCAAGCTGGGCACCTGGGTCAGAGGATGTGTCTGGCAGGCTTTGAATGGTATAATGGTTAATTTTATGTGTCAACTTGACTGGGTTAAGGAAGACCCAAATGGCTAGTAAAACATTATTTCTGGGTATGTTTTTAGAGTATTCCCAGAGATTAGCATTTGGGTCAGCGTACTGAGTAAAAATGATTCACCCACCCTAGTGTTAGCAGGTCTTATCCAACTCATTGAGGGCCCATCTGAATGGAATAAAAAGGTAGAGGAGGGGGGAATTCTCTCTCTCTCTCTTTAGCTGGGACATCCATTTCCTTCCTTTGGACATTGGAGCTCCTGATTCTTAGGCCTTCAGACTTCAGGAGTCAGAGCAGCAGCCACCTGGGTCTCAGGCCCCCAGCCTTGGATTGGGAGTTATATCATTGGCTCCCCTGTTTCTCAGGCTTTCAAATTCACACTGAATTTCACTACCATATTTCCTGTTTCTCCAGTGTGCAGGCAGTATATCATGGGACGGACTTCTTGGCCTCTACAATCACTTGAACCAATTCTTATAATATATCTGCCCTTAATATCTGTATAAATATCTTATTGGTTCTGGTTTTTTCGAGAACCCTGACTAATGCAGATTTCGATACTGAGAGTGGTTCTAGAGCAACAGAATTTTAAGGATGAGTTTGCTGAATTGGTTTTGGGGCTTATGGAATTGGCTCTTCAATCATCTTAGATTTCAAGATGCTAAGGACTCTATAGTAGTCTATTGCATGAACTATTTATAAAGATATGCATTAGATGCTCCTAGTTTACCAAATATAAGAAGTAAAAACCTAAGTAACTCTGTATATGATACTTTCAAACGTTTTTGGAAAACCAAGGAATATAATGCCATTGGTTGGTTGCTCCTAATGTCACTGAACAAAATGGTGAAAGAGGAGGATGAGCTCAGAGATTCAAATTACCAGCTTGAGCTTCAAATAAATGATCTAAGAGCTTCTACATGTGCCCTGAGGGAGAGCCTTATCTCCTAAAACCTCAGTACTGAAATTGCTGCAAATGAAACAGAAGATTTCATCTTGTAATTGGCTGAATTACAATGCAAATTGAACACGCAGCCTTACTACAGGGTGTAAGTAGGCAGCCTTACACCCTGCCTACTGTTGAAGTGAGGGTATTCATTGGGAAATAATGTCCCATCCAATATATTAGGATGGGGACTTAGGGGAAGACCCTAATGAAGCTGAGGACATTGAGTCTTAAATCCTGATAAGTCTCTTTTGCTAGTGGAAGAGTTCTTTCCACCCCCAGAAAAAGTTGCCTGCCTACTCTCAACAGAAGTGGCTTCCCCAACCCCAGCAAAAGTGGCTTCCTTACTCCCAACAAAAATGACCTCCCCCACTGCAGTGGTACTGGCTTTTCTACCTCTGCCCAATGGGATTAATCCTAAATTGCCTGAGGGATGGTAGTGGCCTCCACTAAAGCAGTTGCTAAGCAAGATAATGTTGATTCTTCTCAGGACTCATCCCCACCTCTCCTCTTTCTTCTACACCCCTAACTAGACTCAAGTCCCAGCAGGCCCTTAAAGTGATTTATGGCTCATGAGAAGATATGTTATATTCCAAAAGAATTATTTGAGTTTTCTTCTTATATAAGCATAAATTTAGGGAATGTGTGGGAATGGATATTAAAAGTATATAATAATGGCAGAAGGAACATAAAGTTGGATGGCCTAATTTATTATTTTCCAATCCTGCTCCTTCTTTACAGGCCTAATTTATTGATATGGACCCACTAAGCAGAGATTCTGCATTTAATGTTGCCTCTTGGGGAAGTTAGGGCTCTAATCATTTGTTTTTTGGCTGAAACATGGATCAAAAGGTGGCCCATGATGAGCGAGTTGGAAATGCCCGATCTCTCTGGTTTAATGTAGAGGAAGGGGTTCAAAGGCTTGGGAAAATTTGAATGTTACAATGGATTTGTCATTTAAGACCTACTAACCCATACAAAGAGAGTCCAGAAGTCATATCTTGCACAATACTTTCAGAAATAAATTTATGAGGGTGTAGTCCCAGCACTTTGGAAGACCAAGGCGGGCAGATCAGTTGAGGTCAGGAGTTTGAGACCAGCTGGGCTAACATGGTGAAATCCCATCTCTACTGAAAGTAAATACACAAAAAAATTAGCTGGGTGTGGTGGCGGACACCTGTAATCCCAGCTACTCAGGAGGTTGAGGCAGAAGAATCACTTGAACCCAGGAGGTAGAGGTTGCAGTGAGCCTAGATCACGCCACTGCACTCCAGCTTGGGTGACAGAGCAAGACTCCATCTTTAAATAAATAAATAAATGAAATTTATGAAGGGTTCTCCAACATCCTTGATCACTCTCTTCTGTAGGCCAGATCTTACAGTGGGAATCACAGCCACTGAACTGGAAAACGAAGGTAGTCAGAGTAATTAGATTATGTGGTGGCAGGGGCCAAGTAGCAGCACTAAACTGTCAAAGGTATGGTGGGCATAGTTACTATAATGGACAGCAGAGCCAAAGCAGCAATAGGAATAACCTGACTCCTGCAGACTTATGGCGTTGACTAGTTAATCATGGTATTCCTAGAAATGATCTGCATAAGCAGAAAGGTTCCAGGTCAAGTGAACAATAAGTCTAACTCAAATCATTTTTAAAAAGAGTCAATCCCTCAATGAATTCCCAGACTTGAGCCAGTTTACAGATCCAGAACCCCTTGAATTAAGGGAAATACAGGTCCCCTGGAGGAAGGATCTTGGTGCACTACCAAAAATTTATGCTGTTCATCTTTCCCTCAACCTTCCTCAAAGGGACCTATAGTCTTTAATCACAGTAACTCTGCATTGGGGAAAATAAAATCATCAGACCTTTCAGAGACTACTGGACACTGACTCTGAACTGACCTTGATTCCAGGAGACTCAAAATGTCACTGTGGCACTCCAATCAGAGTAGGGGATTATGGGGGCCAGGTGATTAATGGAATTTTAGTTCAGTTCCATCTCTCAGGGGGCCCAGTGGGTCCCCAAACCCATCCTGTAGTTATTTCCCCAGTTTCAGGATGCATAAGGAACAGATATACTTAGCAGTTAGTAGAACCTCCACATTGGTTCCCTGACAATGAAATGAGGGATATTACCATGGAAAAGGCCACTAGAAGCCACTAGAACTGCCACCACCTAGGAAAACAGTAAAACAGAAGCAATAACTGCATTCCTTTCATTGCAGAGATTAGTGACACCAGATACAGGGGTGGTGATTCTCACTACATCTCATTCAACTCTCCTAATTGGCCTGTGCAGAAGACAAATGATCTTACAGAATTAGAGTGGATTATCATAAGCTTACCCAACTGGTGACTCCAACTGCACCTGCTATACTTGATGTGGTTTCATTGCTTGAACAAATGAACACATCCTCTGGTACCTGGTATGCATCTATTGATCTGGGAAATGCCTTTTGCCACCCCTGTCTATAAAGCCTACCAGAAACTATTTTCTTCTGGCTGGAAGATCAGAAATATACCTTCACCATCCTACCTCAGGGGTACATCAACTCGCAGTCCTGCCATAATTTAGTTTTCAGGGATCTTGATCATTTTTTCATTCTACAAGATATCGCACTCTTCCATTACATAGATGACATTATGCTAATTGGACCTAGTGAGCAACAAGTATACTTGAGACTTAGTGGTAAGACATTTGCATGTCAGAGGGTGGGAAATAAATGCCACTAAAATTCAGGAGCCTTCTACGCAGTGGAATTTCTAGAGGGCTGGTGGTGTGGGACATATTCCTTCTAAGGTAAAAAATAAGTTATAGCATTTGGCCCCTCCTACAACCAAGAAAGAGGCACAATACCTCGTGGGCCTCTTTGAATTTTGGATTTTGCCTCCAAAATGGTCCATTTACAAAGCCACCCAAAAAGTTGCTAGTTTTAAATGAGGCCCAGAACAAAAGAAGACTCTACAATAGGTTCAGCCTGCTGTGCGAACTGCTCTGCCACTTGGCCCATATGATCCAGCAGATCCTATGGTGCTTGGTGAGTCTATGGCAGATAGGGATGCCATTGGGAGCCTATTTAGCAGGCGTGCATAGACGAATCACAGTGCAGGCCTTTGGGATTTTGGAGCAAGGCCCTCCATTATTGGCAGATAACTACAGTCATGAGTTGCTTAATGACAGGGATATGTTCTGAGAAACATGTTGTTAGGCGATTTTGCCATTGTGCAAATATCATAGAGTTTACTTACACAAACCTAGATATTATAGCCTACTCTACAATTAGACTATTGCACCTAGGCTATAAACCTGTACCGCATGTTACTGTACTAAATACTGTAGGCAACTGCAACACAATGGTAAGTATTCATGTATCTAAACATAGAAAAGTACAGTACAAAATACAGTTTTATGGTTTTATGGAGCCACAGCAGTATATGCGGTCCATCATTGACTGAAACATTACACAGTGCTATTCTTTTGAGAGACAGCTCTTAGCCTGCTACTGTGCCTTAGTAGAAACTAAACACCTGACCATAGGCCACCAAGTTACCATGTTACCTGAGCTGCCCATCATGGATGAGGTGTTATCCGACTCACCAAGCCATAAAGTTGGGTGTGCATAGCAGCTCCCCGTCATCAAATAGAAGTGTTATATATGCAGTAAGTCCAGAGCAATCCCTAAAGGCACTAGTAAGTTACATGAATAAGTGGCCCAAATGCCCATGGTCACTCTTACTACACTGCTTTCTTACTCTCTCTCAAACTGTACCTATGGGCTCATGGGGAGTTCCCTATGATCAGTTGACAGAGAAAGAGAAGGTTTGGGCCTGGTTTAAAGAATGTTCTGTACAATATGCAGGCACCACTTGAAAGTGGACAGGTACAGCACTACAGCCCCTCTCTGGGACATCCTTGAAGGACAGTGCTGAAAGGGAATCTTCCCAGTGTTAGAACGACAGGCAGTGTACTTGGTTCTACACTTTGCTTGGAAGCAGAAATGGCCAGATGTGCGATAATATATTGATTCGTGGGCTATAGCCAATGGTTTGGCTGGATGGCCAGGGACTGGGAAGGAACATGGTTGGAATATTGGTGACAAAGAAATTTGGGGAAGAAGTATATGGAAAGACTGCTCTGATTGGGCAAAAGACATGAAGATATTTGTGTTCCATATGAATGATCACCAAAGGATGACCTCAGCAGAGAAGGATCTTAATAACTGAGTGAAGAAGGTGATCCATTTTGTGGATATCAGTCAGCCTCTTTCCCCAGCCACCCATGTCAATACCCAATGGGCTCATGAACAAAGTGGCTATAGTGACAGGGAGGGAGGTTATGTGTAGGCTTAGCAGCATGGACCTCCACTCACCAAGGTCAGCCTGCCGATAGCCACTTCTGAGTGCTCAATCTGTCAAGAGCAGAGACCAACACTGAGCCCCCGATATAGGACCATTCCCCAGGATGATCAGCCAGCTACCTGGTGGCAGGTTGATTATAATGGACCATTTCCATTATGAAAGGAGCAACATTTTGTCCTTACTGGAATAGACATTTACTCTGGATACAGATTTGCCTTCCCTGCATGCAATGCTTCTGTCAGCTACCATTCAGGGACTTACATCTTGCCTTATCCACCATTGTGGCATTCTATGCAGCATTGTTTCTGTCCAGGAAACTCACCTCACAGCCAAAGAAGTGCAACAGTGGGCCCATGTTCATGGAATTCATTGGTCTTGTCGTGTTCCCCACAACCTGAAGCAGCTGGCTTGATAGAATAGTGGAATGGCCTTTTGAAGACTCACTTACAGAACCAGCTAAGTGACAATACTTTGCAAGGCAGAAGCAAAGGTTCTCCAGAAGGCTGTATGTGTTCTGAATCAATGTCCAACATACAGTACTGTTTCTCCCATAGTCAGGATTTATAGGTCTAGGAATGAAGGGGTAGAAATGGGAAGGGCACCACACACTGATTCCCTAGTGACCTACTAACAAAAATTTTGCTTCCTGTTTCTACAAAGGTATGCTCTGCTGGATCCAGAGGGAGGACTGCTTCCACCAGAAGACACAGTTGAACTAAATTCCATTGAACTAGAAGTTAAGACTGCCATCCAACCACTTTGGGCTCCTTATGCCTCTGAGTCAACAGGCCAATAGGGGAGTTATGGTGTTGGCTGGGGTAATTGATCCAGACTACCATGGGGAAATCTGACATAAAAGAGGTAAAAAAGAATATGTCTGGAACACAGGAGATCTCTTAGGGTGTCTCAGTATTACCATGCCCTGTGGTTAAAGTCAATGGAAAACTACAACCCAAACCAGGCAAGACTATGAATGGCCCAGACCTTTAGGAATGAAGGTTTGGTTTACCTCCCCTCCACCCTCAAACCAACCTTGGCCTTCTAGGTTAAGAAGCATAACCAGCTGAGGTTCTTGCTGAAGGCAAAGGGAATACAGGATGGGTAGTTGAAGATGGTAGTTGTAAGTATGAGCTGCAGCCATGTCATCAGTTACAGAAAAGAAGACTGTAATTGTCATGAATATTTCATCCCTATTTTTTTTAAATAATGTGTGTATGTACACATATATTAAACAAATATCTTTGTTTCCTTTCCTTTCTTATCCCTTATCGTGTAACATAAGATGTATTGACTTTATACTAGTATTCTAAGTACTAGTATTGTTAATACTTTAAAGACATCTTAGTATTTTAAGTATGGGATATCAGAAGACTACACGTCACTCACAGACTTTACCTCCTCTTCTGGAAAAGGGATTACTGCATTTTTTGTTGTATGCAGGATAGTTGTATCATGTTAAGTGGAATTATGACCTTGTTATTGTCATTATTTGGAGATTAACTATGGTTTAAGGAGATACATATGGATGCCAAGTTCACAAGGGGCAGACTTGTGATGGTTAATTTTATATGTCAACTTGATTGGGTTAAGGGATGCCCAGATAGCTAGTCAAACATTATTTCTGTGTGAGTCTATGCTGGTGTTCCCAGAGGAGATTCGCATTTGAATCAGCAGACTGAGTAAAAAAGATCCACTGACACTAGTGTGAGCAGTTATCATGTAATCCATTAAGGGTCCACCTGAGTAAAACCAAAAGGTGGCCGGGCGCAGTGGCTCACGCCTGTAATCCTAGTGCTTTGGGAGGCCGAGGTGGGCAGATCATGAGGTCAGGAGTTTGAGATAAGCCTGGCCAACTGGTGAAACCCTGTCTCTACTGAAAATACAAAAAAAATCTAAGCATGGTGGCAGGCGCCAGTAATCCCAACTACTCAGGAGGCTGAGGCAGGAGAATCGCTTCAGCCTGGGAGGTGGAGGTTGCAGTGAGCCGAAACTGCATCACCGCACTCCAGCCTGGGCAACAGAGTGAGACTCTGTCTCAAAAAAAAAAAAAAAAAAGAGGAAGAAAGTTTTCTCTTTCCCTTCTTGAGGTATGACATCCATCTTCTTTTGCCCTTGAACATCAGAGTTCCTGATTCTCAGGCCTTCACACTCCAGGACTTACACCAGCAGTTCCCTGCACCACTCCCCACCTTCTTCCAGTTCTCAGGCCTTCACCCTTGGACTGGTAGTAATACCATCAGCTACCCTCATTCTCAGGCCGTTGAATTTGGACTGAATTGCACCACTTGCTTTTCTAGTTCTTTAGCTTGCAGAGAGCATAATGTGGGACTTCTTGGCCTCTGCAATCATGTGAGCCAATTTCCATAATGAACCTCTATTAGGGTTTTCAAGAGAAACAGAACAAATAGATTATATATTTGTTCTGTTTCTCTTGAAAACCCTAATAGAGGTTCATTATGTTTCTCTTGAAAACCCTAATCGAAGTGGTGAGAAATGGACAGCTGTCCTGAGCCCAGATGTAATAGCATCAGGGTTTGTGTTTGGCCAGGAGGGTAGGCTATTCCCTCTTCACTCCCAGAAGTCCACCTCCACCTTTACTTCAGACCCACATATGCTGAGAAAGGAGTGTCACAGTGGCTATCTTCCCTTGCTAGCTCCTCCCTCCAGGGAGGTAGGAGGGAAAGGCAACATGAGCTGTTCTTTCCTGGAGTCTGCATGGCTCCTCTTCTGGCTCTGCTCCTTTCATTTTTAAAAATTTTTTTAAATTATACTTGTTTTCTTTTTTTAAAACATTTTTATCTTTGATGACAGTACAACATGAACATAATTTCCACATTGTTTAAAAATCCACATAGCTCTTTTAATAAATAAAGCATATTCATGGCTTAGATTTTAAATCACATTTACAGATGAGAGAAAACTTCTAGGCCTAAACAGGTAACAGTGAAGCGACTACTGCTGGAAGGAGTGGTGTGCCACATGCGCCTTAAGCCTCAAGAGTGGGGACTGCAGGGCTAGGAACACCAAACACATCACCTCTAGGCCAGATGGAAAGCCGAGACCCAGGAAGCCCATGCAACCACCTCTGCCCCCTCCCCTAGTGCTGCAGAACCAACTGGATGCTGTGTTACTTTCAGATGAACTGGAGGTGGGTCCTGATCATATTACATGAAGCTTCCCACCATTGTGAATAATTAGGCAAGGCGTTAGTGTCAGAGGGGCATCACTGATAAATGCAAAGCAATATTGGGGCAGTAAAGAGGAAGCTACAGAAACATTCGCGTTTCTTCAAATATCAGAATCTTCCACATCATAGCAGGAGAGCTGAGAACGTGCTCTACCTCCTGAAGGCTTAGTCCAAAAATTTCCTGTTGGCTTTTGCACCAAAGAAGGCTCCCTGGACTTCTAGCATCATCTGCTGGGCTATGAGATCCAGCTGGCTTTCTGGGGTTTTGGAAACCTTTATTTTATGATTACCATTATAGATCTCAACTCCACCAGCTATGTCCTCAGGCAGGTAGGACTCCTGGTCGATTTGGACATCAACATTGTTTTTGGTGGCAATTTTGTACATAGGGATTGCCTTTTGCACCGCAGCCTTTACCAGAGGAAGGTCTTGTTTCCTGCAACGAACAATCATTCGGTGCTCCAGCAACTGGTACAAACCCTGGAGAACCAGTCCATCTAGCAGCACTTGGTACCTGGTTGTATCTTTTACCACCTTGCTGAGTCTCTGTTTTGCTTCATTTAGTAGGTCTGTGATAAGGTCATCTCTCGCTCTGAGGACTTTGAGCCTTGCTTGATTCATCAAATTGGATATCTGAATTTTCTTCTGCTACTCAATCTGTTTCTCTTTCTTCTCATGATATTCCATAATCTTTAGTCTTTGGGTTTCCACAAGCTGACCTTTCTCTATGTTGAACTCTTCTTCTGCCTTTGCATCTATTTCTTCTGCTTTCTCATTGGCTTCTTATTCAATGAAAGCCATCATATGCTTTATCTGCTTTCGCATGTCAGCATCACTGACAGCCATGGCAAGAGCAATGCTAGGCCGGAGAGCAGCAGGCTCGAGTTTAAGTTTGAAGGGGAAGGTGGGAGGATTGGGCAGAGGAAACCCCTGTGCAGATCTTTATCAATTTCCTTTACTTTATTAATTTCCACACTTTCTAAGCAAGCCTTGGCTTCAAAATGACCACAGTCAGGTTCTCCAAATGAGTGCAATTTTTTATAGATGTCTTTCCTCTGCACAGCCCAAGTAAAAAGTATGAGCAATTCTACTAAACTGAGTCTCAAGCCCAGACACCCCTCACAGCTTCCCTCTGAAACTGGGCAGTAATGCTTCCACCTCAGGAGTCATGCTGTCTTTGGGAAAATGCACTGTTTCACTGGGTGCCTGGCAGCATGGGTCTGTGCTTTATCCCAGTCTGCCCCTATGTCTGTGCTTTGGTGAGTATCTCAATCTCTATTTTTAGGTAGGTTCCTCACACTGTTAGCAGAGTAATGGGTATAACCCTGAGTCAAGACCTGGGCCTATCCTGGGAGTCTTCTGACCTGCTTATTCCCATGCCCCAGGCTCTAAGTGTCAAGAATTTGACATGGATGCTCAATAAATGAAAAATAAGAATCTTTAACCCAACCAACGTCATATATGGTAACCCAAACCTTCTCCAGTACTCAATCTATTACCAAGGCTCTAGGCAATCCATAATAACCTAGATCTAGGCCAAAACCAAATCACAGTAACCAATACCCTTCATCCAGTCTCTTCCTCTAGACTAGTTGCTCGTTGTTTTTTGTTTGTTTTTAAGACAGGGTCTTGCTCTGTCACCCAGGCCGGAGTGCATGGCACAATCATGGCTCACTGCAGCGTCAGCCTCCCAGGCTCAATCAGTCCTCCCACCTCAGCCTCCCGAGTAACTGGGACTACAGGTGCAAGTCACCACACCTGGCTTAGACTGGTTGCTCTTTGAGGGCCACTGGAACACTGTCCGCAAGAGAGATCAGCCCAACACAAAGAAGTTATCAATAAGCGTTTAGTGAATTTGACTTTTCCTCCTTACACTACAGAGCTACCACCTACAAAACCCTGAAAACACTTTTCCAACATTTCTTCTCTTAAGTAACAAACCCAGTATCCTGTAATCTAGGTTTTATTCATTTAGACAAGCATTTACGTAGGTCGCTGAAGAAAAGCAAGACAGATATCCCTTGCCTTCAACATGCAGTCACAGGAGAAATAAAGGACACACAATTAAGTTATAGTGTAGTATCATGATTCTTGGCCAAAAGAAAGAGTAAATGTCAGCAGTAAATATGAATGATAGAGTGAGGTAATACAAAGAACTTTGAAGTGAGAGAGGTAAGGTTGCCTACTATACTGGACATCTATTTTGGCTGCCTGCCATCCAATCACCCTTTTCAAGGAAGATTGTTCCTTCCCTACTCTCAGTCCATATGTTTATGGTATAGTTAATTCCACCCCGAACTCCAAGGGTCAACTTCTGACCCCAGGCATGACCATTAAAGCATCACCTTCCCCTGGTCACAGTGATTAGTTCCAGAATGGACCCATGACCTACTCTTCAGTGAGATGCAATGATTCTTTTGTGAGAACAATTAGAAGAGAGGCAGTCCATGTTTTAGCTATACTTTAGCCCAGAGGGATAGCTCCAGTGGTCTTGTACCACAAAGGGAAAGAAAGCCTGTCTCTGAATGGAGCCAACACAGTCTGTAGCTACCACGTCTGAGGCCGGACTTTTCAGCTACGTGAGCCAAAAAATTATCTTTCCTTAAGCTGAAATTGACTGCTTATCTATAAAATCAATCTATAATACATATAATCAGACCTTAGTAAAGTTACTTCGAAAAATTTAATTGTTCCCAAGTCACCTGGCTCTTTAGGGGGTTGGTCAGTCAAGGAAGCCATATGTTCAGTGGGGACACAGGTTTTAGAGCCAGACATTCATGGAGCTGATTCTGGCTTCTTAACCTTTCTAAGTGTTAGTTTATTCGTCTGTTAAATGCAGATAACAATAGTGTCATGTAATTTTTTTTTCATGTCTGAGGGCAGATTCTGTGAGCACAAAATAAAAGACTACTTACAAGAGCTTAGGTTTTAAGTTAATATTTAATTTATTAATTTAAAACTCAATACCTAGGTTTATTTATGTCTTAAAATTCAGTTCATAAGTATACTATTCTATCTGTAAGTCTATTATATATATCTATTATATGGATTTACAGATAGAATAGTATACTTATAAACTGAACTTATATAAAATAATTCAGTTTAAGGGGATCTTTTATAATTGTTCAAGTAACTCAGGTAGAACTATCTAAACTCTTAAACAGTCTCACTTATAAGCTTATACAATGTAATTATATTAGAATTTTAACTGAATTTGTAAATGTTTATATTCTTTTTCATTCTGTACCTGTCATATGCCTAATCAATCAAGTTCCATCCCTGAGGAGGCAGGACTAGATTGCAGCTCTGACTCTGATGGACAGAGCAGCATGTGGAGGCTTGCATGGTGAGTTTTAGCTCCAGAACGACTGCAGGAATAAGTCAGGAATCCTGTGAGGACCCACAGGCCCTCTGAAGGAAGTGAACTGCTCCTGCAAGACCTGGGAGACACCCCAAATACTGTGAGTACGCAAACTGCGGAAGTGGGAAAGGGAGATCCTCCGCCCCTGAACACACACCGCCACCAGGGAAACTGAAGGTCTAGTTTTTGGGAGAAGATTTCGACCTTACCTGGAGCTGAGTCAATTTAGAAAGCCAAGTGAAATACAGGGGTAGAGGAAGCAGTGGGAAAGGCCCTGGGAGCTTGCTGAGTCCCTAAGCAGGCCATTCCTGCCTGGCATCACAGGGCTCGTTTGAGAGGGTGGCCAGAGGTGCAGGGAAAATGCCACAGAGAGAAGAAAGTCTCCAGATGAACTTTGTAACAATTTGAACTAGTTGAGAAGCCTCCTGATTAGAACTTGGGGGAGGATGTGAATCCTGTGTGCAGACTCCACAGGTGTGGGAAGAACTAAAGCCCTTTTCTTTTGCAGCTGGGAGGCAGGTAGCCTGGGGCAAGTTCTCAGCCCTGCTTACCCACTGCCTGGAAACAGACTCGGTGCTATTAGCGGGGGCATAGTGGGAGTGAGACTGGCCCTTTGGATTGTGTGGGAGCTGGGTGAGGCTTGTGACTGCCAGCTTTCCCCCGCTTCCCTGACAACCTGTGTGACTCAGCGGAGGCAGCCATAATCCTCCTAGGAACATAACTCCATTGACCTGGGAACCTCACTCCCATCCCCCACAGAAGCCGCAGCAAGACCCACCCAAGGGAGTCTGAGCTCAGACATCCCTAGCCCTGCCCGCACCTGGTGGTCCTTCCCTACCCACCTTGATAGCTGAAGACAAAGGACATATACTTTTGAGAGTTCTAGGGCCCCATCCACCACCAGTTCCTCTTCATACTGCCACAGCAGATGCTCTCTGGAAAGCACCACCTCCCAGCAGAAGGCCAGCCAGCAAAAAAATAGAGCACTAAACCACAAAAGCTAAGAACCCTCATAGAGTCCATTTCACCACCCTGCCACCTCCACTGGAACAGGAGCTGGTATCCACAGCTGAGAGAACCATAGATGGTTCACATCACAGGACTCTGTGAAGACAACCCCCAGTATTACCACAGAGCCTGGTAGACTTGCTGGGTGGCTAGACCCAGAAGAGAGATGACAATCACTACAGCTCGGCTCTCAGGAAGCCACATCCATAGGGAAGCGGGGAGAGTACTACATCAAAGGAACACCCCATCGGACAAAAGAATCTGAACAACTGCCTCTAGCCCTAGCCCTTCACTTTGACAGAGCCTACCCAAATGAGAAGGAGCCAGAAAAGCAACCCTGGTAATATGATAAAACAAGGCTCTTAAACACCCACCAAAAGTCACACTAGCTCACCAGCAATGAATCCTAACCAAGAAGAAATCCCTGATTTACCTGAAAAAGTATTCAGCAGGTTTATTAAGCTAATCAGGGAGGCACCAGAGAAAGGTGAAGCCCCATGCAAGGAAATCCAAAAAACGATAAAGAAGAGAAGAGAGAAATATTCAAGAAAATAGATAGCATAAAGAAAAAACAATAAAAACTTCAGGAAACATTGGACACACTTAGAGAAATGCAAAATGCTCTGGAAAGTCTCAGCAATATAATTGAACAAGTAGAAGAAAGAAATTCAGAGCTCAAAGACAAGGTCTTCAAATTAACCCAGTCCAACAAAGACAAAGAAAAAAGAACAAGAAAACATGAACAAAGCCTTCAAGAAGTCTGGGATTATGTTAAATGACCAAACCTAAGAATAGTCGGTGTTCCTGAAGAAGAAGAGAAATCTAAAAATTTGGAAAACATATTTGGGGGAATAATCAAGGAAAACTTCCCCAGCCTTGCTAGAGACCTAGACATCCAAATACAAGAAGTGCAAAGAACACCTGGGAAGTTCATTGCAAAAAGATAATCACCTAGGCACATTGTCATCAGGTTATCTAAAATTAAGACAAAGGAAAAAATCCTAACAGCTGTGAGACAAAAGCACCAGGTAACCTATAAAGGAAAACCTATCAGATTAGCAGCAGATTTCTCAGCAGAAGCCCTATAAGCTAGAAGGGATTGAGGCCCTATCTTCAGCCTCCTCAAACAAAACAATTATCAGCCAAGAATTTTGTATCCAGCAAAACTAAGCTCCATATAGAAGGAAAGATACAGTCTTTTTCAGACAAACAAATGCTGAGAGAGTTCATCACTACCAAGCCACCACTACAAGAACTGCTCAAAGGGGCTTTAAATCTTGAAACAAATGCTGGAAACACATGAAAACAAAACCTCTTTAAAGCATAAATCTCATAGGACCTATAAAACAACAACAACAACAAAAAACATCAAGGTACACAGGCAACAAATAGCATGATGAATGGAATTGTACCTCACATCTCAATACTAACATTGAATGTAAAAGACCTAAATGCTCCACTTAAAAGATACAGAACTGCAGAATGGATAAGAATTCACCGACTAATTATCTGCTGCCTTCAAGAGACTCACCTAACACATAAGGATTCATATAAACTTAAAGTAAAAGGGTGGAAAAGGGCATTTCATGCAAATGGACACCAAAAGTGAGTGGGGGTAGCTATTCTTATATCAGACAAAACAAACTTTAAAACAACAGCAGTTTAAAAAGACAGAGACATTATATAATGGTAAAAAGCCTTATCCAACAGGAAAATATCACAATTCTAAACATATATGCAGCTAACACTGGGGCTCCCAAATTTATAAAACAATTACTAATAGACTTAAGAGATGAGATAGACACCAACACAATAATAGTAGAGGACTTCAATACTCCACTGACAGCACTATATAGGTCATCATGACAGAAAGTCAATAAAGAAACAATGAATTTAAACTATACCTTGGAACAAATGGACTTAACAGATATATACAGAATATTCCATCCAACAACCCGAGAATACACATCCTATTCAACGGTGCATGGAACTTTCTCCAAGATAGACCGTATGATAGGCCACAAAAGGAGCCTCAATAAATTTAAGAAAATTGAAATTATATTAAGCACTCTTTCAGACCACAGTGGAATAAAACTGGAAATCATCTCCTAAAGAAACCTTCAAAACCATGCAAATACATTGAAATTAAATAAACTACTCCTGAATGATCACTGGGTCAAAAACAAAAGCAAGATTGAAATTTAAAAATTCTTTTAACATAACAACAATAATGACACAACCTATTAAAACCTCTGGGATACAGCAAAGGCAGTGCTAAGAGAAAAGTTCATAGCCCTAAATGCCTACATCAAAAAGACTGAAAGAGCACAAACTGACATTCTCAAGTCACACTTCAAGGAACTAGAGAAACAAGAACAAACCAAACGCAAATCCAGCAGAAGAAAGGAAATAACCAAGATCAGAGAAGAACTAAATGAAATTGAAATGAAAAAAATACAAAAGGTAAATGAAACAAGAAGCTGGTTCCTTGAAAAGATAAATAAAATTGATAGACCATTAACAAGATTAACCAAGAAAAGAAGAGAGAAAATCCAAATAACCTCAATAAGAAATGAAGTGGGAGATATTCCAACTGACACCACAGAAATACAAAAGATCATTCAAGGCTACTATGATCACCTTTGTGCACATAAACTAGAAAATCTAGAAGAGATGGGTAAATTCCTGGAAAAATACAACCCGCCTAGCTTAAATCAGGAAGAATTAGATACCCTGAACAGACCAATAACAAGCAGCGAGATTAAAGTGGTAATTAGAAAGTTACCAACAAATAAAAAGTACAGGACCAGACAAATTCACAGCAGAATTCTACCACACATTCAAAGAAGAATTGGTACCAATCCTTTTGACACTATTCCACAAGATAGAGAAAGAGGGAACCCTCCCTAATTCATTCTATGAAGCCAGTGTCACCCTAATACCAAAACCAGGGAAGGACATAACCAAAAAAGAAAACAGCAGGCTGATATCCCTGCTTAACTTAGATGCTAAAATCCTTAACAAAATACTAGCTAACCAAATCCAACAACATATCAAAAAGATAATCCACCATGATCAAGTGTGTTTCATACCAGGGATGCAAGGATGGCTTAACATGGGCAAGCCAATAAATGTGATACATCACATAAACAGAATTAAAAACAAAAATCACATGATCATCTCAATAGAGACAGAAAAAGCATTCGACAAAATCCATCATCCATTTGTGATTAAAACTCTCAGCAAAATCAGCATACAAGGGACATACCTCAATGTAATAAAAACCATCTATGGCAAACCCACAGCCAACATAAGACCAAATGGGGAAAAGTTGAAAGCATTCCCTCTGAGAACTGGAACAAGACAAGGATGCCCACTCTCACTATTTCTCTTCAACATAGTACCGGAAGTCCTAGCCAGAACAACCAGACAAGAGAAAGAAATAAAGGGCATCCAAATCGGTAAAGAGGAAGTCAAACTGTCACCGTTTGCTGACAATATGATTGTTTACCTTGAAAACCCTAAAGACCCCTCCAGAAAGCTCCTCGAACTGATCAAAGAATTCAGCAAAGTTTCTGGTTACAAGATTAATATACACAAATCAGTAGCTCTTCTATACACCAACAGCAACCAAGCAGAGAACCAAATCAAGACCTCAACCCCTTTTACAATAGCTACAAAAATAAATAAATAAATAAAATACTTAGGAATATATCTAACCAATGAAGCAAAAGACCTCTACAAGGAAAATACAAACACTGCTGAAAGAAATCATAGATAACACAAACAAATGGAAACATATCCCATGCTCATGGATGGGTAGAATAAATATTGTGAAAATGACCATACTGCCAAAAGCAATCTACAAATTCAATGCAATTGCCTTCAAAATACCACCATCATTCTTCACAGAATTATAAAAAAATTCTAAAATTCATATGGAACCAATAAAGAGCCCACATAGCCAAAGCAAGACTAAGCAAAAAGAACAAATCTGGAGGCATCACACTACCTGATTTCAGACTATACTATAAGGCCATAGTCACCAAAACAGCATAGTACTAGTATAAAAATAGGCACATAGACCAATGGAACAGAATAGAGAACCCAAAAATAAACCAAATACTTACAGCCAACTGATCTTCAACAAAGCAAACAAAAACATAAAGTGGGGAAGGGACACCCTTTTCAACACATGGCACCAGGATAATTGGCTAGCCACAAGTAGGAGAATGAAACTGGATCCTCATCTCTCACCTTAAACCAAAATCAACCCACGAAGGATTAAGGACTTAAATCTAAGACCTGACACTAGAAAAATACTAGAAGATAACACTGGAAAAACCCTTCTAGACATTGGCTTAAGGATTTCATGACCAAGAACCCAAAAGCAAATGCAATAAAAACAAAGATAAATAGCTGGAACTTAATTAAACTAAGGAGCTTTTGCATGGCAAAAGGAATGGTCAGTAGAATAAACAGACAACCCACAGAGTGGGAAAAAATCTTCACAATTTATGCATTTGACAAAGGACTAATATCCAGAATCTACAATGAACTCAAACAAATCAGCAAGAAATAAAACAAACAATCCCATCAAAAAGTGGGCTAAGGACATGAATAGATAATTCTCAAAAGAAGATATACAAATACCCAACAAACATATGAAAAAATGCTTGACATCACTAATGATCAGGGTAATGCAAATCAAAACCACAAGGTGATATCACCCTACTCCTGCAAGAATGGCCACAATCAAAAAATAAAAAACAGTAGATGTTGGCATGGATGAGATGATCAGGGAGCATTTCTACACTGCTAGTGGGAATGTAAACTAGTACAACCACTATGGAAAACAGTACGAAGGCTTCTTAAGGAATTAAAAGTAGAACTACCATTTGATTCAGCAATCCCACTACTGGGTAAGTCAATATAAGAAGTCATTATATGAAAAAGATACTTGCACACACATGTTTATAGCAGCACAATTCGCAATTGCAAAGTCGTGGAACAAACCCAAATGCCCATCAATTGATGAGTGAATAAAGAAACTGTGGCATATGTATGCAATGGAATACTACTCACCCATAAAAAGGAATGAATTAACAGCATTTGCAGTGACGTGGATGAGATTGGAGTCTGTTCTTCTAAGTGAAGTAACTTAGGAATGGAGAACCAAACACTGTGTGTTCTCACTGATATGTGGGAACTAAGCTGTGAGAATGCAAAGGCATAAGAATGACACAATGGGCCAGGTGCGGTGGCTCACGCCTGTAATCCCAGCACTTTGGGAGGTCGTGGCAGGTGGATCATGAGGTCAGGAGATCGAGACCATCCTGGCTAACACGGTAAAACCGCAACTCTACTAAAAATACAAAAAATTAGCCAGGTGTGGTGGCGGGCGCCTGTAGTCCCAGCTACTCAGGAGGCTGAGGCAGGAGAATGGTGTGAACCCAGGAGGCGGAGCTTGCCGTGAGCGGATATTGCGCCACTGCACTCCAGCCTGGGTAACAGAGCAAGACTCCATCTCAAAAAAAAAAAAAAAAAAAAGAATGATACAATGGACTTTGGGGACTTGGGGAGAAGGGTGGGAGGGGGCGAGGGATAAAAGACTACAAATAGGGTGAAGTGTAGACTGCTCGGGTGATGGGTGCACCAAAATCTCACAAATCACCATTAAAGAACTTACTCATGTAACCAAACACCACCTGTACCCCAATAACCTGTGGGAAATTTTTTAAAATAAATATAAATTTAAAAAAAAAACAAAAATTTTCCATCCCTGATAAGCAAATCCTTCCCAAGTACTCAACTAAAAATTATTATGTATATTAAACATGTAAATCTATTAGGTCTAATTGTCAAATATTTCAATACTGTTTATAACCCTAATTAAATTTTCATACACCTCACAGGTCTAATTGATCAAATTAAGCTAATCTATTGGATTCTTCAATATGCCATATTATATTAAAATTGCACTTTAAGTACCATACTCCTCCACACATGAACTTATTATAAACATAAAATTATTAACATAATAGGTTTGATTTATTTATCATCTCTATTTTTAATTCTAGCCTTTTCAGGTTTGAAAAGCCACTTACTCACTGAGTTCTAGCATCTCCAGGGAGTTCGGATTACTAGGTCAAGAATTGACAACCATGATAGAGTTACCATCTCAGGGGGCCAAGTTGAGGTGACTGGCTCAACAGTTCACGGCTGTGAGATAGTTACCTTGTCAGGAAAACTGGGGTTGACATCTTAAACAAGTTGAAGCTATAGAGTTGAAAATTTATTAACACAATAAGGTCATTATCGGTTAGAGATTTGACATTGGGGAACAGGATCTGAACTTTGCAGGCTTCCAGAATGATTCTACCTGAGCTACATGTGGATACAGTGAGTCCTTTTTGTAGTCACCATGACAACAGGGGACTTCTAGTCCATATCCTTCTACTGGATTCAAATTACACCCTTCTGTAATTCATCTGGTCAAAGTTTGCAACCTCACTCAGGTTGCAAGAATAGAAACTTCTACCACAATTTGAGTAGATACGTGAGCCTCTTAAGAATTTTTTTTTTGTTTTTTGAGACAAAGTCTCACTCTGTCGCCCAGGCTGGAATGCTTTCAGCTCAGTGCAACCTCCACCTCCTGGGTTCAAGTGATTCTTCTGCCTCAGCCTCCCGAGTAGTTGGGATTACAGGTGCATGCCACCCAACTCAGTTAATTTTTGTATTTTTAGTAGAGATGGGGTCTCACCATGTTGGCCAGGCTGGTCTCTATCTCCTGACCTCAGGTGATCCGCCCACCTCGGCCTTCCACAGGGCTAGCATTACAGGCATGAGTCACTGTGCCTGGCCATCTTATGATATTTTAATGTACTTGTTTTTTAACAACTACATGCGTGACCTTTCCACCCATCTCCCAAAATTCTGCTGTAATTGGTCTGGCTAAAGCCTAGGCATCAGGATTTTTCAAATCTCCTCTGGTGGCTCTAATATACAGCCAAGGTTGAGAATCACTGATATGCCTTCTCCTTCAGCTGTAAAGACATATTAATTTTATTCCACCAGAGCTTGAATACTTTTCATACCTCTTTGTCTGCCACGAAATTGTGTTGATGACAGTAAGTTATAATATGGGATAGTGGTTGAAACTTCAGGCCCTAGAAACAAACTGTTTAGGTTTGATCTTGAGTGAATTTCTTACCTTCTCTGTGCCTTAGCGTCACTAATTGTAAAATGGGAATAATAATTGTGCTATCATAAACAATAATGGTGGATGCTGCAGCTCCCAGAACTACAGCCACAATATCAGGAGCAGGAGCGGCAGTGATGGCATGTCACCTGCAGGTATTTTATGCATGGGGTTTGTAAGAAGGAGATAACTGTCACTACTCATATGACCTCTCTGACAGTCTGTATGGTGTAGTGTGCAATTATTTTCAGCAAGGGTACTGCATTTATGGAGACCGCTGCAGATATGAACATAGCAAGCCACTGAAACAGGAAGAAGCAACTGCTACAGAGCTAACTAAAATGTTGTCCCTTGCTGCTTCCTCAAGTCTCTCATCGATAGTTGGACCACTTGTCAAAATAAATACAGGCAAAGCTGAGTCAAGAAATTCAAACTTTGCAACTATATGAGCAGGTTCAGAGGACTGGGTGAATACTATTGAGTTTGTTCCTGGGCAACCCTACTGTGGCTGTACTGTGCCTTCCTGCACTGAAGCTCCCCTGCAGGGCTCAGAAGAATCAGAGAAAGAGCAAACTGCTATGGAAACAAAGAAGCAGCTGTGCCCCTATGCTGCAGTGGGAGAGTGCCAATATGGGGAGAACTCTGTGTTATCTCCACGGAGATTCATGTGACATGTGTGGGGTGCAGGTACTGCATCCGATGGTTGCTGCCTAGAGATCACAGCATGTAAAATCGTGCATTGAGGCTCACAAGAAGGACATGGAGCTCTCATTGGCTGTGCAGCACAGCAAGGACTTGGTGTGTGGGATCTGCATGGAGGTAGGCAGTCTATGAGAAAGCCAACCCCAGCAAGTGCCACTTCAGGATCCTCTCCAACGGCAACCACACCTACTCTCTCAAGTGCATTTGCAAGTGGAGAAGTGCTAAGCAATTTGAGAGCAAGATCATAAAGTCCTGCCCAGAATGCCATATCACATCTAACTTTGTCATTCCAAGTGAGTACTGGGAGGAGGAGAAAGAAGAGAAGCAGAAACTCATTCAGAAATACAAGGAGGCGATGAGGAACAAGGCGTGCAGGTATTTTGATAAAGAGCATGGGAGCTGCCCTTTTGGAGGGAACTGTTTTTACAAGCATGTGTACCCTGATGGCCATAGAAAGGAGCCACAGAGACAGAAAGTGGGAACATCAAGCCGATACTGGGCCCAACAAAGGAACCACTTCTGGGAACTCATTGAGGAAAGAGAGAACAGCAACCCCTCTGACAACGATGAAGAAGAGGTTGTCACCTCTGAGCTGGGCAAGATGTTGCTTATGCTTTGGGCTGCAGGTAGGGACGATAGACTGACAGACTCTGAAGATGAGTGGGACTTGTTTCATGATAAGCTGGAAGATTTTTATGACTTGGATCTATAACAACCTTGCATGGCGTGTGAACTGGTCTGCTGACCCCAGACAGCAGCTGTCCCCTGTGGTGGTGTGGCAGTGCCTGTGTTCTCTCCTAGGCAGGCCTATCAACTCCAAGTGCTGCGGTAAGAATTTTTACCCAGGGCCTGTCTTCTCAACCCCTACCCTTTCCGCGAGGAGTGTGTTTTCCCTGTTGAAAAAACTTACAAAAATAAATCTTAAAGTTAGTTTTTTGTAACATGAATTTAACCGTCAGTTAGTGTAGGTGTGTTGCGCCATCTGTTTTCAACCAGATTGTGTTTATGGACTTTTCACACACTCATTTTGAGGACCCCAGGTTCAAAAGTAAAAGCAGTGGTCCTGCTTTGGGGTCCAAGAATAGGAGTGATGGGTGAAGGGACCTAAGCTGGCCAATAGCCTTCTGCTCCAGACATGGGACGTGGATCCTTGAGGTTTCTGGTGAAATCTGCACATCTGTGTTTTTATATCTGTTCCCTATCCTGTAATCCCTACCACGTGCACTTGTTCTGTGGTTTTTGGTCTCTTGTTTAATTGTACATAAGTGATACTACTGGGTAACCAGAACCAGGTGCAAATGTGTTGAGATTTCTACTGTTTTGCATGTTAGGAAAATTGAGAAAGAATACATATAAAAGATACAGAGGCATAACATCAATGCAGAGTTGGAAGTTGACTCCCAAGGGCTGACATAATGTGTATGAGTGTGGGTGTGTGAAAAGCTTCTCATCCCTGCATAGATGCAGTATTCTTAGCCTTAGCAGAAAAAAGTGGTTTAGTGGTTTAAGCCTTGTACAGCAGGATAGATCTTAAAGGGCAAAGCACTATATTGGTAGTTGTCAATATAGCAGTGCTAGCTCTGTCTATATAAACAGAGAAATGGGGTTAGCCATAGAGGTTAAAACTACCTGGTTATCCCATATGTTAACACAAACTGGGTCTTGGATACACTGTGTATTTAATGTTTTATGATCTAGCTTTTCCAGTACAGGCACTTTCTGAAAAACCTTTGTCTTCATTTGGGGCATTTTGTTGTCGAGTTTTTGTGTTTTTTTTTGTGGGTATTTGCCTCATTCCACCCCTGAGTTTTCACATAGACAGATGTGATACAAAACTCTGTTCTAAGGTGTCTATTGTAGTGGACTAATGGGTTTGCAGTAATAAGTCATACTTTTCCACTGAAGGGGAGGGCTTGGGAATCCCTAAGACTAGCTAAAATTAAGTTATTTGAAGAATTCCTTGATTGGAAATTTTACCTTTGTGTTTTGTCGCTTTGTTTCCTGAAAGTAACTCGGGGATGCTCCTGGTTTGTCCATTTACTGCTTTGATTCCTTGGATCCCACCCATTCTTTCACTTTATGAAAATACAAATAATTGTTGCAGAGGTCTCTGTATTTTGCAGCTGTCCTTTTGTAAGAAGCACTTTTCCCAAATAAAACAATTCAAATAATAGTCACTATCTGTAAGATGTGAGGAATAATTGTTCCTATCTTCTAGGGTTTTTTTTTTTTTTAAGTAGGGTTAAATGGCATTAATTATACATTAAAGGCATTATACATGTAATGCTTACTGCACAGCATTTGCACATATTAGGTGCTCAATAAATTTTAGCTATTCTTGGCTGGGTGCCAATGGCTCAGGCCTGTAGTCCCAGCACTTTGAGAGGCCAAGGCCAGTGGATTACTTGAGTCCGGGAGTTCCAGACCAACCTGGGCAACATGGCAAAACCCCGTCTCTATAAAAAATACAAAACAATTAGCTGGGGGTGGTGGCGCATGCCTGTGATCCCAGCTACTCAGGAAGATGAGGTGGGAGGATCGCTTGAGCCCGCCGAGTGGGCAGAGGTTGCAGTGAGCTGAGATTGTGCCACTGCACTCCAGCCTGGGCAACAGAACAAGACCCTGTCTCAAAAAAAAAAAAAATTTAGCTATTCTTATCATCATTTTCTATGTGAATTATCGTGTAATCTGAAAATAAATCTCTTCCTCTCCAATCCTTATACTCCCTCTTTCTTTTTCCGATCTTATTGTATTGATCGGGACCTCTAATATCATGGTGAGCATTGATGGTGACAGAAGTACCCCCATTTTATTGGCTCGTTTAGTTACTACTGTTAAATAAAATGCTTCCAAAGTTTAGAAGCATTCCTCGCACATTAAAGTATGAGGTTTGATAGAGGTTTTGCTATAGATACCCTCTTTCATATTAAGGAGGTTCTCTTCTTATTTTTAAAGGGGAACTGAATTTTATTGCTTGCTTTTCTGTCATTAAGAGAGATGATCATACAGTTTTCCTCCTTTGATTTATTAACGTGAATTCCACTTGTTGAAAAGATATCATTCCCTCCACCTTGGCGCCTCCCAGCCAGGAGCCCAGCCCCTACGATGAGACTGAAATGCACTACTCCTTCCACTTGCTCATCCAAGAGCAGAGCCGCTGGGAGGCCCAGGAGGGGCTGGAGCTGTAGCAGAGGGAGAGGGGTGGTGGCCACAGCGAGTGGCCAGCAGACACTCTTGGGGCCCGAGGGCACCCACAGCACGGCCACACTCTGCGTCCTGGCCAGCATTCCCAGCCTCACCATTGGCCGGCCCCTGCTCGCAGACTTGGTGCGCTCCTCCCGGCACAGCCTGCGTCTGTACGACCTGAAGCTGGACCCCACGTCCTGGGAGGAAGAGGAGGAGAAGCGGAGCCTCCTGGTGAAGGAGCTCCAGGGCCTGGCTGTGGCGCAGCGGGACCACGTGCTTCGAGGGATTCCCCTAAGCCTGGCTGAGAAACGCGGCCTGCGAGAGAAGAGCCGAACCCAGAGCGGGAAGTGGAGGAGCCTGCGGGGCCATGGCAGAGTCTGCTCCTGCTGTGGTTGGCTCAGATATGTCTGTGTGCTGGCCTTGCACAGCCTGGGGCTGGCGCTGCTCTTGGGCCTGCAGGCCCTGAAGCCGTGGCGCTACGTCCTGAAGCGCATCAGGGGCTAGTTCAGCTCCAACGTGCTCTCCTACTTCCTCTTCCTTAAGACCCTGCTGGCCTTCAACGCCTTCCTGCTGCTGCTGCTCGTGGCCTTCATTGTGGGCCCGGAGGCCGCCTTCACGCCCGCCCCGCCGGGCCCTGCCCGCATCTGCTCTGGCCTGGAGCTCCTCAAAGACACAGGCTGCTTCACCCACATCATCATGTATTACAGCCACTACAGTAATGCTAAGCTAATGCTAATACCGGGTGGGCAGCACCTCTGGCATCCACGCCGTCACTATCTTCTGCTCCTGGGACTGCAAGGTGAGGCAGAAGCGGGCCCCCCGCCCTCAGCAAGACAACAGACAACATTCGCACCGGGAGAAGGAGCTGCTGGCCCGAGCAGCAGCTGCGGCAGAGCCCCAGGAGCGTGTGCGGGAGGCTGCGGCAGGCGGCCATGCTGGGGCTCATGTGGCTCCTGTGTCTGGGGACTGCGCTGGGCTGCGCTGTGGCCGTCCACATCTTCTCGGAGTTCATGATGCAGAATCCGGAGGCTGCTGGCCAGGAGCCCGCGCTGCTGGTCCTGCCTCTGGTGGTCGGCCCCCTCAACCTGGGGGGCCCCTACCCGTGCCTTGGCCTGACCGCCCTGGAGCTGCATGACTCCCCGGTGCTGGAGTTGTACGTGGCCATCTGCAGGAACTTCATCCTCAAGCTGGCCATCCTGGGGACACTGTGCTACCACTGGCAGGGCCGCAGGGTGGGCGCCCTGCAGGGCCAGTGCTGGGAGGAACCCGTGCTGTATGGGTTCCTGGTGATGGACTCGTCCTCACGTGCTGGACACGCTTTTCGGGGAATTGATGTGGAGGATTATCTCCGAGAAGAAGCTGAAGAGGAGACGGAAGCCTGAGTTTGACATTGCCCGGAATGTTCTGGAGCTGATTTACGGGCCGACTCTGACCTGGCTGGGGGTGCTCTT